>NC_000016.10:27880425-28183455 GCF_000001405.40 Homo sapiens | reverse complement strand
TCTGGGTTTTTTTTTTTTTTTTTTTTTTAAACTAGTGAAGTGTAGTAGTGAGAACGGGGGAAAGAGTAGAACAAGGAGTTGGATCTGTAACTGACTGCAAACAGTCCAGTGAGATAACTCAGTACCTTTGGGCCAGCCCATCTGGGATTCTTAGGAGTACTTTTGTCCTTCCACTTTCTGCAGGAACTGTAACTTCTTGGGTTGGGGCAGAGAGTAAAGGGTAGATGGGACTGGGAATGGTGGCAGAGTTGGATTCTTTTTGGAGATTATCAGGAACTTTCCAGTAATCATTTATTTCTCAGATCTCTTCCTCAAGAATCTAGTACTAAATAAATGGTGGTGGTTGATTGCCTGGATGTGATAAGCTCAAGTTTGCTGCAGGATCTACTTTAAAATGATTCAACACAAGAAGTTATGGAGAGATATGATTTGCAGATGTGTCCTTAGTTTCCAGGAACACATTTTGGCTCCAGAAGAACTATTGATTTATTTTAACATGTGCTATTTTTTTTGATTCTTCTGCATCTTCCCACAGCCTTTTTATTTTAAATAGCAAATCCTTTTTTCAAATGAAATGGCACACCAGACTCGATTTATGAAACAGACTACGGCGTTCTTTTATTATGTACACTCATTTTAGAGGTTTGCATTTATAGCATTTATTTATAAAGTCAGTGAGAACAGTGAGGCTGTTTTGATCAACACAAACACTTGAAACATTTTAGAAGATTGCAGTCTTATTTTAGCTTCACTTTTCAGTTTATTTTTGGGTTTGAAAAAATAGATAGTTTTTAATAAAACAGCTTGGCTTGCAAGCCAAGGATATTTTTTAGTTAAACCGATATGGAAGTCTGAAAGAGGAGTAGGGGGCTAGGCTAATCTTTATCCTAAATACAAAGTTCAGGGAAGAAAGTCTCTCTCACTCACAAGCGCTCAAAGTATTGTACAATAATTCATCATTCAGTGTGTCGCAGTTCAGGTGTCATTGCAGAGCCATCATTCTGTGACCTCAGTGTGGGAGGAACGTGGCCCTGTGTTCTGTGTAGTGAGTGCACTTGTGTGTGTTGGTTGGTGTGCACACGCTTATGAATCAAGTCTGATTCAGCCTCTGTAATTGGTACTGAGAAGTGCTGGTTTTTCCTCAGAGATGAAAATTTGTTCCTCAGTCTTCACAAAGTCAATCACCCGACGGAGGCCGCTGGTATACTACAGTTTGACATGTGACACATTTGAGTGTGGGCTTGTTGTTTTAAAATGCAGTTTTTATAGTCAGGTCTCAGTCCATGGTTGATGGAGAGGATATGGGGAAGGGAGATAGGTGGGAAGAAAGAAGTTAAGAGATAATTAAATAATCACAACTGCTGCTGGCTCTTGATTATGTCTGGGGTAGAATTATACCAGTGATGACTCAAAAATGGTTTGGGAATGGTTACCTTTTTGCAGGCAGGTTGTGTGAAGGAGTGTTAACTCAAGGTCATTCCTGCGACTCCTACTTGAGTAAGAATAAAGGAAGTGGGTTTTGGGGCTCCATATGAACCCCAAAGGGAGGGGATGGGTACTGGGGGCCTTGAGCTGCCTCTCCTCTCATTTCCAACCTGAGCAGTTCTGCTGAGAGTCTGGCTCTCACTGTGGGCCTGTGGTTTACAGGAGCTAATTTTGAATCCCTAGTTAGCTTGGCTCTCAGCTGCACTTTAATCTCTGTTGGCTGCTCACGTGAGATTGAGAATTGACTGTATGACTCCTGGAATGCCTTCAAAAACCTCCAAGAATCCATGGCCAGTTGCAGTGAATGACTCACACTTGTAGTCCCATTGCTTTGGGTGGCTGGGATGGGAAGATCGCTTGAGCCCAGGAATTCAAGGCTGCAGTGAGCTATGATTGCACCACTATACTCCAGCCTGGGCAAACAGAGACCCTGTCTCTTAAAAAAAAAAAAACCACTCTCCCTGGTTACCCCCCAAACCCCTGAGAATCCATGAAGCTGTTTGATATAAGTGCTGTGAATCAAAATATGACAAATTATTCAGACACAGGGGAAATGTATCAGGGATGAATAGTCTATGAGGAGTTCTGGCCTTCTTGAATCTCTCTGCTCTGCCCATTCAGGAAGGGCCAGGGGCTAATTTGCTTTCAATCATTATTCCAGAGTTGAATTTTGAATTTCCCCTTTTCTTAGCATACATAATTGAAAATCAGCTGCACAGTAGCATGAATTTATAGAGGATGCAACAACAACGTTGGGTTTTGAGCCAGCTGGGAAATTCCCTTCAGTTTTTTCTGGCATATACCATGCATTTGAAGAATGTTGAACCAAGATTTTGAGGAAGTAAATTGCTCTTGCTGTTGAATGTGACCTAGAAGGAACTGAGGAACAGTGGAACTGAAGATGCAGCTTATTGATTTTTTTTCAAATTCCTTTGTTAGGCATCTGAAGAAGCCTCTCTCAGGGCATTGGAAAGTCTGATGACAGAATTTTTTCACGATTGTACAACCAATGAAAGAAAACGTGAGATAGGTAAGTGGAGCATTGACTTGTAAAGAGGAATTTATAATGAGGAGGCCCTGGTAGGGAGGAAGGAGTTGTTCGTAGCCGTGACTGGTCAAGTCTGCGTGCTTTCCACTTGAATTCTTGCTCTTTTCGCTCTGGTTCTGTTGGCTGGTGGCTGGGGAAACCCCTCCACTTGACCAAAGGAAAGAAAATCCATCACTGTGGATCTTAATTTCAGCAATGTTGTTGAACTTTCATATAAGAAGCCTGCGACTTTTTGGTGGGGGCGTCTAGGGTGGGGTGGGACAGGGTCTTGCTATGTTGCCCAGGCTGGTCTTGAACTCCTGGCCTCAAGTGATCCTTCCATCTCAGCCTCCTGAATAGCTGGGATTATAAGCGGGAGCCACTGCACCTGGATGGTTATTTAAAGAGAAACAGTAACAACTCAGGAAAGTGTCAAAATGAACATGTTTTGCTGTGCAGACGTCTGATCTGAACCTAATAGTGCCCAGAAATCCCATAACTGGTATTACTTTTGGGGGCTTCCCACTGCCTGGGCAATGTAAGATCCTGTCTCAAAAAAAAATTTTTTTGTTTTGTTTTTGAGACGGCGTCTCATTCTGTTGCCCAGGCTGGAGTTCATGGGGCGATCTCGGCTCACTGCAACCTCCGCCTCCTGGGTTCAAGCGATTCTCCTGTCTCAGCCTCCCGAGTTGCTGGGATTACAGGTGCCCACCACCACCCCCGGCTAATTTTTTGTATTTTTAGTAGAGACGGGGTTTCACCGTATTAGCCAGGTGGGTCTTGAACTGACCTCAAGAGATCTGCCCACCTCGGCCTCCCAAAGTGCTGGGATTACAGGTGTGAGCCACCGTGCCTGGCCATTAGTCTTCGATATTCTGACACTCTACTGTATTCTTTGAAGTCTTGTTTTAGATTATAATTGAAATGCTTTTGATTCTTTTAATTTTTGGTTTGTAAATCAAATATTTCTCACCTTCTATTTCATGAATTAAACGTAGAACCTTCTGAACATGTTCATATTCTAATCTGATCTTAAAAGAGATTTAAGTAGCCAAATGCTCCAGATGCCAAATTTGAGTGCAGGCTGAGGGGAATCCAGGGGTTTGTTTCTATACAGTAGGCTTGTCTTAGTTCAGTTCTCTTTGTACCTAGTCATTGTAGCTTTATTTGAGTGTGTGGACTTGGACTACTTATTGCTTCTTTTCTATGGTCTTGGGATAAACTCTAGGCTTTTCCTAGTTTGGTCAGAGAAAGGAAGGAAGCCTTTTCTTCAAAGGGCTCCACCCACCCTCCAGCAAAGGTAAATCACTAGTGCTCTAGAAATTGATAGAGCTGTTAGCAGGGACCTCGAGACCATGTGGTCATTGTAGAGTGGAGGAAACAGAAGCATCAAGGGGGAGCAGTGACTCACCTGGGGTCAGACTCAGAGTCTAGAACAGAGCCCAGAGTTCCTCAGTTCCAGTCTGGTTTGACTTCACTTTGGGGATTCACAGAAACCTTTGCTTAATTATTAGGGCAGGCTGTTAGCTTCCTTTTATGGATTTGTAATTAACTTTTATTTTTATTAAAATAATGTTTTTGACTAGGCATGGTGGCCCATGCCTGTAATCTCAGCACTTTGGGAGGTCAAGGCGGGTGGATCACTTGAGCCCAGGGGTTTGAGACCAGTCTGGGTAATATAGCAAGACTCCATCTCTACAAAAATATGTTTCCCCCCTTTTCTTATGTCTCCTCAGGAAAACAGCACCATTGAGTGCTATGGCGTCCTATAGAGAACTTCAGTCTTTGGTCATAGCATTAAGAGCTCATGGTTTCATAGCCCCACGAGCCCTCTTTGAAATGATCTAAAATTAAAAGGCTTGGATTTTTTTTTTTTTTGAAATGGTGCCTCACTCTGTCGCCAGGCTGGAGTGCAGTGGCGCAATCTTGGCTCACTGCAAGCTCTGCCTCCCGGGTTCAAGCGATTCTCCTGCCTCAGCCTCCCAAGTAGCTGGGACTAGAGGCACTTGCCACTACGCCCAGCTAATTTTTGTATTTTTAGTAGTGACGGGGTTTCGCCATGTTGGCCAGGATAGTCTCGATCTCTTGACCTCGTGATACACCCGCCTTGGCCTCCGAAAGTGCTGGGATTAACGGGCATGAGCCAATGGGCCCGGCCTTTTTTTGTTTTTTTTTTTTTGTTTTGTTTTGTTTTAAGAGATAGGATTTTGCTCTATCACTCAGGCTGGGTGTAGTGGCGTGATCATAGCTCATTGCAACCTCGGCCTCCTGGGCTAAAGCTTCAGGCACACCAAAGCATGTTCATTTTGACACTCTCCTAAGTTGTCGAGTTTTTTTTTTTCTTTAAATAGCCATCTGTGCGTGGTGTCTCATGCTTATAATCCTAGCTATTCAGGTGGCTGAGACAGGAGGATCACTTGAGGCCAGGAGTTAAAGACCAGCCTGGGCAACAGAGCAAGGTCTCCTCCTGCCTCAGCCTCTTGATTAACTAGGACTACAGGCACTTACCACCATATCTAGTTAAGTTTTTCATTGTTTTGTAGAGACAGGGTCTCAGTGTTGCCCAGGCTGGTCTTTCAACTCCTGGCCTCAAGCAGTCCTCCTGCCTCAGCTTCTCAAAGTGCTGGGATTACAGATGTGAGCCACTGTGCCTGGCCTTTCCATGGATTTTTTAATGAGACTGCGTCGTTGCATTTAGCTTAAGTTGTAGGGAACTAGCAGAGCAATGACTTGAGGATTAGAAGAAGCTGCTGTGTGTTCTGCTTTTCCAAAGGCTTTCTAGAATCTCTCAAGGTTGTGGGCCTTTGCACTTTTACCCTTTTTGGATTATATTTCATGACCAGTGCAGCAGGTCAAGGTGACTAAGGGACAGCATGTCCAGAAACATGATGGTAGCCCCGTAATGCTTGCTGCCTTGTGGGTTCTGGCTGATGCCATCAGCAGCCTCAGGAGGAGGAAAACCGTTTCTAACCAACGTGATGTGTGGACAGGGCTACTCGCCGCAACACTCGTCATCGTTGCTCTTGCCACCGGTCGATTCACTTTTTTGGTGGCAGTGTTTTAAAATAAAACCAACCCAAATGAAGAGTTAGCCGTTTTGAATTCTCTTGCATTTTTTTCCTTTCCTATCTTTGTAGAATTAGTCTTAATCTTTTCTTTTTCTGCCTTTCTAGCCGTCATTTTGTGTGTGTGAACAATGTAGGCTCCACTGAAGATTTGTAGAGGAATGGCGAGGCCCTAGAATGTAGCTCATATTCAGACGAAGTAAGTTAGCTAGCAGTTTTAAGAAGATGGAAGGGTACTCTTAGAACATTCCAGCCACACATTAGCTTAAATAAGAACTTTAGCAGTGAAAGTTTCTCTGCCTAGAGAAATATCCATAGCGAGGTTATTGGCTTTTAGGTGGCTGAAAACATTGTCAGTGTCCATGGTCACCTCAGACGCAGAAAAATATTGTATGATTTATTCTTTCTATCTTAAAGAATCCGCTGGTTTTGACATCATTTACATTATATGCAGAGAGACATGTTTAAATAATAATAAGATAGCCCAGTCTTGTCTAATTTCATGTATTTTCATAGCTTTCTTTTGTTGCCATTTAACTTTTCCAGAGGAGCTTCTTAATAACTTTGCCCAGCAAATAGGAGCCTGGAGATTCTGCCTGTACTTTCTCTCCAGCACTAGGAATGACTATGTAATGATGTACAGTTTAACAGTTTTTGAGGTAAGTTGTCAGTAATTTTATACTCTTCTGAAAAGGATTTTGTAGTTCTATTGCCATATCATTAGCACTAGACTAGAGCTGTAATGTGCTGGGAGAGGGTAGCTCAGCTCTGGGATGTCGTCCCACATACTGTCTTTATGTAGTTGTCTGGTGTTTGGGGCATCTTCCATCTTCCACACTAGAAAGGTAAGATGGATGGTTGACTTTAGGGTTAAGTAGGTAGGTCATTTGTGGTAACATGTAACTATTCCCTGCCTGTTATCATTGATAAAGGAAAGATAATTAAATAAAAACATTTTAGGAGGAGAAATAATAACCATAATACCATCATCCCCAACAACAAAAAGTTTTATTTATCACCTCTCTTCCAATCCTTGTCTTCTGTGCCCCCCTTTAAAAAGCCTAACTGTAGGCCGGGCGCAGTGGCTCATGCCTGTAATCCCAGCACTTTGGGAGGCCGAGGCGGGTGGATCAATGAGGTCAGGAGATGGAGACCATCCTGGCTAATAAGGTGAAACCCCGTCTCTACTAAAAATGCAAAAAAAAAAAAAAAAATTAGCCGGGCGTGGTGGCGGGTGCCTGTAGTCCCAGCTACTCTGGAGGCTGTGGTAGGAGAATGGCATGAACCCGGGAGGCGGAGCTTGCAGTGAGCTGAGATTGCACCACTGCACTCCAGCCTGGGCGACAGAGCGAGACTCCGTCTCAAAAAAAAAAAAAAAATCTAATTGTAATCATATTGCCCATGCTATTTTGTATTCTACTTTTCCCCACTTTATTTTATATCCCCACATGTGGTTATGACATTATTCACCAAGGCATGCTCCTGTTTTTGAACATTGAAGTTGCTTCTGTCATTATATTTTGGTGGCCATTAGAGACAGTGGTGTAAAAAAGTTTTTGCACATACAGCTTTTTGTTTCTGTTATTTGGCAGTTCTTCCTAGGAATGGGACTGTTGTGTCCTAAGATTTGAATACTTTTATTATTCTTATTGCCATATTGCCCCAAACCTTTATTTAAAGAGGGATTCTTGTTTATTGAAGTGATAATAGCTACCTGTGGGATGAAAAGCAGTTATTTTTGTGTATAGGTTGTTAACTTAAAAGATGTATATTTGTTTTTCAGAATCTGATCAATAAAATGTGGCTTGGGGTCCCATCTCAGGATAAGATGGAAATCCGTAGCTGTCTGCCCAAACTCCTTTTGGCTCACCATAAAACCTTACCTTACTTTATCCGGAACAAGCTCTGCAAAGTTATTGTTGATATTGGACGTCAGGATTGGCCCATGTTCTACCACGACTTTTTTACTAACATTTTACAGGTAAGGATATGCCTAAGGAAACTTTATCTTGTGAATAGTTTGTTTGTTGAAGTGATTATTTCCTTGTCCTGAAGAGGACTTTTAAGATTAGCAGTTTGGAACTGCAGTAGTGAGGTTATTGTAGGACTGATTATCGCATTCACTTTATATTTATAAGACATATTGTATCTTTGTGAGGTGGAGAAAGTGGGGGAGAAAAACTTAATCTCTTTTTAACCTCTTGTGCAGTTTGTTCAGCCAGTATTTGAAAGCCTGTTAGGTGCTGTACTAGGTGTTGGGGGTACAAGGGTGAGGCTTTCAGTAGTTTCGGCGTTTAGTGGGGGAAATAGCTGTGCAAACAGTGATTACTCAACAATATGGTAATTATTGTGGAAGTATATGCAGAGTGCTATGGTGGCATAGCATGTAGACTTGGTGTTGTTGGGCTGAGATGTGAGATGGTGAAGTGGCAGAGTAAGGGGCTAGATTGATGGGCAGAGGCCAGGCCAGGAAGGGTTGGGGGGTTCCATTGTGCAATTCGTAGTTTTTCCTAGGGAGCTAATGAAAAGTTTTGGGGAGGGAGAAAACATGGCTACATGTTTATGGTGGAATGATGGCTAGCTGGGGTCTGGATTGCAGAGGGGCGAGGTGAGAGGGAAAGAGGCAGGGTGTAGAGGATCTGAGCCAAAAGGAGACGACCTGGTGGGTGGAGGTGAGGCACCCAGGGGATGGGGGCAGGAGGCCAGTGACAATAGGTGAGAGGGGAGAGAAGGGAGGAATCTAGAATGACTTCCAGTTTTCTGGCTCAGATAGATTTTTCAGGCCAGGGTTGAAAGAAGGGGAATGAATTTGGGCAGAAGATGGTGAATTCAGTTTGATAGAAAATGCATTTAAAATTTGTGTGTTCCTTCTTTGTAATAACTAATGAGACATTAGGAAGTGTGGATCTGGGATCAGGATTTGGAAGTCAGAAGGGAGTAACTGGGACCTAAAAGCTACGAGGGAGATGCTGTTGCTCATTTGAATCCTGTGATCAAGTTGGAAACATTTTCATGTATTGAGCTAGTCTTGGGTATGCAGGAAGTGGGTATTATATACAGTTTATAGAAATAAAGTTCTTTGAAAATTGTTTATAGTCTCAGTGACTGTAGGATTTTCCAGAACAATATCATTTTCTAATGTTCTGCCTGCTCTTCATACAAACCATTTTAATGATGCAGCAATTCAAAAAGAATTCAGCATCCAAAGTGCTTCTCTCAGATTGTCTCTCAAAGGGGCACAAAAATTCTTCATTTAGTTTTGTTTTGTACAGTGCTTCATTTATCTAGAGATTTATTGGGTTGTTACTGCAAAGGAGATTCATGCCTTTATTCAAGTAAACTATTTGTTGAACACTAAGCACATGAGGGGATATAGTAATGAACAAAGACCAAGTCCCTGCCTTCCTGGAATTTATGATCTCAGGGCGGGGATGAGGGCATCAACGAACAATAAACAGGTACACACTTGGAGGTATTTATAAGTATGATGAGAACTCAATCCAGGGAAGGGGAAAGAAACTAGCGGGGGTTGTGTTTAGATGGGATGCTCGTAGAAGGCTTTTCTGGGGACAGACATTTGAGCAGAAACCTGAGTGGGGGTGATGGCGTGCACCACGTGGGTATCTAGGGGAACAGTATTTTGGGCAGAGAGAATAGGAAGTGCACAGGACCTGAGGAATGGCAAGCAGGCCAGTAGGCCTGGACTGGGGGGACACGAGGTGGGAGACACTTCCCTGGCGTTCTGTCCAATACACTTGCCTTCAATCCAAGTTGAGGACGGTTATGGTAACCCTCTCCAAGGCTCTCTTAAGTGGGCGTCAGGGAAGCCCACTGGAGACAGGAAAGACCAAGAGGGTTGGGAGTCTAAGTGAACCTATTCCTGGGTTGGTTAGTGGTGCGTCCTGTGACAAGAAGAGAGGGACCTTGAGACGGAGAGTCACAGGCCTGATGATAGCAGGTAAGGTGGAGCCACAGTTCCACCGCTGGGATTGGTCCCTTTGATGAAGAACAGAACGTTTCCTGGCTACATTTGAAGTATAATTATTTGTAACAAAAGATGGATTTGGAAGAGAGCACTTTTAGGTGAAGGGCTTCTGGAGGTTTAAAAAGGCTAATTGTCCACTGTTCTCCACCACCTCCCGCTTTCAACCCCTTCAGTATTGACTCCTTTAACCTCATGTAGCTTTCGTGACTTTGAAACACCATGTAGTAGAAGGAGCCAGACTGTGAGGCAGCAGGTTTGGGTTCTGCACCCAACTTTGTGTAAAGTCTTCTTTTTCTTTTCTTTTATTTTAATAAATAGAGATAGAGTCTCACTATGTTGCCTAGGCTGGTCTTGACTTCTTGGCCTCAAGTGATTTTCCTGCCATGGCCTCTCAAAGTGCTAGGATTATAGGCGTGAGCTACTGCCCCTAGCCTAAAGTCCCCTTTGATTTTAGCACCTCCTGCCACTTAGGTAAGCTTCCCTTTCTTTCTTTGTAAAATGAGAGGGTTGGACTAAGTGATCTTTGAAATCCTTTCCAGTTGTGTTATGTCCTGCTTCTTATTTATTCTTGTGAACTAGACAATGGCATATAAGCCTTGTCAAGAATGATCAGTACTCAATGATCAGTGCCCAATTGCTGACATTTCTGATAATATAGTGGAGTTATCCCTCTGTATCCGTGGGGGATTGGTTCCAGGACCTCCTTGGATATCACAATTCATGGATGTCGAAGTCCCTGATATAAAAAGGCATAGTTTGCACGTAACCTATGCACATCCTTTTGTGTAGGTTAGACCATCTCTGGATTACTTCTAATACCTAATAGAAGGTAAGTGCTCTGTAAATAGTTGTTATACTGTATTGTTTAGGAAATAATGATAAGAAAAAACTATACATGTTTACTACAGATGCAGCCATTTTTTCTTCTTTTTCCTGATTATGTTCTATCTGTGGTTGTTTGAACCCTTGGATACAGAACTCATGGATATGGAGGGCTAACTGTAAACATTTTCTTCAGGTATTGGTAAATAATGCCAAACTGGTTCTGGAATCCATTTCACCATCACTTGATCCTTTGAGTAAATCATCTCAAGGGTTTTTTTTTGGCTCATGTTGTGTTTGCAGTCTGGGGTGCATGGTTTTGTTTTTTTTAAACGCTGTGACAGTTTGTTGGGTGGTATCTATGCAGTTTTTGTTATAATTGTGGTGACCACCATAACCAGATAGAGAGGGGTTGATTTGGTAACCCAGCCTTACGTGCGGTGGGTTGGTTATACCCTTTCTAGGCTCCTGGAGAAGTAATCGAAATTGAAACCGACCGCTTTCCTTCCCACCTGCCTGCATATACGTCAGCACACACATAACACTAATGGTTCTAGAACCTGTTCTTCAAATTCCTGAAGTCTGTTGAGCAGAACCTGTGGTCACATTGTACGTGGGGCTAGAGACTTAAGGGGCAAGCAGCATAGGAGAGAATTGCTGTTTCTTCTGTTGGGTCGTGTAATAAAAACAATGGAACCTTTTCAGAAGTTCACGCTAGAAACCTGAACTTGTTCTTCAACCTGCAGGAGCTTATTGTCTGTTAAATTGCAGAGATTACCTATGTTACAGGCTTAAATTATAGATGTGAAGATGGTAAAGGGAGACACTATTTTAATCAAAAGCTTCCTGGGTACAAAGCTAATGAGAGGAAAAATTATACATTTTATCAAGCTCTTTTTCAAGTAAAGAATAGCTTTCTTTTTTCATCTGGCTTCTTGCCTGACCTTCTCCCCTTCCCCTAAATGGTGAGAGGAAGGAGAGCTTGCAGATAGATTTTCCATATCGTAGGGGATTTTTATATCTGGGAAGCACAGCATTTCATATTTATAGGAGGGTGTATATTGCCAAATGGGATATTTGGCATTACGAGTCATTTCCAGCTGAGAGAGTAAGGATGCAGCCTGGAGGGGAAAATAGAGACAAAAGAGGTAGAGGAGAAAGAAAGGAAAAGGAGGAAGTAATGGGAATCTTTTAGAATATAGACTGATAAGCCAAAGGTCTCCAAATGGAAAGAGATGCTTACCAAGGATCAGTTCTATTTCATTGTGTGAAGAGAAATTTCCTGTCCTCCCTACACTGCATGATCTGAATTTAAGTCAGTGTTAGAAATAGGCCCAATTTGTAGAAAACGAAGATAAAAATTGTGGAGAATATACAAAGTTTTAGTGTTCAAGAGACCTGAATTTATAGAGAGCATTTTAAACACATCATTCATTGCTGCTGGTTACCTAGTGCTGCTTCTGAAGACACTTGAATTTACCTTAAGTTCCCATTATTGAGTACTTGTCCTGTTCTTTAGGGGTGAGCTTTTCCTTGCTTTGTGATAGGGAGAGTTATTTCTAAGGGAAAGGAATGTACCCTGTATTTCTTTCTTTTTCTTTTTTTTTTTTTTTTTTTTTGAGACAGAGTCTTGCTCTCTTGCCCAGGCTGGAATACAGTGGGGTGATCTTGGCTCACTGCAACCTTTGCCTCCTGGGTTCAAGTGATCCTCCTGCCTCAGCCTCCTGAGTAGCTGGGACTATAGGCGCCTGCCACCACACCCGGCTAATTTTTGTATTTTTAGTAGAGATGGAGTTTCACCATGTTGGCCAGGTTGGTCTCGAACTGCTGACCTCAAGTGATAAAGTGCTGGGATTACAGGCATGAGCCACCACGCCCAGCCCGTACCCTGTATTTCTTGAAGTGAAGAATATAAAGTCTGTATGGGTGCAGTTCCTGAGTGTTCTGCTCTTCCCTAAAGTTTATATATTTTTTTAGCTTAAGTAAAAAAAAAAAAAAAGTGTGTCAGGGAATTAACTACATTTAAAGTTAAGATTAAGGAAAAACTTGAAGTGCTTTTCAAATTGTCTGCTCTTTTATAGATTGTAGCAATTAACTCAACAGATAATTTTAGTGGCAACTTGTTTACTTTTATCATTTCTGGAAATTAAAAAATAAGTGTAATAGTAATGCTTTGAATTTTGTAAAAATGATTAGGAAGATGTAAGTAGTGCTTTGCTGTTGAAGGCGTACTTTTTTTGTCTTGTTTAGTTAAACTTTCTTATGGTAGAGAGACTATTACACGTGATAGAAACAGCAACTTAATTTGCTACATGGGTATTTGCAAAATCCTAACTAATCTTAGTTTAATGACATGTATGTATGGTGTTGCTCTGCTATATTTAATCATGAACTTTTCTGAAGCATGCAAAGTTTAGAAGTGTAAAGTTGATTTAACAACATGCATATTGAAAAGACATCACAAATTGATTTACACATCTTAATCACTAATACAGATATAATTTATATACATACACACACAAAACTTGGCTACTAGACAAAGTAACAAAGGCTGTGTTAGGAATCTGGACATGTATAAAAATTGTCATGTTAGGTATAAAAGACCATTGTTTTCTAGCTGTTTTTAAGTTCATGGTATTAGAATTTTGTCCATAAAATATGATGAGAATGTATTTTGAATGGTTAAAAAGAGCTACCTAAATATCCTCTAAGTGATGTTTCTTTTTTTTTTTTTTTTTTGAGACAGAGTTTTGCTCTCGGTGCCCAGGCTGGAATGCAATGGCACGATCTCGGCTCACCACAACCTCCACCTCCTGGGTTCAAACGATTCTCCTGCCTCAGCCTCCCAAGTAGCTGGGATTGTAGGCATGCACCACCACACCCGGCTAATTTTGTATTTTTAGTAGAGACGGGATTTCTCCATGTTGGTCAGGCTGGTCTCTAACTCCCGACCTCAGGTGATCCGCCCGTCTCAGCCACCCAAAGTGCTGGGATTACAGGCGTGAGCCATTGGAGCTGGCCTCTAAGTGATGTTTCTGAAGTGTTGATTTATGTTCATGTAAGATTAAACACACACAGATGCTTCATAGCTTTAATGCTACTGAGTCCTCTTTGTACTTTATTAGTCCAACACTCTGCTCAGAACATGCTTTTTCCTGGCAGTTGATCCAGTCCCCTGTGACAACCCCCCTTGGGCTGATCATGTTGAAGACAACTTCAGAAGAGCTGGCTTGTCCCCGTGAGGACCTCAGTGTGGCTCGGAAGGAGGAGTTGCGGAAGCTGCTACTGGACCAGGTGCAGACAGTGCTTGGGCTACTGACAGGTGAGCAGTATGGTAGTGCCCAGAGATAGAGGCCTGCCCGCAGGCACCCAGAGTTCAGGCCTTGGCACTCAGCAGCTTTGAGCAGTTGTTTGCGCTGTTTCTGAGATAGCATGAAAATGGGAAGCTGCGTTCCCAACACCTATAGCCCAGGGTCTAGCACACAGTAGGACTACAAAATAGATTTGTACCTTATTTTCCTCGTAGTCTTTCACGAAGTGGTCTTCACTGTAACTGTGATCAGTGAGGTAGAGTCCAGGTCATAGGAGTATACCTACAGTGCCGATCACTGCATGGTAAGTTAGGTGGGTGGCAAGCACTCTATTTAAAATAATTTGAATTGAAGATCAGGAGAAGTTGGAGTAGGAGGATATGAAAATTTCCCGTTCTGGGTAAGGAAGTGAGACATGGTGTGGAGCCAGCCCCTTGTGCACTAGGTTGTAGTTGTATGTAGCATTTTGTCTTTTCTGTTTGATGAGAGCCTCATGACAAGGTGTAAAGGGTAAGAATAAACAGAAAGCAAACCACAACATGAGACAGGAAGGTAGGAGGAGAGGGGAGTGCCCTGGGTGACTGGGGTGGCTGCTGTGTGCTGCTGTGATACCTGTTTGCTAGGGAGACATGTATGCAATGCCTGGCCGTGAGGCCCTGAGGGTGCCGGGAGCCTGGGCTTGCTACTTGAGGGAATCTTGTAGTGAAAAGAAGTTTTTATCTCTAACTCCTTTATCCAGGCTTCTTCTTGGATGTCTAGGAACTTTCTTTATATCTCCAGTTTAGTGCTTGGCATGTGGTGGGCACTTAAAGTTGGCTGAAAGAACCATTGATTTAAAGTAAACTTGGGTTAGTGCAATGGCTCACACCTGTAATCCCAGTGCTTTGGGAGGCTGAGGTGGGAGGATCACTTGAGCCCAGGAGTTTGAGACCAGACTAGGCAACATATTGAGACCCCCATTTCTGGAAAAAAAAAAAAACAAAACAAAAAAGTTAGCTGGGTGTGATGATGCATGCCTGTAGTCCCAGCTACTCAGGAGGCTAAAGAAGGAGAATTGCTTGAGCTCAGGAGTTTGAGGCTGCAGTGACCTATGATCGTACCACTGCACTCCAGCCTGGGTGACAGAGTGAGACCCTGTCTCTTTAAAAAAAAAAAAAAGAAAAAGAAAAAGAACTTGGCATTTGTCCCCCCATCCTTCCCTAAAGCCCCAGGGGTAAACCTAAACCTTCAGAGTATTTATTCATTCAAAGCACTTTTTTTTTCTTTTTTCCTTTTTTTGAGACAGGATGTCTCTTTGTTGCTCAGGCTGGAGTGCGGTGATGTGAACATAGCTTACTGCAGCCTCAGATTTTGGGGCCTAAGCGATCCTTCCACCTCAGCCTCCCCAGAAGCTGGGACTACAGGCATGCGGCACCACGCCTGGCTAATTTTTGTATTTTTACTAGACATAGAGTCCCTGTATTGCCCAGGCTAGTCTCTAACTCTTAGGCTCAAGTGATCCTCCTGCCTTAGCCTCCCAAAGTGCTGAAGTTACAGGCATGAGCCACTGTGCCTGGTCTCAAAGCACATTTTTTGACACCCCAACTAAATGTTAAATTTCTAATGTTAGGGACCATGTTTTATACCTCTGTGTCCTACAGTGCCCAGCAGTATATTAAATATTTTAAAAATTGAGATAAAACTCACCATTTTAAAGTGCAATATTGACCGGCTTTTAGTATATTCTTGAGGTTGTGCAACCTTCACCGCTATCTAATTCCAGAACATTGTCATCACTATAAAAAGAAGCATCATACCCATTAGCAGTACCCTCCCCCACCCCGCCCCATTCTCCTCTCCCCCAATCCCTGGCATTCACTAATCTACTTAGTCTGTCTCTATGGATTTGCCTTTTTTGGAATTCTCATAAAAATGGAAGCATACAATATGTGATCTTTTGTGTCTGGCTTTTTCACTTAACATAATGCTTTCAAGATTTATTCAGGTTTTAATATGAAAAATTTGAGAATAAGATATTTTCAAAAGCCTTTGTGATCACCTTATGTTCCGGGTTCTGTACGGGTACAAAGAGGAAGAAAACACAGTTCCCACCCTCAGGTAATTTACACTTGAGTGGGGAGACACAAGTAAACAGTTAAAGATGTTTTAAGAGCTAAATAGAGGTATGTTTTATGTGCAGGAATTCCTGAAGGAGGTGACAGCTGAATGGAATTTTGAGCGACAGACAGGTGGCATTTAGTCTGGTGGAAAGGTGATGTTGAAATTGGGAGGAGGAGAGCAGGTCAGAGGTTGAGAGGGACACATGTAGAAGGAACAGCAGACAGTTGAGCATAGCAAGGCCGCGTCTGTCGGGTGAGCTGAAGCCTGGGTCAGGTGAGGCTAGATGAGGTCAGCAGAAGCCAGGATTTCCAGCCTGTTTCCTGCATGAGGAACGAAAAAGGATTGGTGGCAGGTTTGTGGGGAACGAAAAGTTGAGTTTGGGATATGCACGTAGCATTGTCCAGGAAGCAGGTGGACATGCAGGTCTGTTACTGCCTTGCCTTGTTTCTGAAGCCCCCATCGTGTGAGGCAGAGCTTGGTGTATATAGTCAAGGTGAGTTTGGGCCAAGAACAGGAGACTTGAGAGGCTTCAGAATATATTGAAGCCATAGCAGTGGATGAGTCACTCTAGCAGTGAGAGTGAAATGAGAGGAGAAGCAGGTCAGTCAGGGAACCTGGGGAAACGTGTGTTTAAATGACTCATGGGCAGAGGATGGAAGTAATAGTGAAAGGGATAGAATTGAGTTCAAAGAAACCAGAGAAAAGCCAGGAAAGAGTGGTGCTACCAGCTCAGAGAAGGGTTTAGGCAATGGCCTGTAATGCCACAGTGTGGTCAAGGAGGATGGGGATTAAGTGACCAGTGAGTGCATGCAGCAACCAGGTGACTCTGGCAAAGAGCAGTGCTGGAGGCAACAGTGGGGAGAGGCCACACCACAAGGCCACAGTGAAGCAGTGGAGAGCCAGAAGATAGCTGTGAAGTCGAGAGGCACAGCCGCTAGCTGGAGGAGGACATGGTCAAGAAAGGGATGTTCAAGTACTCATGTTTGATCAGAGGTATCAAGAAACTTTCTCTAAATATGATTTTTATATGCTGGACATTATTTCTCTTATAACTCTGTTTCTCCTTTCTTGGTAGGTATCTTGGAGACTGTCTGGGACAAACACAGTGTTACTGCTGCCACTCCACCACCATCCCCGACCTCAGGAGAAAGTGGTATGGTCTGCCTGCCAGCCAAGGCATTCTTCTTTTTAAATGTATTGGGGGCCAGGTGTGGTGATTTGCAACTGTAGTCCTCAGTACTGAGGAGGCTGAGGTGGGAGGATCACTAGAGGCCAAGAGTTTGAGACCAGCCTGGGCAACATAGTGAGACTCTATCTCTGTTTTTAAAAATTACATTAAAAAAATAGTCCTAGGTTGTTTCCCTCATTTTTTTATTTTTCCTGAATGTCATGGTTATGTGCTTGTGCTGAGATTGTTAGGAGCCTTTGGGCTTGAAACGTCTGCTTGTCCTTCTGTAGGGGTGGCAGGAGGTGGGCAGCAGCCTGCAGGAGAGGACATAGGAACAGGAATATTGAGTGCTTTCTTCCTCACTGGATTCATGTTGGCCAAGGCAGAGTGGAGACCTCTCTGCCTGCATAGTGGAGACCTCTCTGCCTGCATAGTGGAGACTATGCAGTAGTTAGCATTGAATCAACATTGGTTAAGAGTCATTTGGTAAAGCGGGGCATATTTGCAGAGGCTATTAAATAGTTTACTGGTTGCTAGTTATTGTCCACAGTTATGTTAATATCTGCTTCAAAATTCAGAGTGTAGTTCTTCTAAAGATGACTACTTTCAAGGATGGATGGAAAGAGGAAATTGCATCTGAACAGGAACTTTTAGTTTCTAAATGCTGCTGTTTACACTAAATGATCACAAATGCTTTTCCAGCAGAGTACATCCTGTGAATTGACACATATAGCTTCCTCTACTGTAAAGGTTGATGTGGCTAATGAGAAATATTTCCACATCTTCTCCTTTATTTCAAGGAGATAGGCTGTGGAAGTCAGACGTCTCTAAGCCCAAGCTGTTTTATGTAGCCTGTTGTTAGTATGTGGAAGCTGAAATTCTTACAGAGTTACTCTAGAATTGAAAAATCTATCTGGAAGTTTTGGGGAGTACTCATAGTGCACTAATTATTACAAATTTTCATTATCTTACTTGGATTAAAAATTATTAGAGAGCCATTTGTCATACTGCTTAGATTACAAACAATTATAGAGTTCTAGAGTGCATTATAAGCTCATAGGAAATGGAACTTTGTATTTGGTGGCAAACCTTTATTCTTTAGGTAGATATTTGAGGTGGCTCAGCAGATTTATATGTTGCGGTATCTGGAGATTAAAGAAACATTTGGAAATGATTCAGAGATTTGATTTTATGAGTGAACGAATGTCTTGGAGTATCCACAGTTAAGTTTGTTTTTTCGTTTAAATTCTGTTTGCAAATATTAATTCTTTTTTTCGAGACAAGGTCTCCTTCTGTCACCCAGACTGGAGTGCAGTGGTGTGATCACAATTCACTGCAGCCTCGACTTCCTGGGCTCCAGCAATCCTCCCATTTCAGCCTCCCAGGTAGCTGGGACCATAGATGTGCACCAACATGCCTGGCTAATTTTTGTATTTTTTGTAGAGACGGGGTTTCGCCATGTTGCCCAGGCTGATCTTGAACTCCTGAGCTTAAGCTATCCACCCGCCTCAGCCTTTCAGATTTCTGGGATTACAGGTGTGAGCCACCATACCCAGCCAAGATTAGTTCTTTTGAGTTAGATTTATTTTAGACAGTTGAATACTCGCTAGCATGGTTTATTAGCAACAGCAGTTTACTGTAGAAGAAATGCTTGTTTGTGTTTCTGTTGGCTTCATCCAAACAGGTTCTGAGCTAACTCAGTTTATACTTTGATAGGCTCTGTTTTCCTCAGGGCCATGTTGGGGAATGTCAGATAATACAAACCAGAGATATGTGCTTACTTCTTCCATGTGTTGCCTAGGTTTTATGCGGCTAAGCGGAATAAAATATGAACTAACTTGACATTTGCTTGTAACAAAACCTAAAATGTGGTGCCTACTTCTTGAGAATTGCCTCTTAAAATTTTTTGAAGTGTTGGATTTTAGTATTTGAGAAATAACAAAATAAATTGAGACTGTGGGGGCACTTAGGGAGTTATGTAAGCTTTTAAGCTGGTAAAGTTCCCCTTTAAAAAAAAATTGCATGTTCATTTGTTACAGTATTTTTCTTTCTTTTTATGGTAATGTAAGTGAAGTCATTAGATCTTGCCCCACTATTTGGACAGTGCTGATGATGCAATCACCATTCATTTTGATGCTTTTGTTCAACTGTCTTTGTGCGCTTAAGATGCCAAGTTAAGCAGTAAAACTTCCAGAAAGTTGTTTTGCTTTCTTGACCGTATCAGTTTTCTAGAGAAAATTTGTTCTGAGAAACTGTAGGGCCCAGTGAAGCAACCAAATGAATTCCTTAGCTCAGCCCCTGTGGGGCTCTCCTGCCCTGTGTCTTAGGTTTAGTAGCCACCTGAGGCTTGTGGGGTTTTTTTCCCCATATACTTTCTTTTAATGTAATTTTCTGTCTTATTACTTTTAAAGAACAAAGCCCAGGGACTAGTTCCTGCAACAACTCCTTTAATAGTCTGGATGTAGAAAAAAGTTTGAAGGAGTGTGTGTGGTTTATTTCTCAGCATAGTTCCCCCAAATTGTTACCTTAACTCCTAAACTGGCTGCAATAGTGATCACTCACCTCACGAGATCAGACTAGTCTGTCTCTTGCTTACAAACAAGGAAGCTTGCCAGGGGTTGCATCGCCAGTGAGCAGAGTGGGGACATGAACCCCTACCAGAACCCTAGAATTCCAAATCTAGGTGCACGGTCATTGTCCTAGCTTTGCTTTCTTGGTCGTTCTCACCAATTCTGTCCACTTCCTTCTTCCCCTGGTTTGGAGTCTTGGCCCTGCCACTTACTCTGTGACCTTGAGTGGATCCTTCACCTTCTCTGACCGCTGATGTCCTTGACTTTAAAAAAGGAATAGCTTCCTCTGAGGATAAATGAGGGAAGATGTGGACATTGCCCCCCCGCCTGCTGAGGCTGTTCCTTCCTGCTGCACTTGAGCAGCCTCATCTTCCTTCATCTCCTCTCATGTTCACTTCTCTTTGCCTGGACCATTGGGGAAAAAAGTGCACAGAATGAGATTATGTGACTACAGCAATTCTGAGTTAGCTTTGATTGCTCTGCAGTAAAATTAAGGGACCATATCTTTCTCATGCACATGATATATAGTTTCAAATATAGATCTGTACATACGTGATGATGAAAAGTTCTTCAGGATGAGGATGTATCAGAGAGTGTGAATTGAGGCCAGTCTTCTGTTTCCTCCCAAACTCTTAACAGATTGCATATCTTCATGCAAATCTTTTCATGTATTCCTTGTATACTACCTATAGAAAGGTGGGACTTGGGAGGGTCACTTACAACTCCTGTGATCTTATTTTCTCCTCCAGGGGCTCCTTGAATAGAGTTTTCCCCCATTTTACTGGCCAAGGCTGCAGTTAGAGCTGTGGTTTGTCCTGCAGGGGATATTTGTCAGTGTCTGGAGAAATTTAGGTTAACGCGACTGGAGAAGTGCTATTGGCATCTAGTGAGTGGAGGCCAGGGATGCTGCTAAACACCCCGCGGTACACAGCAGACCAAAGAATGATCTAGCCCCAGATGCCAGTAGTGCTGAGGTTGGAAAACTCTTAAGTTAGTAAATATACAACTGATAGGAAAAACATGAAGTTTCAATAATTAAAAAGCTTTGCACGAAAGTTTATTACAGGGCTGGGCATGGTGGCTTAGGCCTGTAAATCCCAGCACTTTGGGGGGCCGAGGTGAGAGGATCACTTGAGCTTAGGAATTTGAGACCTGTGTTGGCAACATAGTGAGACCCCATCTCTAATATATATATATCTGGGCATGGTGGCTCCTGCCTGTAGTCCCAGCTACTTGGGAGGGTTGAAGTGGGAGAATGGCTTGAGTCCAGGAGGTTGAGGCTGCAGTGAGCCATGATTGCATCACTGTACTCCAGCCTGGGCGACAGAGCAAGACCCTGTCTCCAAAAAAAAAAAAAAAAAATTACAAATATGCCAACCATGTCTTCATTCCTTCTAAGTCAGTAAATGCACCAGAGTTGTCTACACAGCTCTGTGGGCATTGGTGCGTATCGCTGCCAGGGTCACAGGTTTTGTAATCAAGCTACCCTCTTCCATAGAGAACTTGATAAAGCTCTCTTAGGTTTGCATTGGAAGTGCTGCTGCATGAAGCAGAATCTGTTTTGTGCTGATTCCTTCCACTTTGATTACGGTGTAATTTTTGAAAAACACTTCCGCCATCCACTAAAATACCTTGAAACATTTAAATTTGAGTAAAATCGTTTTTATGGAGAAATAGCCTTAACAGGTTCTTTCCCTCACCCCAACCTTTTTAGGCAAATGAGTTGTGGTACACTCCTTAGCAGATGCTGACTTCCATGACCATGGTCCTGCTATTTTCTTTCTTTTGAGGACAAAAGTAATCGCAGATCATTCATATCCACCTAAACAGTTTTTGCCTTTGCATAATCTTGTTCAGTCTTTGTCTTCACATATTTGTCTTTCTATGCTTGTAGTCATGGTATACACATGCTATTATTTTACATATGATTTTAGGCCATACATATTTTTCCATATTTATTTTTTCACTTTAATACAGAGGAGAACAATTAGGAATATTTTTCTGTATTTAAATATTAGCTTTCTTATTGCTCATTTTTCCTGGTTGCATAATCTTTCCAGTTAACTTGGTTTTTGGAAGGAAACATTGGTTTTGAGGCCAGACCCTGGTTTGGTTTCATTTCTACCTTATGCTAGCAGAGGGACTTGGGGAAACACTTGGTCTGTCTGTGCCTTAGTTATTTTAATGGTCTGTAAATATGGGTAATAATGCCCACCTTAGAGTTGTGAATATTAAATGAGAATATGCATATATAGTTTTCAGTATAGGGCCAAGCAAGTAGTCACACAGCAGATGGTGGCTGTTACTGCTTTTACCATAAGTATTATTATAGATGTTTTGTTTTTTTTTTTCCTTTTAGCATCCATTCTGGAAAAAGTCTTCTGAGCCACATGCTAGGGACAGCTTTTAAATCTACTTTTCTTTTTTTTGGCTCCTCATAAATCAACTTGATAAGTCCACTTTTAAGAATAGAACTTAAACCCTTCGTTAATGAATTCACAAAATCCTCATTATAATGGCGGAGGAGGTTGAGGCTGAGAAAGGCTAGCCAACTTGTTCATGTTCTTCCAGCGTTAGCATAAGACCTCAGCTCTCAATAAGTCTGGGGACCCCTGGAAGTCCCCCAAACCCTTTTAGGGAGTCCCAAAGGCCAGGTATGTGTTCATAAAAATACTAAGACATTGTTTGTCATTTTTATTCCCATTCTCTCATGAGTATATGAATAAAAAAGTTAATTCCAGATTCCACATTGCAGTTAACCCTTCAGAAATGACTATTCATCAGACTTTAATCTAATATGATAGAATAGACACAGTTATTTGAAAAGGCCACTAAAGCCCTTTGTTCATTTGTAGTTGCATATCTGTGTGGAGTTGCATTTTCTTCACATACTTCAGTGAAAACAATCTATTGCAAAAGAGTGAAGGCAGAAGCAGTTGGGAGAGTCTAGTTATCTTTTAAACCAGCCACTAAAGAGATTTCAAAAATAGAAAAACTGTACTACCTTTCTCACTATTTTTGGGTAAAATACAGTTTTTTTCATTTAAAAATGTTATGCTAACATGATGGCTTTGTAATTAAATGAATTAAATATTTAAACACTTCTCAGCTTTAATTTCTAATATGGCAAATATCAATAGAAGTAATGCTCCTAAGAGCTTTCTCTTCGGGATGCTTAGTAATTTTTAAGAGTGAGGACTTCTGAAACCCAAACATTTGAGACCTAGTGCTGTAAAGTACAAAATAAAATGTAAACATTTACCCAGTATCTTACATAGAAAGAACATCAAATAATATTTGATCACTCCAGACATCTCTACACAGAGATAAGACAGATAAAAAGACAAAAATGGCATCAGATTATATATTTTTTAATAACATTTAAATTTTAGTTTTACTTGATTTTTTTTTTTTTTTTGGTGATGGAGTCTCACTTTGTTATCCAGGCTAGAGTGCAGTGGCATGATCTTGGCTCACTGCAGCGTCCGCCTCCCAGGGGCAAGCGATTCTCCTGCCTCAGCCTCCTGAGTAGTTGGGATTACAGGTGGCAGCTGCCATGCCCGGCTAAGTTTTGTATTTTTAGTAGAGATGGGGTTTCACCATTTTGGCCGGGCTGGTCTGGAACTTCTGACCTCAAGTGATTTATCCGCTTCAGCCTCCCAAAGTGCTGGGATTACAGGTGTGAGCCACAGTACCCAGCATTTTACTTGATTTTTTTTTTTTTTTTTTTTTTTTTTTAAGACGGAGGCTTGCTCTGTTGCCCAGGCTGGAGTGCAGTGGTGCAATCTCTACTTACTGCAACCTCCACCTCCCGGGTTCAAGCAATTCTCCTGCCCCAGCCTCCCGAGTAGCTGGGATTATAGGCACGCACCACCACGCCCAGCTAATTTTTGTATTTTAGTAGAGACAGGGTTTCACCATGTTGGCCGGGCTTGTCTCGAATTCCTGACCTCAAGTGATTTGCCCGCCTTGGCCTCCCAAAGTGCTGGGATTACAGGCGTGAGCGACTGTGCCCGGCCAGGTTTTACCTAAACGTAACAAAAATTGTTAAACTTAAGGAATTGCTGACCTTGAGGTGCTTTTTCTACAAGAAATACTAATTTCTAAAAGATACCTTTATGGTTAAGAAAAAATGATAAAAATCAATTTTGTACTACATGTTTGAATTTTATGTATCACCTCCCCCCGCCACCATGTTTAATTTTAGACCATGTATTTTGAGACTTCTTCCTTGTGAAAGATGGGAAAGTTAGCTAGCGCACCCTCTTAATTCCTACGTCTGTTTAGTCTTGAGTCTCTATGTAATTTGATGCCAGTGTGTCCTTTTGCTACAGCTTCTCCATTCCTTAATTCTTTATTTTGATTTATCTCTTTATCTGTGTGGTTTCTTTGTCTGTTATCCTCCTTGAGAAGAATTTGTGGAGTTACCTGAGTTTTTGCGTGTTTGAGAGAATGTCCCCATGCTGTGAATGTTACTGTGGAGAAGTCTGACTGAGGTGTTTTCTCCTTTGTATCTGTACTTTTTCTGCCTACACTGCTTCCTCATTTTAAACATTCTTAGTATTGATCACTCTTCATCATTTTTTTCTTGGAACAGGATAAAACCCTTTCATGTTGTAGAGTCATGTCAAATTTCAGGAAATTTTTCTTCTTGTTATAGTTTTTTTTCTTCTTTTCTTTTTTCTTTTTTTAAAGACAGAGTCTTGCTCTGTCACCCAGGCTGGAGTGCAGTGGTAAAATCGTAGCTCACTGCAGCCTTGACCTCCCCGGGCTCAAGCGATCCTCCCACTTCAGCCTCCTGAGTAGCTGGGCCTATAGGCATGTGCCACCATGCTTGGCTAATTTTTGTATTTTTTGTAGAGACGGGGTGTCGCTATGTTGCCCAAGCTGGTTTTGAACTCCTGGGCTCAAGTGATCTGCCCGCCTCAGCCTACCGAAATGCTGGGATTACAGGTGTGAGCCACCGCTCCTGGCCTGTTGTTATAGTTTTAAATATTTTTCTTCTTTTGTCTTCTCTAAAATAATTTTATAGCTTTTTTTCCCCTGTTTCATTTTGTTTGATTTCCTTTAGTCTAGTGCTTTCAAAAATCAAGCAAGCATAAGAATCACTTGGAGTGCTTATAAGAACACAGATTCCTGGGCCCCAACCCCTTCAGGCTCTACTCCAGTAGGTGTGGGATGGGGCCTGATGATTTGTATTTCTGACAAGTTCCCTGATTACATTACTGGTCCAGGTCCACAGAGTAGCCCCGTGGTCCTCCAATTTTGGGTCTTGGGGTCCCTTGACTCTTAAAAAATTACTGAGGTCCTCAAAACACTTTGTAAGTTATATCTGCTGATAGAAAAACTGAGAAAAATGTACAAATAGTCATTAATTCATTTAAAAATATCTGTGATGAACCCATTACATATTAACAGATAATATGCTTTAATAAAAAATAACTATATTTTTCAAAGCAAACAGAAAAATTCACTGAGAAGAGTGGTGTTGTTTTACAGTTTTGCAAATCTCTAACATGTGGCTTAGTGAAAGGCAGCTTCTGCATTTCATCTGTTGCAATATCCCATGTGATGTAGCCTCTGGAAAGCTCCATTGTACACTTGGAGATAATGAAAGTGAAAAAGGAAAAGAACATCTTAGTATTCCTTTAAAAATAGTTTTGAATTTGTGGACTCCCTTCCCCGTAATCAACAGCCATTTTAATGTAGATAACCTCTGTCTTCTGTTTGGTAACATGTTCTTGTAAGAACTTACTGTTTTGTGTCCATGTATTTTAATATGTAAGTGGTATAGTAAAACTGTCATTCTGTTTCTTACTTTTAATTTAACTGTATCTTTTTAAGGTCTCTCCAAGCTGTTGCCCGTCTGTGCCTTAGTCCTCTACTTCTGCTCACTGTGTGATATGATACCTGACTCTGCATTCCCTATCCTCTCCCGCCAAGGAGGAGGCCAGACTGCCTCCAGCTCTCCCCCTCACGCCTGTCCCTTCATGGACCCGTGTGAGGGTTGCTTTGGGAGCATACCAGGAGAATGGTCAGGTGAAAGGATATGTGAATGTTTAATAGGACTCCAGAGTGCCAGGTCCTCCTCAGAATGGCCCTTCTTCCTGCACCGCCTTGTGAAGGTTCCTGCATCCATTCCTTGTACTTGACGTCTGGCATTTGCCAACATTTTTTCAGACTCCTTTTAATTTGCTTTTTCTGATTACTAATGAATTTGAAATCTCTTCATATGCTTTGGAGTTTCTTTCTCTGAAAATTGTCTCTCCATATCAACTGCCTGTTTTTGTACTGGGGTTGTTGTGTTTACTGATGTGTAGCATTTTAAAAATAGATTTTAGTTTTTAGTCCTTTTCGATGTTAGAAATTGTGAATATCTTCTCACAGTCTGTTGTCTGCCTGGTAACTTTCCCTTAATGTTTTTCATTGATTAGGAACTCTTTTTTTATTTTTATTTTTTATTTTTTGAGATGGAGTTTCGCTCTTGATGCCCAGGCTGGAGTGCAATGGCGTGATCTTAGCTCACTGCAACCTCCACCTCCTGGGTTCAAGCGATTCTCCTGCCTCAGCCTCCCAAGTAGCTGGGATTACAGGCATGCACCACCATGCCTGGCTAACTTTGTATTTTACTAGAGACAGGGTTTCACCATGTTGGTCAGGCTGGTCTTGAACTACTGACCTCAGGTAATCCACCCGCCTCGGCCTCCCAAAGTGCTGTGATTACAGGCATGAGCCACCGCGCCCAGCCTTGATTAGAAAATCTTAATTTTGTTATATTCCTCAGTATTTTTTGTTAAGGTTTTCTTTTTTGGTAGTTTTAAGGAGTCTTTTTCTCTCTTATATTTCAAATACTCTTATATTTTCTTCTGTTAACTTTAAAGTTTTATCTTTGGTTTAAGTCTTTACTTCATTTGGTGCCCAACTTTGTATGTGGTGTTAGGGATTTTTATTTGTTTATTTATTTAATGGTCATGTATCATGCTTTTCAAAAGCAAGGTCATGATTTGGGGGAACAGTAGCAAGAAAACAAAAACTTGAGTGGATTTGGGGTTTTGCAGCCAGAGAATAATCCCATCTTCTCTTCACTTATGTCTCCTGGGAAACTGCTGTTGTACAAATCTCACTAAAACTAAATTTGAGTCAAAACACTAAAGATTGTATCCAGATCCCCCTCACTAAGAATCATAATCAATTATCTTATTTTTGCTGTACTGTTAAAATTTCCTAATTAGTGTTTAACTTTGAGCATATAGATTTTATTTTTTTATTTCATAGGTAACTAAACTGATACATATATGTATACATATATATATATATTTTTTTGAAGGAGAATTACTTAAAGTCATTTGTAAGAGATTTGATGCTGGATAGCTTAAAAGCCTTTCTTATTTTCAGGTGACTTACTGAGTAACCTGTTGCAGAGTCCCAGTTCAGCCAAACTGTTGAATCAGCCAATTCCCATCCTTGATGTGGAGAGTGAGTATATCTGTTCCCTGGCTTTGGAGTGCCTGGCCCATCTCTTCAGTTGGATTCCTCTGTCTGCCAGCATCACCCCATCCCTCCTTACCACCATCTTCCACTTTGCACGATTTGGCTGTGACATCCGGGCCAGAAAGATGGCGTCAGTTAACGGCAGCAGCCAGAACTGTGTCTCGGGTCAGGAGCGCGGCCGGCTGGGGGTCCTGGCCATGTCCTGCATCAATGAACTCATGTCCAAGAACTGTGTGCCTATGGAATTTGAGGAGTATTTACTGCGTATGTTCCAGCAGACTTTCTACCTCCTGCAGAAAATCACCAAGGATAACAATGCCCACACAGTGAAGAGCAGGCTAGAAGAGCTCGATGAGAGGTAATGAAACCAAGTGTGGAGCTGGTGTGCCCCAAGAAAGGGCCCTGACTGTTTACCATGCTGTGCTGCATGGCATCTGTAATCCTCTTTGATTTCAGAATATGGGGCTCCTGGTGAGGAACAGAAAGGTAGGTGTGTGCCAGTAAGTCTGAGATTAGCTGGAAGGGCTTGGGTGGTTAAGGGAAGTGACTGAGTTTGAAAAATGCTTGTGCCTTGTGTAGGTTTGTTGTCTTTTCTCCCCATCCATCTCCTGTCCTCCCTTCTACTCCTCTTGCCCCCTTTTCCTTACTATTTGCTTGCAGGTCTGAGGTGGTGCAGGGACTGAGACTGCTGCTCCTGCGTAGCCAAGAACAGGAGAAGAGGTCCGTGGAGGTACAGGAGTTATAATCGCCTTTTGTCACTTGGTGTCAGTTTTTACTATTTGACTTTTCCCAAGTGAACATCCTGCAGTATTCAGGAATGTTGTTGTTATTGTGAGTTTTACACCAATGGCAAGTTTTCATCAAACTATAGGAGGGATGTTAATGTGTGCACAGGTTAATGTAGCACACAGCTGTGTTTCTTTGTTATTGTCCTCTCAAGTGGAGCCTACAATGACCTACTTTTTTTTTTTTTTAAAAGCACTCTAAAAGACGACTCCATCACAGTACTCTGAGGCAGGGTTTCATGATTTATGTCTCTTGCAGATGAGGTCATTTATGTATCTTACAACTGCTGCTGTATGAAAACAGGAGGGAATTTGGAAACTTATATTATGAACAATCAGATTGACGGTTTAGGGACTTTCAAGCAATAAATCGTATCGAATTAGTAAATATTTACAGATGACATGGCAGCAAAAGTTGCTAATATTCTCAGTTTTCCTTAGATTGTCCTTTGTTATTAAGCTATATAGAATTAAGCTATTTTCTTTTCCTTAGAGTAAATAGCAGAATATAAAATCAAGTGCATAAAGTTGAAAGTTGTAGTGCTTTTTAAATTGGGCAGTTTTGTAAAATATTTCTAAAATTAAAAAATTGGTACATAAGATTATTTTGGTTTGGTTTATTGTAAAACCGTGATGTTTGCTCTGTATAAGAACACAATCTGATATGGTAATATGTTCTTAAAAATTATTTGGTGATAGCTTTCCATATGAATTCAAAGGCATCATTATTCACACTTTCATATTCTTTCTGTCTGTGGTTAAGAAAGGCTGTATTACCTTTTTTTTAATGATCTGTGTGTCTCATGTCTATCTCTTCATATGTTAATTTAAAAATCTAGCTGCTTGTATCAACTATCAAATATCAGTTGTTTTGACTTTAATCATAATGTAGTCACAGACAACTTTGTTGTGGCTTCCATTTGGATGGTATAGAAATGTCATTATGGATTGTCTATGTACTGATGTTGTTACGTGTAACTTTTGTGCTCTTGGTTTTACATTTTAATCCTGTGCTTCCTATTGCCCTGTGAAAGCTGAGAGGTGCCTGGGAGCAGAAAGGTGACATAAATAATGCTGTGTGCTTGCTTCCTGGCTCTGGGTCCCCTACCACTAATTCTAAACAGCTCAGTCCATTCTCAGTTGTTTAGGAGCTGCTAACCAGATCCTTGGCTTCTCTTTCCCTCTACTGCCTTTTCCCCTAACTTTCTACTGTTCATTAGCACCTGTACCAGAAGGTGGGCAAGGGAAAGAAAATGAGGTGAAATAAAATCTGTAGTTTTAGCTACTGAACAGCCTTGTTTGTATTTTTAAAAAATTGGGTTAGATACTAAAGTAAAATTGAGATTGTTCTGTATTTAGCCCATGGCTTTTTTTTTTTTTTTTTTTTTTTTAAATGGGTAGTAGGGAATTGAGTGCACCTTCCTAAAGAACAGTCAGCTGGGTGGTGACTTTGAATATCCATGTAAAACTATCATGCGGTACATAAGTGAGTGAGGAAGGAGTTCCTACTCTTGAGTATTAGTGATTGATGACACCAGAGAGAAGTGTCTTTGTATGTTCCTGTCTCTAAAAACAGTTGATTTTAGTGCCTTACTGTTTTTCGAGTACTTGGCCCCATGATCCACAGAGACAGCCATTCTCTTTATCAAAACAAATTAATATGTATTTTTTAAAAAGCTGCAAATAAGCTCGGCCGCATAGAGGTCAGGCAGGCAGGCTGGCCACCCTCAGGGAGATAGGTCCCAGGAGCAACATGGGACATTTTATTTCCGGGCCAGTTTTGCTTTTCTGAGTAGTAGTTTTCTCTGCTTTTATTATTTCACATATCTCTGTTTTGAAAAATAGCTTTTGCAGTAATGAGCTTCAGAATTGCTTTTAGCCATTATTTCATTTTCAGCTAAGGCCTAGTATGTCTTTACCTTTTTGTGTTGGTCTCTGAAATGTGATTTATGAAGGTATGGCCATCTCATTTTCTAATCACCTTTTGGTATTTAGGGGCTTAAAATGACAGTTTCTGAAATGTGAGAGTGATGATGTGCTGTGTATTTAATAACAGAGATCTCTTATCCTTGCAGCTGTGACCCATACTCTTCTGTGAAATGATTTTGTGAATACAAATGAGTTGGGGATTCACTGTGAAGTGAAAAGAAAGAGCACTGGATTGGGAGTGGATGATAGTCCTGTTCTGCCATGAGTTGGCTGAGTGACTTTGGGCTGGTCACTTTACCTCTCTGGGCTTCATCTGCAAAACGGAAGCATCAGACTAAAGTCCCTGAGGCTTGCCCAGTTCTAATAGCCTTCCTCCCTTATATTTGAAATCACTTTTAGAGTATTGGGTTGTGCTGTGTTTAATTAGCACCAGGAACCAAAGGGGGAAAAATGGCCATTAAGTTGCAAGCCTGAGTACATCTTACCTGGATGCCATGCCCTTCGTAGCCTGGTTTTGTTTTTGTGTCTTTAGCACCATTCACTTTAGTATTTTGGCCTCCCGGAAAGAAAACCAGCCTTCTAGACTTGCCAGATTGAAATGACACAGTGATCTGCCCATCAACTTTTTATCATTTCCCTTCACTTTAATTGGGTCACAACACAAATGACTTAGAAAATGTGAGCGCACTAGATTATAAGAAGCCTTAGCAGACAGTGTCTGAGGATTAAAGTTGCTTTTCTGCTATGTTTCAGGTGGTTAATGGAATGAAGGGTTGCCTGTCCTGTAGGTAATTGTTGCAGGCCTTTATATTTTTAAAAGAAAATATATTACAAATTTGTATAGTTCTGTACTGAAAGAACTTTGGATTGAATTTAAGTTCTAAGGAGGTGGCTGGGTTTCTTATTGTCACCTTTTGTCTTGTCTCATTTAGCTATATCGAGAAGTTTACTGACTTTCTTCGGCTCTTTGTGAGTGTTCACCTAAGAAGAATCGAGTCTTACTCCCAGTTCCCTGTGGTGGAGTTTTTGACACTTTTGTTCAAGTACACATTTCATCAGGTAAAGCACCAAAGTCATCCTTCCCTTCCAGAGAAAAGGTTTATTACCTTGTTACTTTGAGAAGAAAGAACTTTTTCTTTCAACTTTATTTTCCAAACATTAATATAATGCTTATTATGTGAAGAGTCACAGGTTTAATCTTCCTAACATCCCTGTGAAGTAGGTTCTATTACCATTGTCATCTCTGTTTTGCAGGTAAAGAGACTGAGGCACAAAGAGTAACTTGCTTAGAGTCATACAGTTAGTAAGTGGTGGAGCTGGGATCTGAACCCAGAGTCAGGGCTCTTGACCACTATTATGTGAACAAAGCAAAAGAAAGGAAAAGTCTGAAATTACGGCCTTTAGTTCTGTTCTGTAACTGCCACTGAAACCTCCTTCAAGAAGATTATATATAGTGAAGCTCTCAAGAGTTAAGTTTTGGTAGTGTCCAAGTTTTTCTCCCCCTCACAAATATTTTTTGAGCTCCTATTGTATTCCAGGATTTAGACATACAACCTTCACAAGCAGTCTTTGCCTGCATTGAGTTTACTTACATTCTAGTGACCCTAGTCATTCTAGTATGTGTGTGTACACACACACACACATAAAAAATATATAAAATTATATATGTGGCTTTATTGAGGTATAATTTTATATACCATGAAATTCACTCATTGTAATTGTATAACTCAGTGATGTTCAGTGAATTCATGGAGCTGTCCAAACATCACCACAGTACAATTTTAGATATTTCTATCACATCCTATCCCCCGTGCCTGTTGGTGTGTGTTTTATCTTAGTTTTTAAAGTTTTTGGTAGACATTGGGTCTTGCTATGTTGACGAGGCTGACTTTGAACACCTGGCCTCAAGTGAGCCTCCTGTCTGGGCCTCCTGAAGTGCCAGTGTTACAGGCGTGAGCTACCGTGCCCAGCTGTGTGTTTTTAAAATAAGCTTTTTATTGAAGTATGACACACATACAGAAAAGTGCATAAATCTTAGGTGTAGTTAGATGAGTTTTCCCCAAATTGACATATGCATGTAACCATCACCTAAGTCAAGAAGTACATTGTTGCCAGCAACCAGGAAATCTCCTCATGTCCTTTCCAATCACTTCCCCTCGTTTCTCCCCAGAAGTAACCCCAGGCCTGACCTTAATACCACAGACTAGTTTCGCCTGTTTTAGAGCTTCTCTGAATGAAAGCACATAATGTATGTTTTATCTGTGTTTTTATTGGCCATCGTGTTTGTGAGCTTCGTTTGCGTTGTGTGTGGCAGTCATGTGTTGATTTTCGTTGTGCTGTTGTTAAGTCATTGTTTGCAAGTTCACTCCCCTGCTGATTTGGCTGCTTCCAGTGCTTACTGATCTTGCAGTGAACATTCTTGTACGTGCTTTTGGATGTACACAGATAGCTGTTTTAGTTGATATGTACCAGGGATGAAACTAATGGGTCACTGAGGACATTTGATTTTAGAAGTAGCCTTTTTTTTTTTTTTTTTTTAACCACTAGTGTTGTAGCTTAATGTGTCTAGAGGAAAGGCAAGGGTCTAGGCTAGGAGGGTTGTGTATATGACTTGGAGCAGGGGTTTGTTGGGAAAGCTGTCCTTTCTCAAGGAAGATCTTGGCATGTGAAAATAGAAGAGGACCCAGTGGTAAGGATGAGCCAGTCCTGGGAGCAGGGGAGGGAAGGCCAAAACTTGAAGAAGCTCAGAGGTGTCAGGTAGAGGGGCAAGTGCGTGCAGAGCATGAGGAGAGCCGTGCCGAGGTCATAGTCCTCAGGAGAACTTGAAGTGACTGCAGGAGGGTGAGGATGTAGGGGAGAAGCATCAGAGGTGGAACAGTTTTGGGACATCCAGAGGAATTTTAAAGGAGACCATGAAAAAAGAGGATTTGAGAGAATGTTGAGTGAGTGTTAAATAGCGTAACAGAAATGAGGGAGCTGAGGAGCCAGTTCTGAGGCCAGAAACAGGAGGCTTACTTGGGGGAGATGGAATGACAATGTCTTGACATTTCACTCTCTATGTAAAATGGGGTCTTCTGGTGTGTATAGTATAGAAGAAAGTGAAACATCTTTTAAAGTAGGCATGTCTTATGCCTGATTCTTTGGATTGGACCCAAAAGTTTTGTGTTTGAGGTCTGCTTATTTCTATTAGTTCTGTGTCCTTGGAGAAACCTTAAATTTACTTAGATTTCAGTTTCCTCACCTAAGAAAATAGACTGCAGTGGACATCTTCAGGCCTTTCCCCTGGCTTATTTTTTATGATTCTTTCAGTAGACTCCTATGTGTCATCGAATTGAAAATGGTGGTTTTATATATTTATATATTATATTTATATATTGGGAAAGTAATTGGGGAAAAAGTATGCTCATGAAGCAAACCACAAGCTTCTTTCCTCCTCTCTGTACCTGGAATCGTCAGATGAGCTCCTTTCTGCTCTCCTGTCTCCTGTATGAGGACCTTCCTTTCTGGGAGCAGGCTGGCCACCTGTGGGAGTAGGTATGTCTTTGACGTCCAGACAGAATCAGATTCTGAGCATTAGGTAGAGGGACAGGAACCTGAAAGGTACACTGTCCCAGCTTACTGTGGGTAAACCAGGGCAGACAGCCCTTTGCTGGGGAGGTAGAATGGTGAAAAGGTGGCAAGGTGCACTCTAGGACCAAGGCCTGCTTATAGGGGAGGTCTTTGGAATAAGACTTAAGAATAAGAAATTAAATGATCTCAAGAGACAGCTTTAAGTTCTCATCTGTTCACTAACAAGTATGATCTTACTCTCTCATAGCTTTATTACCTGTAATGTGGGAAAATGTGTCTTTCTCTCGTCTAGAGGGTTATATAAATATATTTAATATTCTTGCCTGTTGTTTCTAAAATTCACAAATTTTAGTACAGTCGTGTGTTGCGTCCCTTAATTGACAGGGATGTGTTCTGATGAATGTGTTAGGTGATGTCATCGTTGTGTGTACATCATAGAGTGCACTTACGCAAGCCTAGATGGGAGAGTCCATCACACAAGTAGGCTAGGTGGTGTAGGCCACAAACCTGTGCAGTGTGTTACTGTGTAGAGTACTACTCTACTATTCTACTGTGTAGAATACTGTAGGCAGCTGTAACACAAGGGTAGGGATTTGTATCTAAACATAGAAAAGGTAGAATAAAAATACAGGGGTTATCTTGAATTGGGCCACTGTCACACATGCAGTCTATTGTTGATGGAAATGTTGTTATATGGTACATGACTGTACTGATGAACATAATTTCGAAGAACAGTCATAAGACAGAAGATGGTGCTAGTATCTTCTTTAACCGTTTCTCCTTTTCTGTTTCTTTTCCTGCATTTTTCTGTAAATGCCCTGCCGCCAGCGCCTCCAGGTAGCAGTGCTCAGCAGGTGTCTGCTGCCTCCTGCCTTGCTTTGCTTGCTGAGCCTCCTGGCTGTCTATAAACCTATGTCTCTGTCTTAATGCTCCTAAGCTTAGTGCGTCCTCACCACTTCCTTCTTGTTCTTGTGTTTTTCATTTTGCCCCTTCTTCCTGAAACTGTGCCTGAGATGGTATACCCTGGGGGGGAGGGCTGTGGACCACAGAGCCTTAAGATCCACCTTCCTTTTGTTTTTTTTTTTTTTTATTTTCTTTTTTTTTGGAGACAGAGTTTCACTCTTGTCGCCCACGCTGGAGTGCGATGGTGCGATCTTGACTTACTGCAACCTCTGCCTCCTGGGTTCAAGCAGTTCTACCTCTCAGCCTCCTGAGTAGCTGGGATTACAGGCAAGCACCATCCCACCCGGCTAATTTTTTGTATTTTTAGTAGAGATAGGGTTTCACCGTGTTGACCAGGCTGGTCTCGAATTCCTGACCTTAGGTGATCCACTTGACTCAGCCTCCCAAAGTGCTGGGATTACAGGTGTGAACCACCGTGCCTGGCCAAGATCCACTTTCTAGTTCTGATTTTGTTCCTTAATTGTCTTGTTACCTTGGGCAAGATACGACTGGACTTGACTTTTGAGCCTTGGTTTCTTTATCTGTAAAAGGGGAAGATGCAAAATATTTGTTCACTTTCCAAGACTTATGAAGATCACATAGACCAATGCAAATGAAAACTAAACACTGTAAACCACTTGGAAGATAGAATGGTATCATTAGTTTCTTAAAGAAACCTGGATTTGTAGCCCTGGAATCTGAAAAGTAAATTGGGGTCTAGGTCCATTTTAAAAATGGGTCTGTGAAGGTTTTGAAAAGTTAGGCGACTTCAAAAATGGAGCCAGCCCATCATCTTGATGACCGGAATGAACCATGTCCACAGCAACTATCAGAGGCCAGGTCATGGGCGGCCTGTGGGCAGTGCACAAGCCCTCGCAGTGGGGCCTGCAGGAATGGATGTGAAAGGTGGTGCTTCAGGTTATACAGGGTGTGTCTGCTCACCTTTCCCCCAGCCTTGAGCATATAGCAAGTCCTCAATTCACATGCATGAAGTTTATATGTATAATTATAAAGTACTTTGACGGAGCCATAATACTTGGATTTATGTGGTAACCTTTCCCAAAGGCACTTCCATATGCATCTGATGAGCTGTGCTCTTTTGAGGGGGCTAGTGGATAGTTTTGAACCAAGGAGGGATAACCTTGGTGATTGACTTGAGGGAAGCTCAGCAAGTTGAACCTAGGACAAGAGTGTGTCTCTTGGATGGGCAAGTCTAGTGGCCTGTCCAAGGACTACTCATATCATTTCTTCTTTTTTTTTGAGACAGGGTCTTGCTCTGTTGTCCAGGCTGGAGTGCAGTGGCACGATCTCAGCTCACTGCAACCTCCGCCTCCTGGATTCAAGCGATTTTCCTGTTAAGCCTCCCGAGTAGCTGGGATCACAGGCGTGCATCGCCATGCTCGGCTAATTTTTGTATTTTTAGTAGAGAAAGGGTTTACACCATGTTGGCCAGGGTGGTCTCAAACTCCTGACCTCAAGAGATCCACCCGCCTGGGCCTCCCAAAGTGTTGGGATTACAGATGTGAGCCACTCGGTCTGGCTGCCGTATCATTTCCATGTGGCTTATTCATTGTTTTTCCTGGTTATTCTCCTGGTTCACTTCATGTCGTGGATATTGTCAGTATTGCCAAGTATGAGGTAGAGACAGGACTTGGTCATTTTGTTTTCTGAGGTTGGTCCTGTCTAGTTCCAGAGCTACCCTTTGGGTCGTGAAGTTGGAATTTGCCTGGCTTTTTAAGTTACACTCTTTTCTTTTTTCTTTCTTTTTCTTCCTTTCCTTTCCTATTTTAATTTTTTTTCTAAAATATACACACCGAGTCTCACTATGTTGCCCAGGCTGGTCTCGAACTCCTGGTCTCAAGCAGTCCACCTGCCGTGGCCTCTCATAATGCTGGAATTACAGGCATGAGCCACCACGCCCAGCCAAGTTACACTTATTCTGTCTCAGACTTCAGCTTAGGTACAGAACTCCCACTGGATACCACCACCCATTGTTAGTTATTTCTTGGGCACCTCCATGTATGCCCTTGTAAACGTCTAGATTTCCATGTGGATCAGCAATGGAAAGAAACTGATCCAAGAAGGTCATGTTATTATTTATTTTCATATTTGATCTTGTCACCAAATATGTGGTCCAGTGAGACAGCCACCAGCAAAACCAAAGGAGTCTTTCAGGTAGTGAGCATTTGAGTGGAGATATCAGGGTTTGGAGCCACAAGTTGAACCTGAATGCATAGGGGAAGGAGTAGCTGTTGGAGATTGTGTTGCCTGGACTTTGCATGAAATAGAGTCTCAGAGCCCTTGAGAAAGTTAACTAGTGCAGTGGTCTTCATTGTACTACTAGGATCCTACAAAGACTTCTCACTTTGTTCCTCCACATCAGCACCTGGTTGGAGGTTGCTATTAGCACGTTTGACACCCTTGCTTTTGCAAATGGGATAATGCCCTGAGGGTCAGACTTAATGAGCTCATTTTCAGTCTGTTCTGTAGGAAGACTGCAAGTGTTACTTTCCTTACATTCAAATGTGTGAACCTGTCACCTTTGGAGCCACTGAAACTGATTTTTGCTTTCGTAATGGTTTGTAATGGAAAGAGCATTGGCTGGGGGTAAAGGGACTTGTTTTTACCTCTGGCCTTGAACAACTTATATCTCTGAATCTCGATTTCTCTCTGGAAAATAGATTTAAACTAGATGATCTGTAAGAGCCCTCTCTACCAGTCTCAGATTTTAAGATAGGTTTTTGCTTGACTTATTTTATAACTCAGTTTATGCTGCACAGTATCTCCCTCATGATGTGTTCCATGGTACCCTTGTCTTGTAAGGTTCAGGAGGGCCCAATGGTATAGACCGACTAAAAGCCACCAGTTTTGGTTACCAGGAAACTGGGGAATCTAGGCTTATGATTTCATCATTCTGCTGGAATTAAACACTGGCATGTGTGTGTTTCTAAGGAATAGTAGCATTAAATAATTTCATTGTCTGGATTTTTTTTGTACCATAGCCTACTCATGAAGGTTACTTCTCTTGTTTGGATATCTGGACGCTGTTTTTGGACTATCTGACAAGTAAAATTAAAAGTCGTCTTGGAGACAAGGAAGCAGTTCTCAACAGGTAAACTCCTCAAACACTGAAAACTAGATATGGTCATTTTGCCAGTTATTCTAGTGGCCTAAGAGACAGCCATGCATTTGGACCTTTTCAGTGAAGCTGAGTCATGTAAGCTGTTTAGGCAATAATGCCATTGAGCATTTCCTTTTTTTTCTCCTTTAAGTATTTTGTTAAGACTTTTTAAAATTTTAAAAGTAATATGTATTACTAATTTTTTATATTTTAGTGCATTTGTGTTAATGTTCTTAATTTTTTAATAGCCCTTATTTTAGAGATACAAACTGAAGTATTTATTGGATAAAATGATATGACATCTGGGATTTGCTTAAATAACCCAGTGGGGGTAGAAGGGAAGTGGGTTCCTGTAGAGAAGAAACAGGCTGCCCATGTGTTGGTGATTGATGTTGGAGTTAGTTCCTAGGAACTTGGGGTTCATTATGTTCTTACCCCATTTGTATGTGTTTGAAAATTTCCTAAATAAATTAATAAATACCTGTTAAGAAAAAGGTGTTCATTTTTAAATCTAGGAAAAGATATAGGAAAATGTAAGGAAGATAAACATAATCCCACACCCCAGAGATAATTGCTTTTGCACTTTTTGTTGTATTTTTAAAAAACAGAGAATGCGGAATGGTTTGTTTCCCCCCCCATATGTTTCTCAAACCCATTTTTCTTGCTTGCAGGAAGAGAGTATATTTCCTGTACAATATGTTCTTTGTGCCACAGGGTGGGGAGAAGAGGAGGGGAAGGTGGAGATTCAGCATGCCAGGAAAATAATGGCAGCATCCATATATGGGGAAAGTAAATGTGGCAGCTTTTCTTAGCAGAAACATACCCATCATAGTCTCAGTAGGTGACTGCATCCCAGTCACACAGTGAGCAGGCAGTCATGAAGGAGGCAAAGAAGCTATATTTTGCATTTTAGGATCAGAGTAGTTTCCTAATAAACTAAAACTGATTCGTGTAATTTGTATATTTATGCTATGAGATTACAAACTAGGTGATCTAGCCCTAAGTACTTTATCATACTTAACAGAGTGCCTGCAGATTTTACTCAGTTTGGTTATAGCTCCTACTTCTTTGCACAGTATTTATAAGAGCAATTTCAGATTAGGTGGTCATTGTGTTGTAAAACCAGTGCATGAGGGGGTTCTGTCGAGTGGAAGCCATGACGGGGAATCGCACAGACCTATGTTTGGATCCTGGTTTTGTAGTTCCTACCTAGGGGTACTTGGGTAAGGTACTTAGCCTGTGGAAGCTTCTGTTTCCTCATTTGTAAAATGAGGATGAAAATAATAGTTGTTGAGACATTAATTGAAATAACGAACTAACATATTTAGAATGCTTGGCACACTGCAAGTGTTCACCTGGTGGTGGTGTTAGTGAATACTCTTTCCCCATAAATGTACCAAATGGAGGAAGGTGGAGAGGAGAGACTCCACTGCAGAGAAAAGGTTGGGCTGGAACTCCAAAGGCTTTTCCATTGCTGAGGTTTTATGAGTTTAAAAAATTCTAAACAGGACCTAGATGTGGTAGTATGTACCTGTAGTCTCAGCCACATGGGAGGCTGAGGCAGAAGAATCGCTGGAGCTCAGGAGTTCAGAACTGTTGTGTGCAGTGATCACGCTGTGGCTGGCCACTGCTCTCCAGGCTGGGAACATAGTGAGACTCCTTGTGTCTCTTGGTACCAGTCACTGGTACCATTTGCTGAACTCTGTCTCTATTGAAAATTAAAATAAATAAATATGCAAATATTCTGTTGAGAATTTTATTTTCCAAGTTTAAACATTTGTTCTTTTGTTCCCAAAGATGGTTTTTGTAATTGTGGAATAAGTTCCAGGTTGCTATGGTGTCAGGTCACATGTGTGATTATAGGTAGTACGTTCATATATCAGAAATCGTATTACACACAGGAGATCCTGTTTTTGGTGAAGTTGCCAACTTTAAGTAATTATGTTTTTGAAATGAGATTCTTGAAGGAAAAGTTACTTTTGCCAAAATAATCTTTCTTGCATGCTAAATAGGCATATCTTTTTGGTTCTGGGACTATGCCTCATTTTTCTATATTTAGTGGTAGATATTCCTTCATATCTCTCAAGCTTGTTGTGAGAATAAACTGAGGAAATGATTAATATGAAAATGCTTTTTAAAAAACAGTACAAGGCCGAGTGCGGTGGCTCCTGCCTGTAATCCCAGCGCTTTAGGAGGCCAAGGCAGGGGGACCACGAGGTCAGGAGTTCAAGACCAGCCTGGCTGAGAAGGTGAAACCCTGTCTCTACTAAAAACACAAAAATTAGCTGGGCGTGGTGGCAGGCATCTGTAATCCCAGCTACTTGGGAGGCTGAGGCAGGAGAATCTCCTGAACCCGGGTGGCAGAGGTTGCAGTGAGCCAAGATCATACCACTGGACTCCAGCCTAGGCGACAGAATGAGACTGTTTAAAAAAACAAAAACAAAGTACAAATGAGAGATGTGAAGAATATGGTCCTGTTGAGAAAATATATACTAGCAGATTATTAGTATTAAACACACACTTTTGCAGATCATTATACTAATAGAGCAGTGGTATAGAGAATTTAAATTCTTTTTTTGCTTTAGGCTAGCCGTGTTACTTTTGGTCAAGTTATATGCTGATCACATTTCCTCTTGCAAAATGGACGTACTTAACACTTCTCTTGCAGGATGGTTAGGATTCAAGGAAATCATGTATGTAAAATACCTGGCACAGCATCTAGATGTATTAGGCACTCAGTAAATGGTCACAGTGATGACAACAGCAATGATGAATAATAGAAGATGTTACTGCCTTTAGACTGTGGTTGTGACTGTAGCGTTAGGTGGCATGGCCCCTGGACAGTCTAAAGGCCTTTAGCCCACCTGCAGATGTTTACCTGCCTGCCCTGGCATCTGTTGTCTAATGTCACAGTTGTCAGTTGTTCTGGCTGACCACTTGAAACAGTGGGAATTTTTCTCATTGATCATGTGATTATCATCCTAAATGAGGCTTTTTAATTTTTCATGATTTATTCTTTTTTAAACATAACACTTTCATATAATGCCTTTATGCCTTTGAAAAATAAAACAACAGGCCAAGTGCCATTGCTCATTCTTGTAATCCCAGCACTTTGGGAGACTGAGGCAGGAGGATCACTTGAGGGCAGGAGTTTGAGACCAGCCCGGCCTACATAATGAGACCCTGTCTCTACAAAAACTTAAAAAACAAATTAGCCAGACATGGTAGTGTGCACGTGTAGTTCCAGCTCCTTGTGGGGACCAAGGTGGGAGGATCACTTGAGCCCAGGAGTTTGAGACCAGCCTGGGCAACATAGCAAGACTCTGTCTGTACAAAAAATACAAAAATTATCCAGGCATGGTGGTGCATGCCTGTAGTCCCGGCTACTCAGGAGGCTGAAGCAGGAGGACTGCTTAAGCCCAGGAGTTGGAGGCCACAGTGAGCTATGATCATGCCATTGCACTCCAGCCTGGGCGACAGAGCAAGACTCTGTCTCTAAAATAAAATAAAACAACAACAACAACAAAAACCCCTCCAAGCTCCTCTGGTTAGTGCTGTTAAATAGTAACCACCGTCTGGGGAACTGCATGTCCTGTCAGATACCCCTTAGTGGTCTAAGACAGTAGACTACAAAGAACATGTGTTAGTCCAGTGGGCTGCACAAAGAAAATATTTCAACTTCAGCTTATAATTTTTTCTGTAACCCTTAACATTCACCACTCCAGACTATGAGAGACTCTTAATATATCAGAGATATGCTGTTTTGCAGGAGCAGCTGCTGAAGAACACTGGCTTCTGGTGATGACCACATTTATGTTAACTAAGAGCATGCACATGTGATCAAATGTTTGTCAACTGATAAAATATACCAGAGAGAAGTTGGGATGTTCTGGAATCATATTTCAGAAGCAACTAATCTTGCAGGAAGTAGTCAAAAATGTTTTCTTGCTGTCTTAAATGGGAAATGTAGGTGTGGTTAAGTCACAAAGGCAGCACTCATTTCCTGTCCCCTGTGGTTTAAAGGTTTTGCATCATTCATCACAACAAAGTGGTAAGCATTGTAGGCTACAAATTTAGAAGCACAAATATACATAGATTTATTTTTGGTCCTAGGAGCTTGGAAATTGGAGCTCTGCATGCTCACTTGCCTGGTCAGGAGCGCAGTGGCGCGATCTTGGCTCGCTGCAAGCTCCGCCTCCTGGGTTTACACCATTCTCCTGCCTCAGCCTTCCGAGTAGCTGGGACTACAGGTGCCCGCCACCACGCCCGGCTAATTTTTTGTATTTTTATTAGAGACGGGGTTTCACCGTGTTAGCCAGGGTGGTCTCGATCTCCTGACCTCATGATCCACCCGCCTCGGCCTCCCAAAGTGCTGGGATTACAGGTGTGAGAGGAATTTCTTGATGAGAGACTGTGGGGACTTGAGAGAGCCTGAGCCCCAGTGTTAATGGGGTAAATGTTCTGTAGCCATTCCTGCAGAGTGGAATGGCCGATGGGGTAGATCATCCTGATCTGTATTTTGAGGTGGTGGCATGGAAAGGCCCGGATTTTCCTTTCCCTTTCCTTGTTTGTGCTTTTGGATGGTTGTGCCTTCCTCACAGATTGTTGAGAAAGTGGGATGAACTAATGAGCGTAAAGTGCCTTGGCTGACAGTAGGTGCTCAGCAAATAAGCATTGGTTCACCTCCCCTTTCTCTCTCACTTCCGGCTCTTTGTGCTTGTCAATGTGAAGGGAGTCACCTGTGTAGAAACTTATTTTTACAGGAAGGTGAAGAAACCTGAGTGTGTGAAGCAACCTAAAGTCATTGTGTCATGTTCTGTGAGCCTCTTTGTGACTAGACTTCTGGCAAGTGCTGGCCACAAACCAACGTAGGGATTCTGGTGACATTAGATAGGACTGTAAACAAATGTGAGTGAGGGTGAGAAAAACTGCTCCTTGCTTTTTGGAGTGGGTGAACCTGCTTAATAAAGAGGAAGTGCCACTGTTACACATGACATTGTGGTGCAATAAAGGTGTGAACTAGGTTTAGATCAGAGCTCTAGCAGCTTTCTAGTTCTTGCTCTTGACTGCCCCACAGGGCAAGTGAATAGAGTCTTAGTTGCTTTATTGAGTTGAAAAAGCTATCCAGGAATATGCTTCAATCCTTTGTATTTACCTGACTTGGAATTTTGTCTGTTTATCACCTGTGTGTTTTTCATTCATTTCTTTGTTCATTTGTTCTTTATTCATATATATTTTATTGAGCACCTACTATGTAGTTGCCTTAACATGTATAATTTTATTTAACTCTCAGAACTTGAGGCTTATAGGCTTATCTCTGTGGTGTATATAAGCATTTAATGCTGTAAATTTCCTTCTAAGCCCTGCTTTAGCTTTATCCCTCAAAAAAAATTTTTTTTTTTTTTTTTGAGACGGGGTCTCACTCTGTCACCAGGCTGGAGTGCAGTGGCGTGATCTTGGCTCACTGCAACCTCTGCTTCCCGGGTTCAAGCAATTCTCCTGCCCCAGCCTCCCGAGTAGCTGGGATTACAGGCACAAACCACCACACTCAGCTAATTTTTGTATTTTCAGTAGAGACAGGGTTTCACCATGTTGGTCAGGTTGGTCTCAATCTCATGACCTTGTGATCCGCCCGCCTTGGCCTCCCAAAGTGCTGGGATTACAGGCGTGAGCCACCACGCCCGGCTATCCTTCAAATTTTAATGTTACATTTTAATTTTCATTTGATTTAAAATATTTTCTAATTTCTTTGGAGATTTCCTGTTTAGTTTCCGAATATTTGGGGATTTTCCATATACCTTTTTGTTATTGTTTTCTAGTTTAATTTGTACATGTCTTTTTTTTTTTTTTTTTGAGATGGGGTCTTGCTCTGTCACCCAGGCTGGAGTGCAATGGTGTGATCTCGGCTCACTGCAACCTCCACCTCCCAGGTTCAAGCGATTCTCCTGCCTCAGCCTCCCAAGTAGCTGGGATTACAGGTGCCCGCCACCACGCCTGGCTAATTTTTGTATTTTTAGTAGAGACAGGGTTTTGCCACGTTGGCCAGGCTGGTCTGGAACTCCTGACCTCAGGTGATCCGCCTGCCTTGGCCTCCCAAAGTGCTGGGATTACAGGCGTGAGCCACTGCGCCCAGCCTGTACATGTTGTCTTTATCCTACTTATTCTATCAGTTACTGAGAGGGGGGTGAATTCTCCAAAAATAATTTTGGATTTGTCTGTCTCCTTTTAGTTTGATCAGTTTTTGCTTCATTTATTTTGAGACTCTGTTAGTTGCATACACATTTAGTTTTCTTTTCCAGTGTGTCTATTGAGTGTTGGACCACATTTCTTTATGTGGGTTTTTTTGGTGGTTGCTCTGGGTATTACAGTATATATACTTAACTTTTCAGAGTCACATTTTACCACAAGGGTGGTATGGAAACCTTACCACCATATAGATTAGAGTCCTTTAGCCTCTCTTCTTTATATTGAGGTTTTACATATACATACTTGGAAAACCCCACCAGACAGTGTTCTAATTTATACACGTACCCATCATTCATATTTTATAGCTCTTAAGAAGAAAGAAGTAGTCTATTAGATTTACCCAGACATTGCCATTTCTCTTGCTTTTCCTTCCTTCTTGAAGTTCCAGGTTTCTTTCTCATATTGTTTACCTTCTCTATTAGTTAGATTGGGCTACCATAACAAAATACCACAGGCTGGCCTTAAACAACAGAAATTTATTTTCTCTTAGTTTTGGAGTCTAGAAGTTCCACTTCAAGATGCTGGCAGATTCTGTTTCTGTGAGCTCTCTTGGTAGCTTGCAGATGGCGCCTTCTCTCTGAATGCTCACGTGGCCTTTCTTGTGTGCATGTGAGGAAAGGGAGGGAGAGAACCCTTGTGTCTCTTCATCTTCTCATAAGGGCAACAGTCCTATTGGATTAAGGCCCTACTCTTTGACCTCACATAACTTTATTACCTTTTTATAGGCCCTGTCTTCAAATACAGACACATTGAGGGTTAGGCTTCAATATATGAATGAGTACTTTTTGGGGGAAGAGTCGCACAATTCAGACCATAGAGGAACCTCATGGAGCATTGTTATTATAGCTGTTTTAGAGTCATCGATAATTCCAACACCTTTGTCATCTTGAGGTTGGCATCTGTCGATTGTCTTCTCCTTGAGAAGTTGTGTCTCTTTGAGTAGCAAGTAATTTTTTGAATCCTCTTACTTATTTGTTCTACCATTAGGCGTGGCTTCCCTCTCCATCATCATCTTATGGTCAGAGATGGATGCTGGATGATGCTACAGACATCATACCCATGATTCAGGCAGTAGGAACGAGAAGTGGGATAGGTTGGGCAAAAGAAGCTTTCTTAGAAGTCCCACCCAGTAGCTGCTTTTAGGCTCTCGTTGACCGCCCCCATCTTCAGGGGAGATGTTGTCCTTGAGTTGGCCTCAATACCCAGTGCTCTCTTGCTGAGGAAGGAGAATGGGTATTGGGCAGGCAACCAGAGTGTCTGCCACAGCCATATACTTTCTCCACCTCCCACATGACACTTTGGGAGATCAGTGATCTATGTGCATGTTTGCCTGGTTCCTACTTGGACTTAATTTTCTAAGCGATACGGGTTTTTTTTGCAGCCAGAGTTGCCAATTGCCAGTTAAGATTTTAGGTCTAATTTAGGGTTACATTTGCATAGAAAGTCTCTAAATTTCCTTTTAGCACAGCAAGACAATTTATAGATGACAAAATTCATCTGTCCTCTGGTCTGAAGTAGATTTTCTTTCCTAGGAGAATTGTGGAAATATTTTGATCTGTCACAGCAATTTATAGTGTGGAACTTCTGTAACTTTAGAAATTTATGTCTTGAACAAAGGCAAAAACATAAACTCTAGGCCTAAATGTTTGATCTTACCTTTCTATGGAGTTTACTAAGTGGGATTTTGACTTTATTGGGTGAATTTTCCCACAGACGTTGCAGATTTTATTAGTGCCTTTTTCCCTGCCGGCATTCTTTCCTGGGCCCTGTTCAGTTGCTAGTCTACTTTAGGGCTGGCGTGTGTTAGGTTGTTAAGTCGTTTGCATACAGTTGGGGAGTCATTGCTGGATATGGGCAAGTAGGGAGTGTCTCTGTCTCTAGTTAAGAAACGAGCTGTCGGGAGCTAAATAGTGGGTGCTCGTGGACATAGGATGGCAACAACAGACACTGGAGACTGATAGAGAGGGAGTGGGGAGGAGGGCAGGGGCTGAAAAGCTATTGGGTACTATGCTCAGTGCCTGGGTGAGGAGATCAGTTATACCTCAAACCTCAGCATCACGCAGTATACTCCGGTAACCAGTCTGTACATGTATCCCCTGAATCTAACATAAAAGTTGAAATTATGTTAAAAAATAAGTAAATAAATACAAATGTCAATTTTGGCATAGGTTAAATTTTTAAGTTAAAAAAAAAAAAGATACTCTGGTCACCAAAATCTGAAATGGGACAATCCAGGAGGATTTGTAAGTGGTCTGTAGACTGATTCTCATCACATGGGCTGTACCTCCTGGACTAAATGGACTGTATTTGGTCTTGGTATTGGATATCTTTTAACTTTGGTTATCATGTTGTCCCAGTACTCAACTGTATTAGATTGGGTGGTGTATTAGAGTCCTGTCAGGAAATCAGAAACCATACTTAATTATTTGAACAGAAAATTCATTTTAGGAAATTGATTAAATAGGTTTCAGAGGAAACACTGAGATAACACAGTTGATAAGTACAGGAAGTGGCTTCACCCCTAAGGCTAGAAGTACAAAGGCAAGAAGCTGGGGCTGTCAAAATCTGGAAGATCACTGCTTGGTCCCTGAGCAACTAGGGTTCAGATCTCTGAAGAGAGGGCCCCATCTAGCTGCCACAGGAGTTCAGAGGAGGGATCTTTTCGAACTGGGACCATTCCTTTGAGGAGAGGGTGTTGCCTCCACCTCTGAGGGTGCACGATACTAGTTCTGGGAATGTGGAATGAAGCTGGAAACCGGAACCAGTTGCTTCTGCCAGGTGTCTGTTGCTGGGGCAGCACTGCCAGGACAGCAAGCCCACAGGAAGGATGCAGTCCTTTTGTCCCTTCTGCCTTCCAGTCTCCCTCCAGTGTCCCTGCTGGCAGAACCTAACAGACCGAAACAAAGTGTCCTTTGAGTCTCAGCCCCAGCATCATAGCTTTGGAGAGCAGATTGATGTGGAGAGCTTACTAACCAGCACTGGTGGTTTGCTCTGTGAATGGGAGCAGTCCCTTAACTTATCTTAGAAGCGTTTCAGGATAGGCGAGTATTTAGGCAACATGATTTGTTCTTGAAAATGAGCAGTTTGTTGGTCCTTGTGGTAGCAATTGTTGCTTATAACTTGGTATCTTCTGAGTTGGGTTCTTATTACATGTGGGAAATATCCAAACCTACCGCTCTGAGTATTTCTTTGAGAAATTATTCTTAGACACAAATCAAAGGGTCAGGGTTTCCCCAGGCTCTTTTTAGTTTCTAAGTCTTCTTAAAATGGACTAAAGATTAGGTTTTGGGAGTTGGGTGGAGCAGGCTTAAAACCCATTGGTGCTGGGCGCGGGATCACGCCTGTAATCCTGACACTTTGGGAGGTCGAGGCAGGTGGATCATCTGAGGTCGGGATTTCAAGACCAATCTGGCCAACATGGCGAAATCCTGTCTCTACTAAAAATACAAAAATTAGCCAGACCTAGTGGGTCATGCCTGTAATCCCAGCCACTCGGGAGGCTGAGGCATGAGAATCACTGAACCTGGGGAGGCGGAGGTTGGAGTGAGCCAAGATTGCGCCGTTGCACTTCAGCCTGGGTGACAGAGGAGACTCTGTCTCCAAAAACAAAAACAAAACAAAACAAAACAAAACACTTCATTGGTGATTTATGTGTAGCGAGAACATGATTTTGAATTAGGGGGCCCTAGGTTCGAAATAGCTTTGTGGCCTTGGGCAGTTTATTTAACTTCTGTTAATTGTTGTTTCCTCATCAGAAAAATATTGATACCATTTACTTCTCACAGCTGTTAAAAGCATGAAATCATTGAATTAGGTAATATTTATATGCAGTGCCTATCATCCCCAGAGCAGCTGCTAAGATCATAACTTGAAAATACTTAGTAAAAGAAAGGACAAGGGATTTAAAATGCAGCACTAGAAAATACCTGTTTGACACAAAAGAAGGCAGGAATGGAGGAATTGAGGAACATAAGTCATAGAAAATAAATAGCAAAATGGCAAAAATGAGGCCTTCCTTATCAGTAATTACATTACATTTAGTGGATTAGATTCTCCTGTTAAAAAAGGCAGAGAACAGATTTTTTAAAGCCACGACCCAATGACGTGTTGTCTACAAGAGACTCACTTTGGATTCAGATACAAATAGATTGCAAGTAAAAAGATGGAAAGAGATATTCCGTGCAAAAAGTAGCCAAAAGAAAGCTCGGGTCACTATACTAATAGGAGACAAAATATATTTTAAGACAGAAATTATTGCCAGAGACAAAAAAGGCTGTTATATAAACAGTCTGTCAGGAAGATACATGGTGCCTGGTACGTCATTAAATAAATACCTCTGCTTCTCTTCCATGGGCGCACACACGTACCAACCCATAAACTCAGCCTCAGGAATTTCGATGCTCTTTTTCCATGGTGATCAACATAGACACCATTTCTTTTATAGTGCAGGAGGCATTTTCCAAATTCTAAGCTGAAAGCCTCCTTTCAATGTTGAATTTCTCCCTGCCACATAGGTACGAAGATGCCCTGGTGCTCCTGCTCACAGAGGTGTTGAATCGAATCCAGTTCAGATACAACCAAGCCCAGCTGGAGGAGTTGGATGATGAGACTCTGGATGACGATGTAAGCGGCATGCCCTGATTGATTTTTTGTCGCTGTCATGTTGTGACATCAATCAGAATGGGGACCTGGAACCCAGAGCCCTCTGCTCCGAAGACTGTTCTGAAACCAGAGTAGTCTTCTGGTTTGAGTCGTACATTTGAAATTTTTAATCTCCTGCTGGTCCCTTTTGGCTTATTAACCATAAAAAATGTTTTACAGGCTTTTTTATCTATGTGGACTAGAGATGTAAGTAGAGAAACCATATGCACAATGAAAAACGGTTTAGTGAGAACTCTGTATCCTCTCTGTCTCCCCTGCCTTGCACCCTCACCTCTGCTCCCCAACCTGGGCAGCAGTAACAGCTAGCTGGATGCTTGTGGAGACCGTTAGCAAGATACTGAACCGATAAGGCTAGAATGAAAGGAAGTCTGTTTGGAGTACATTATGCAAACTTCTGCTTCTTAAAATCAGCCTTGAATTTATTGATGCTGATGTGCCCAACATTAATAAGGAAAATGTCTTTAAGGAAACAATTCCAGTGTTTTTTTTTAAACCATTAGGCACTTTAAAATTTTTCAAATAACTGCTGCTCTTCTCAAAGTAAGAGTGACTGCGGCATGGTCAAGAGCTTATGGGTGGTCATATTTGGGTTACAGAGAGCCCTTTGCTTAGAGCCAGATGGCCTGGGTTTGAAGCTCTGCAACCTTGGGCATGGAGGAGATTGGAGGGCTGGGTGTGGCATTTCTGTGAGCCTTAATGTCCTCATCTCCCAAAAGGGGAGTGACGTGTCTTGCTTCTTAAATGTCACCATGGATAAGAATCACTGGAACAGCTTGTTAAAGCAGATTCTGATTCTGGAGGCTTGGGGTGAGGACCATAGAATTTGCATCTCTGACAGCCCACCAGGGGATGCGTTTGCTGGCTGGCTGTGGACCCCATTCTGAGTGGCACTGAGTCAGTCAGTTATGTGGATAGGGATACAGTAGTGGACCGTGTCAGAAGGTGATGCGTGATCATTTCCAACAGGTGATTTCACAAGTGGCTCTCCATCTCTGTATCCTATAACCCAAAGGGGGGAAAATAGCTTATTCTATGTGGATCATTTACTTTCTGAGGAAGTAGTTTTTTGTGAAATTAATTCATTGTTTTTAAAAAATTCTAGCTTGGCCTTTTTATAGTACCAGATAACCTGGTTCCATCATTTTCCATTTCTTCAAAATTTTATGTCTGAGAGTGGTCTTGAGGTTGGCAAGGAAGATGAGAGGATTCTGGGAGAGCTGATTCTCCTGTGCTTCCCCTACAGCAGCAGACGGAGTGGCAGCGGTACTTACGGCAGAGCTTGGAGGTGGTGGCCAAAGTGATGGAGCTCCTGCCCACGCACGCCTTCTCCACACTGGTAATGTGCTGTCCGGGGGAGTGGAGAGTGTAGCGATTTCTCTGTACACAGAGCATGGCTGGTTGACTCCCCTGGATCTCTCTCTCTCTCCCCTCTTTCCCCTCTATGTAATTTTTAAAAACAGAATAATTACCATAAGTGATGCTCAAACTGAACAAATATTAACATTTCCACAAAATATTAAACCAACTTTTGGAACCTTGTTTAGTCTTGGATATAATAGCAATTTGACTAAAGCCTTAATACCTTTATCAGTAGCTTGCAAGTGGCCAGGCCGAGTGGGAGCTGTTACTTATAGAAGTTACATTGCTGAAAAGCTGGCCTTTGTAAAGCTCGCTCTTGGCAAATTGCTAGCTTTCTCTGCGTGTGTCTATACGTGCTGGAATCTTTAGTTGTAAGGATTGATTCCCTTCCCTGTGTGGTGCGTGTTATTCAAAGAGATTTCATTAAATTCATCACTTCTTCAAGGCAAGGCAGTTATTAGGGTAATTTTTTTTTTTTTGAGACGGAGTCTCACGCTGTCTCCCAGGCCGGAGTGTGCAGTGGCGTGATCTTGGCTCACTGCAACCTCCACCTACTGGGTTCAAGCAATTCTCCTGCCTCAGCCTCCCGAGTAAGTGGGACTACAGGAGCTCACCACCACACCCAGCTAACTTTTTGTATTTTTAGTGGAGACGGGGTTTCACCGTGTTAGCCAGGATGGTCTCGATCTCCTGACCTCGTCGTCTGCCCGCCTCTGCCTCCCAGAGTGCTGGGATTTACAGGCGTGAGCCACCGCCCCTGGCCATAGGGTCATCTTTTGCATTGAATGACCCAGCTATACTTGTGTTCTCTCCTGGAAAGCTTCGTACTTTGCCATCTGCCTTTCTTAGGGGCCAGTCACGTTTTAATCTTACTGGTGAGTGTAGCAGCTTGAGAAAGAAAGATGCAGCTCCGGTTATGACGTTCTGACCGCTACTTGAGCCAGGGAACTGACTTCCAAATAATTTGGCCAATCTTATCACTTTACCATGTGCTTAATAAGGCATAGCTGACATTTCTCTCAAGGTAGAGGTTCCCTTGGATTTGAAGGGAGATATGGTCCCTTCTCAGAGTTCTAGAAGGTGTAGGTCATTTCAGGGTTTGATCTCCTCTATTAGGAACGTAAGAGTCATACCACAGTGTCCTTTGCTTTTTTTTTTTTTTTAAAAAAAGGGTTGAACTAATACGTTTTCTTTCTTATTCTGTGTATTAATTGGCGGTTTCAATTATAGAAACTAGTTGGGGGGCACTGAAGGGGGGTCATAGCTTTTTAGCTGCATTTAAAGGTTCCCAGAGAAAAGGTTTTGATCCTGTTCCTCACACCATAGTTACGTGTTAATGTTGTAATGTTAAAATGCTATTAAAACTTGCATTTATGGCTTAAAATTTTTGTTGTTTTTGTTTCTTTGTTTTCAGTTCCCTGTTCTTCAGGACAATTTAGAAGTTTATTTGGGATTACAACAGTTTATAGTCACTTCAGGGTCAGGTAAACTGGTTTTTATTTTCTAATTTAACCAAACATTCAAAAAACCATCGGACTGATATTTCATTACTGCTGCCGTTGCTGTCGGAACATGATTTCTTCACTGCAGCCTCCCCACTGGCATCTCTCCCCACTTCGAAACAGGGAACGTTTTTAAAGGCTTATGATGAAAAGCTGTGGGGGAGGTAAAAGATGAGGTCATGACAGTGTATTCCAAGGAGGTGTTTGGAAAAGAAACTGATTTGGAGTAAAGAGACAGGACTTACTAAAAAGCCTCTAATTAGTTTCCTTATGTCCTTTCAACCAGCAGGTGTACTAGGGAGAACATGGCCTTGTGCTTTCTTGCTTCCTGCTCACTTTAGAATTGGAAGGCCATAGTGCAGCTGATGGCCTGTGGTCCCCCTGCCCCCTGCACCTGTTGCAAATGGCCCCAGGGGCTCTGACCAGAGCTGGTTGAAAAGGCTTTTGGCTGCTGTTTACAGGCCCTGCCTGCTTGGGGTTTAGGGTTAGTTTGCTTTGTTATTTTGTTGATAACAATAATAGTAATAGCTTCCATTTGTAGCTCTCATTACATGCCAGGCACTGTGTTATTGACTTATATTACTTAATTCTCTCCATCGTCCTGTGAGGTGTAAGTGCTATTACTAGTTACCCCTGTTTTACATAAGAGGAAATTGATGTTCAGAGATGTTAATTTACCCAGGGTCCCATGGCTTTGTTGGTACAAGTCGCATGATGGTATAATAGGGAATGACAAAATGTTGAAATAGCTAACATCTGACATTCATTTTTGTCAACTGAAAACACCAGTAACTGAAAGCCACATGTGTCCTCCCTGCCCCATCAGCTGCTATGCACCACTCTCACTGCCCTTCCTTCTTCCCAGCATGCTTCTTATGGGATCTGTCCCGGCTCTGGTGCGCAGCCCCTGTGTTGGGTAACTGTTGTTTCAGCCCAGCACAGAGCCGCCCAGTGTGCAGCCCATCTCCTGGATGAGCTTGTGATTCATGGCAGAGCCTCCACAGGAGCCTTTTTCCGAGGCTGTCCTTGGTGGTCTGTGACGGCTGGTTTCCATGACTATATAAGCTTCTAAATAATCTAGTGGGCCCCAGGAGGCTGATGGGCCTTGGCATGCCCCGAATGTAGGCCCTGACTTTGTAGATAGGGTAAGAAATTTAAAAAGACAAAACTTTAAAAAGACACTTTCAAAACAAACATGCTTATAAAATGTGCTGTCACCACTAATGAAAATCATTTGGCTGTGTAGAAGTGCTACAGATGTTTCCAGAAGCCATTTTTGGGAATAATCGTGCCCAGGTGGTCTTTCCTTCAGGACCACTATTCAAATTAGAATGTACTCAGGACCCTGAAGACACTGTTCTTGATCTATTAAAAAAATCAAGCAGGTGTTCTTTCCTCCCCCACACTGACCCTTCAGTGTCCTGTTTACTTTTGTAAAAGCTGGTGTTTTTACATTCTGTTGTGTCTGTCTTTAGGTGAAAGTCTAGTGAATCTGAAACTCTATTTCTGGGACATAGCTGATAATTCTGAGCTCTTCTCCCTAGAAGGATAATGTGATTTATTTTTTCCTATAGGAAATACCGCATACTTGCTTTCACTAAAGCCTGTTTACTGGCAATTTCACAGAACTCGGCTCGTCCGGATCATTTATAAATCTCATCCTCAGCACTGATCCTTGGCTTGTACTCCAGTGGCAAAACCTCCCAGGCCAGAAAAATGCTTATTTCCTGCTTTAAAACGAGCTCTCTCATCCATGACAAAGCATTCCCCAATTTTTGGTGGCTCAGAAGCCAAGTTTCCAGTGCAAAGGCTATTAACAAATGGAAACTCTGAGTACATTTTTTCCCCTGGTTCCCATAGCCATTTACCCCCTCAAATAACCTCCATGCCACACCAGTCAGTCAGCCTCATGACCCTCAGCAGAAACTGTGCCCTCTCATCCCTGATAGGCTCTGGGCCTTCCTTCATTTGCATTTACTTTCTAGCCCAGCCTTTAGTTCTTGGGTCTCCTCTGGAGCCTGTGTAAATGGGCGCCAGCCGCGATTCTTGTCTACTCCTGGTGCTGTGACCGTGTATGACAATGGGATGCACATTTTGGCCAGCAGTGAGGCCTGCAGTGTGGTTACCCAGCCTGGAAGGCTCCCACTTTTGCTTTTGTCAGAGCAGTTGGATTCAGAAGATCTCGTGCTTCTCACTGTTTCCCTTCCTGCTGCTGAGCCTGCCTCCACTTCCCTGTCAAGACCAAGGCACAGCTTGTCTTGCTGGGCCACGTTGGTTGCTCTGTGCTGCTCTGGCTCCTGGCAGGTCATCCTTTGCTCCCTCTGTCTTTTCTACCTTATGTGGGTTAAGAAACCCTCATTGGTGGTGTTCCCCTTGCACAGCATTGACATCCGTATGTGACCCCAAAGCCTCCATTCTGTATTTGACTTCTGCCACCCCTCATTGGCATCTTCCTTCATTGAGACAGTATTTCTCCTCTAAGTAACCCTTTAACTTTTCTGGTTACCCATGCAAACTTTCCTGTGTAAGGGATTATTTTGCCTACAACATTTTATGTAAGATTTTTAGACTTAAATTGTTTGTTCTGCTTGGGTCCGTTTATGATTTATGATTATGATTTGTTCTCTCAGAGGGAAATGCCTGAATGCTAATTTTTAGACCTCCCTCAACTCCTCAAAAAGAGAAGACTAAATTATGTTTAAGACTTTTTTTTCCCCTAGGGCAGTGAATTGCCAAGGAGCTGTTCTTTGGATGTGGCTTAGGTCATACCTAGACAGCTTTAGAATGACTTGGTTTGTGGAAGATAGGACTTTTGTGTGGCCATGATGTTTTGTGCCTCCAAACCTTTCAGCATTATTCTCATCTGAAGGTTCTACCTTGCAGATGTCCTGTGCTTTTGGGGGGAAATCTAAGCCTTGACCAGACAGAAGAAAGTGTGGGTGGATCTGAACAGCTTTTCACAGTGGGACACTGGCCTATCCCCTCAAGTTTACTTGATGCCCTGCGTGACTTTTGTGGTGGTGAAATTAGGTTTATAGGCTGAAGGAGGGGGTGTCAAGGGTAGAGAATTTGATTTGGGGTATTTATTGCCCATGCGATTGTCTGCCTTGCAGATAGAACAGGAAAGAACCAGCTGTACTTTTGATGAACATGGATCTTAGATACACATATGTGTGAAGTGGAACTGTATGGAATTGCAGTTTTGTTGGGTCAGAAGTGATCAAGTGTCAACAGTTTCATATTGTTCAAACTCACAGTTTAAAACACACACCCAGCACTTCCAAGCTGTTTTCCATCCTGGGTACTGGATGCTAGGTACCCATAGTTGTCATCCTAGGTACTGCTCTTTGCTAGACAAAATAGGACAAGTTCAGAGGGGAGGGATCAGGATGGCAAGGATTCTCAGGAGGGTAATGAGGGGTTACATCCCCAGGGCTATCATGCTGTCAGCAGGCTTTGGCTTGTTCTGTGTTCTACCCTCAAGGAGTGGGCCAGGGGTGATGAGCAATCACAGGGAGATTTACTTTACCCGTGTTTGTGACCAAGTTGTCCAGAGATGGAAGGGCTCCCTTGAGCTCCCTAGCATTCAGCCGAGGTCCAGGAAGAGGCTGAAGGGCCGGGTGTGCAGGGGAAGTGCTGGGCAGAGGGGACGGCTTGGTCAGGGCGACTTTTAAGCTCTCTAGTAATTGTCTATTAAGGACCATACTCAAATGGAAACTTGATTTAGGGTAGTGTTTTGGTTTGGTTTTTAAAACAAATACAGTGTTCCCCTTGTACACTTAAAATACTTAAGAAGCTTGTTCTCAGGTATTCAGCAGGTACCTAGTTGAAGGAATTGGATACTATAGAGAAGTTGGAAACTGGTGGTCAGGGTAGAGCCTGGGGGGAGGTGGAGGTGCGAAATGAAGGTTGAGCATGTGGAGAGTGCCAGGGACTGCTGAAGCGGACTCAGTGACCCCCAGTGTTGCTCTGAGAAAGAAAAGCTGGCCTCCCCTCTTTTTGGGCCTGTACTATGCTATACCCAGTGTCAGGGTGTATTTTTCATTAGAGTTTATTCCCACAGAGCCCTGAGGTCTGGTTGGTGTGCAGAGGAGGAGCAGGTTTTAGAAGTCAACCCTGGGAGTTGGTTGCATAGATATAACCTTGAAAATCCCATTGACATTCAGAGGGTGTATAATTTTGGCACTTCAGTTAACTGAGAGATTGGGGCTGTCTCTTTTTGTAGCCCATGAAGTCTGTGTTCCCTTTCGTACAACCAGTGTGATGAAAATCCCTCTCAGTTCATTGGTTCCGTGAGTTCGTCTGGCTGGGTGGGATGGTCATTCTGTTGCTGTGGTTGGAGGAGCTGGCTTACTCATTAGCTGCACCCACAGCCTCTTCAGGGCTGCCATCTTGTTTCTGCGCCAGGGCACTGCTGTCCTTGTGGAGTGGAGGAGGCAGGACCAGGTGATTTGGGACAGGTCAAAACCAGCCTTTGTCACTGGCCCTCTCTGTCTGAGGTCCTTCCATGAGTTACCTCTTCTTTCGTTCTCCTGCTCCTTAAGATGTGGCCCTCTGTCCCCTCTTCCAGCCTCGTGTCTTCCTTTGGGGGCTGTCGCAGGCACTGTTGCGAGCCTCATCCCTTGACGTTGGTGGCGGATCGAGGCATTCAGCCTGCTACTTCATTTGCCACGTGCTTTGTAGGTGTCCACCCTTCCTTTCTGCAGGTGCCACCCATCCGTGTTTACTGTCAGTAATACATGCCAGTATTCCCAGGGACAGGGTGAGGAAGGAAGCTGCCTGGGACTCCCTGTCCTGCTCTAGTTTGCCGTCTGTTCTGTTGCATCTAAATCATTCATACATTTACGGTCACTCACTCTGTACCAGCTGCTGTGCTGGCTGCTGGACATAGCTGCTCACCACGAGGGATTTTGTGGTCAGTAAGGAGATGGACTTGTAAATCATCGGTTTATCTCCTTATGGGCACGGGTGCCAAGGAGGAAGGCAGGAGTGGGGAGGCCCCACAGAGACAGGATGCCCCTGAGAGGCTGGAGGCTATGTAGGAGCTTGCAAAGCTTGGGTGGGCAGAGGATGACATGATCAGCAGTCTAGGCAGAGGCACAGAGACACGAGGCTCTGGGGAATTACCAGTGGATCTGGATGACATAGTGGCATAGTAGAAGGTGGCGAGGCCATGAGAGAGCTGAGTTGATACTGGAGAGTCTAGGCTCTCCCCTTTTAGCAGGAGAGAGCCTCCAGAGGCTTCAGCACCTGCTTCAGGGGAGCTGCAAGCTTAGTCTGGGCTCTGGGAAGCTGATTTTGGAGCACAGCGGGAGGAGGGTTGGTGGTGACCAGTGTGAGGAGGAGGGTTGGTGATGACCAGTGTGAGTCTCGCCTCCTAAGAGACAGGAGAGAACTGAAGTAGGGGGAGGGAGCAGGTGTGGAAAGTACCCGGGGAGTTCTGGGATCGTAGGTGCCCTAGTTACGGTGCCCTAGTGGTGTTACCACCCCACCCTCATTCCTGCTGTGTCAGTGAGAAGGACTTGAATCAGACCTGCAGGTCTCTGTTCCTGCAGGTCTCTGAAAATTCTTACTATCTTTTGTGGACATTTGTGAAGAGAGGGATCCAAAAACCAAGGAAGTGACCGAATCAAGGGAGGATGTTTTGTCCTTCATCTTAGCATCCTCCTTATTCAGTTTGAAGAAGTTGTGTTGAAAAGTAAGGAAATTTCAGACCTTAGTAAGTCACTAGTTCTTTGTTATTTATAATAATTAGAAATACTGAACAATGCTCTGTAGCTTAGAGGGTTATATATTTTAACATGGCCCTTGTAATAGTGATACTGAGGCTTAGGAGGGTTGTATGAGGCACTGAGCCCAGAAGTGGCGGGGAATCTGTGTCTTCGGAATCCAAGTCCCATACTCTTTATTTCATACTGTGTCACCTCCCAGCCTTCAGGGGTGGAGTGCTGAGTGTACCTCTCCTCTCTTAGCAGGGGCGGGTCCTAACTGTTGGTCCATGGAAATTTCATTCTGAGATAGGGCCCTATCCTAAAGGAACCAGATTTGGAGTCACATAGACTCAGCGTAGAACACCAGCCTTGCCCCGGAAATGTGACACGTGCTTGGCAAGTGCCTGGGCCTCCCTGGGTGTGCCTCCTTGTATGTAACAGTGATGGTGTCAGGACCTTACAGGGTCAAAAGGAATCAGATCAGGGGCTCCCTCCACGTTAGCACACTCCAGGCTGTCTGCCCCTTCCCACAACTCTGTCTCTGTCCCTGGACTCTGGAGCACAAACGTGTAGTGTTAGGTGGATACCGGGCCCAGTTTCCCTGCTCAGTACTGGGAAGCAGCCCGTGGGTTGCTTTGTTTCGCGAATTGGTTTTGCTGCTGGTTTTGCTGTGTGTGGCTTGCTGGACCAGCTGTTATCTGTAGTATCTAAAGCGTGGTCTTCCTGTGAAAAACTGTCTGGCGTGTTGTGTTCCAGGACACAGGTTGAACATCACGGCGGAGAACGACTGCCGGCGGCTGCACTGCTCCCTGAGAGACTTGAGCTCCCTGCTGCAGGCCGTGGGCCGCCTGGCCGAGTACTTTATCGGGGATGTGTTTGCTGCACGGTTCAATGATGCCCTCACAGTCGTGGAAAGGTAGGCTGGCAGTTACCTTATGGAGCTGTTCCTTCTTCAGAGTTCAGCTTTACCTTCTTGTGTGAGGGGCAGCATATTGCCAAATAGCTTCTGCTCTGGCCCCGGGTAAATCTAGGCTCTGCCACATACAAGCTGATAGGGAACAAATTACTTAACCTCTCTGAACTTCAGGTCCCTCATTTACAATATGAAGTAGATGTTGTTTCCTGTAGGTTTAGTGTGAGAATTAAATGAGATAAAGCACTTAGCACTGTGCCTAGCACATAACAAAACGCCTGATAAGTTATTTAAGGTATTGTTTCTTTGAAGATCTTGTGTATAAATGTAAACACAGTTGTAGACCCAGGAGAAACCAGGAGAGGTCAGTCTTCATGTCTTTCCTCATAGGATAAAGAGATATTAAGAAAGCCCTACTGATAAGGAGTCAACTCCATTGTCCAAGTAGGCAGCTAGATGCACAGGGTGCTTTTTGTGTTTTTTCCAGTCCCATTAGGGCCTCGGGAGTGAAAGCTGGGTAGCCTCCACGCCTGGCCCGAAAGGTGGTTCCCAGCCTTTCACCACTGGGCTCCTTTTCTTCTCCTTCCTCTTGGGTCTCACACCAGGTTTACAGATGCACTTGTTGAGGAACACTTGATTCTACTCAGTCAGCAGTCCCTCCTCCCTTTCTCCCCTCGAAAAACCCAAGATGTAAGTGACAGGACATTTAGATCATTTCAAGGCAGCTGTTGAATTGGTTAGATCAAAACTGAGTAGATGTGGATCCAGCCCAAAGCCAAGACACCTGATGCTTCGACTGGCCCAGCAGCCGCATCACTGGTGACGTGCAGAGGGGAAGTGAGCCTCAGGAGCCTGGGTGCATGCATGCCAGACTTCACTGCCACATCTTAGCTGAAAAGCAAAGATAGCCAAGGGGCTTAAATCCCTTAAAAGCCAGATTCATATTAATAATAAAAACAGCACACAGTAGTAGGACATTTTCTGTGTTTTTGCACATGGTCTTTCATTTTGTTCTGTACTTTGAGAGACAGGCATTGCCGTTTTATTGTTGAGTAAGTACATTGTGGCTCAGTGATGTGAGTGCCTTGCCTCGGTTCACACAGTCTTTGAGAGGGAGAGTGGATTTTAACAGTTTCCTGGGTCCACATGTTGTGCGCTTTCCAAACCGTAGCGTTTGTATTGCCAGTCCGTTCCTCCTCCTCTTCTTGTACTGGGCCCATTTGCACTGAGGTTTAGCAGGGATAAGACATGTTTTTCTGTCTGAAATCCAAAGATAAGTCCATTATTTGAACTTACTCTGTTAAGCAATATAGATATATCTTATCTGTTCAGTTGGCGGGGCGCAGTGGCTCACGCCCGTAATCCCAACACTTTGGGAGGCTGAGGCGGGCAGATCACCTGAGGTCAGGAGTTCAAGACCAGCCTAACCAATATGATGAAACCCCATCTCTACTAAAAATACAAAAATTAGCCGGGCGTGGGGACATGCGCCTGTAATCCCAGATACTCAGGAGGCTGAGACAGGAGAATCGCTTGAACCTGGGAGGCGGAGGTTGCAGTGAGCTGAGATTGCGCCAGTGCACTCCAGCCTGGGCAACAAGAGTGAAACTCCGTCTCAAAAAAAAAAAAAAAAGGTATATCTGTCAGTCATCTCAACTTTGTAGTGAGATGATGTCTCAAAGATCCTGAATCATTTGATAGGTCCCTATCTTTCTGCACTGCTTAGATTTCCAAGCCCAGTGCTTAAACATACTTGTTATTAATATTTTGTCTTCATTTAGAATAAAATGTGAGAGAAGGCTCTTGTTATGACTACATGACCTTAATAGCCAGTATGATTAGCAGTGTTTTCATTTATTGGTTACATAAAACAAAGCTAATATTAGAACTGCTAAACACAGACACATTAAAAGATGTTTGGAAATGCATTTTTAGTGTAGAACAGGATTTAAACACCAGGTGCATATTGGTATATTGTTTTCTGATAATAACTGTTCTGATCACGAGGACTTCGTGGGACTTTGGGAACCTTAGTTCTTTTGCCCTCACTTTCTTGACTGACCGGAAGTGCTCCTTTTTGATTGCTTTCTCATTGCTCCCCAGCAATCAGAAATACAAATACAAGTTTGTATTTGTAACAAGTTCCTTAGTTGATTGTTATGCTGGGACAAAGACAAACACTGCCTTCCCTGGCATCCATTTCCAGGTTTCCACGCAGAGTAGGCAGAGAGAAACTAGCCAGGTCTTGGGTTTTTTCCCCTTCACTCAGAAAGGAATGTCTTTCAACTCCAGGCGTGGTGGCTCACCTGTAATCCCAGCACTTTGGGAGGCTGAGGTGAGCAGATCGCTTGAGTCCAGGAGTTCAAGACCAACCTGGACAACATGACGAAACCTGTCTCTACTAAAAAGACAAAAAAATTTAGCTGGGTGTGGTGGCATGCGCCTGTAGTCCCCGCTATGGGAGGGGGCGCTGAGGCGGGAGGATCACTTGAGCCCCAGAAGTCTAGGCTGCAGTGAGCCAAGATCACTACAATCCTCTGGCCTGGTTGACAGAGCAAGACGCTTTCTCAAAAAAAAGAGGAGAGAAAGGAATGTTGTCCTGTCTGTAATGAAAGAGGCATTTCCCATTTCCTACTAGATAGAGCTATTAGTTATTGTGTTTAATGCTCGTTAGTATCCAGTGAGCCCTTGAGCAACCAGTGGGCTCAACAGCTTGCTTCTGAAAGAATTGTACTTGAACATAAAACACCTCCACCTATTCTAGAAACATTTGCTCCTTTCATCTGCCTCCTCCAAAGTTTTATCAAACATTTTCAAATTTGAAGAAAAGTTGAAAGAATTGTACAGGGAATACACATATACCCACCACATAGATTCTATGGTGGACAGTTTGCTGTATTTTTTTTATTATGTATCAACCCATCTGAAACATTTCCTTTTAAAAATGATTTTAAATAAAAGCTAAGATGGTTTTATCATTATCAAATTTTATAGAAAAGCCCACGTCATCCTATTTCGATAAACTGCCAAAAGAGCAGTTTTTTTTTTAAAACAAAACAAAACAAAACAAACAAACAGGATTTTGGTCTTGTTCTGTTACCCAGGCTGGAGTGCAATGGCATGATCCTGGCTTAGTCCATCCTCAACCTCCTGGGCTCAAGCAGTCCTCCCTACTTAGCCTCTCCCAAGTAGCTGAGACTACAGGCATGTGCCACCACATCTGGATAAAATTTTAAAAGACAGGGTCCTACTTTGTTGTCCAGGCTGGTCTTGAACTCCTGGACTCAAGTGATCCTCCCACCTTGGCCTCCCAAAGTGCTGGGATTACAGGCATGAGCAACCACATTCTGCCTGCTTTTTAAGAACTATTTTTTATTCTCCTCATTTATAAAACATTATATATTAATTGTAGATAATTTGGAAATGCAGAAAAATAGAGGGAAAAAAATCATCCATAATCTACCCACTCTATCCTCCCCCTAAAACAAGTGGTACCAATAAGCATATTTTGGTGACACTTCTTCCCGCCTGTCTTCTGTTAATAGATGAACATTCACGATGTATTCTGTATGTATATTTAGTACAACCATGTCATGTTTAAAACATCCTGAATATTTATCATTAAATATGCCTCTAAGCATGGTTTTTATTGTATATATTGCATTGTATTACCTCCTCTGGGTTGGATATTTATATTGTTTTCAAAGTTTTTGACACCTTCAATAAGGCTTTAGTTAATATGCTTGTATATAAATCTTTATGCATATCTCAGATTATTTCCTTGGCATAAAATTGAAAGTCTGGTCTTGATTCTTTTTTGTATATGAAAAAGTCTGCCCTTACGCTCTTTGCTGGTACCAGCCTTGTCTGTTTTGTCTGTCTTAGTTCATAAGCTGAATGTTCTTGTTTACCTGCCTCTTTGCCAACAGGTTGGTCAAAGTCACTCTGTACGGATCTCAGATAAAATTGTACAACATTGAAACTGCTGTGCCATCAGTATTGAAACCTGACCTCATTGATGTGTAAGTCTAGAGTTTGATGTTTGTGCATTTTTAGGAAAGACCTTGCCCCCAATCTCCAAATAATTTGATTGAGAAAAAGGAACAGTAGTGGCTGCCATGAATCAGGGAAAAACTCTTAAACTGCAAACCTAGAAAGAGAGAGAGATTTTTTTGACTATATGTCTGGGGCAGAGGCGGTTGGAGAAAGTGGAATTAGGTAAGTGAGAGCTGGGATGGAGATTCTATGGAGTAGGCATTTCAGGAGGAAAGAACAGTACAGGCTGAGACAGTCACACAGGCAGGAGGTGGCTACTCCATGTAGTGCAAGAAGAGACTGGATAGGTGTGTTGGGACTAATGGGAAACACCTCAGATGCCATCAGTCTTTCCTGTAGATCATTGACTAAAACTGTAGGATACTGTAGGATGCAGAAGAATGCTTGGGGAACACATTTCTCAGAGATTCTGATTTTAGCAGAATGGCATAAGGCCATAAGGCTTGGGTATTTGCGTATTAAACAAGAACCCCAGGTTATTTTGAAGCAGGACATCTAGAGACCACACTCTCTACCTACAGAAACTCTACAGATAACATGGGATGCTGTTAGGAAAGTGACATATGGAAGGACAGGGACAGGAGATGGGCAGTATCCCAGAGATTTCACTGCCCAGAAGACTTGCTTTAGATGAGAGCAGGGGGTTGGCAAACTATGGCCTTTGCCAAATCTGGCTTACTGACTGCTTTTGTAAATAAAGTTTTATTGAAACACAGCTACATTGATTTACATACGGTCTGGGAGTGGTTTTGCACTATAGCAGCAGAGTAGAGTAGCTGTGACAGTGTGTATGTATGCCCTGCAAATCTGAAAATATATACACTCGGGTTTTTACAGAAAAGGTCTGCCGACTCCTGCTGTAGAGCATTCTTGAGCTGCAGATTAGATAAACGATGGAAAGAGAATCTTACTTACTATGGTGGTTTTAAACTTTTAAAAAATATATTGCTTTCCCTTTTGAGAATTTAGAGAAAGTTGTAAAGCATCTCCCAAGAAAGATGCCAGTTTCCTTATAAATACAACAACTTGTACACATTTTGGGAGTTTCAGAGCCCCTCCTTTCAGCCTTGAGGAGCTCTACAGATGTGCTAGATTGACTGAAATTCTTACTCCTAAGGCTGACTTTGATGTCCTTTCTCTTTATTTTGGTATTTAGAACTTAAAGGGTAATGTGATTCTAAATATAAAATAAAATTTTAAATGTAAAATACAAAATAACTGTGTGGTCACTATGAATTTCAAACTTTCAGTAACTATATTTTCTTACTTTAAAGTACTAGCACATTTTCTTACCCAACTGCTAATTTTGAAAAAGTTCAAACCTATAGAAAATGGGAAAAACAGGCGAATAAGCACCCATGGACCCTTAGCCTAGAGTAACCAATTACAAATTGGCTTTTGTTTCTTGTGCCCTCTCTGCACACAATACATGATGATGATGATGATGATTATTATTATTATTTTGCTGAGCCATTTGAAAATAAACTGCATGGCTGAACGTGATGATTCATACCTGTAATCCCAGCATTTTGGGAGGCCGAGGCAGGCGGATCACTTGAGGTCAGGAGTTCAAGTCCAGCCTGACCAACGTGGTGAAACCCTGTCTCTACCAAAAAATATAAAAATTAGCCGGGCATGGTGGCACTTGCACCTGTAGTCCCAACTACTCGGGAGGCTGAGCTGGGAGAGTCGCTTGAACCCGGGAGGCTGAGATCACACCACTGCTCTCCAGCCTGGGTGACAGAGTGAGACCCTGTCTCAAAAAAGAAAAGAAAGAAAAGAAATTACAGACAACATGTCACTTCACCCGTAAATCCTTCAGTGTGTGTATCCTAGAAATAAGTTCATTCAGCTCTTTAACTATGATATCATTATCAACCCTCACATAATTTAATACATACAATAATGTCATCTCATATATAGTCCATATTAAAATTTCTTCAGTTGTCCCAGGAATGTTTTTGTATCTTTTTTTTTTCTTGGATCCAAGGTCTAACTAATCATGAGCCACACATTAAATGTATTTCCTATAGTCTAGAACAGTTCACCCAATTGTGTTTGTATGTCTGCATGTGCGTGTGTGTGTGAGAGTGACTGAGGACCTTTTGCAGATCCAGATCTTAATTTTTTTAAAAGCATGTCCTACAATCTGGATTTGTCTAATTATTTCCATTATATTAGATTCAGTTTAAACATTTTTAGCAAGGTTACTACATAGGCAATGATGTGCCTTTCCTCTTGCATCATGTCAGAAGGCTCTTAATATCAAATTTCCCTGTAATTGTTGATGCTGAGTTTGCTTTTAAAATGGTGTCTAGGCTGGACACACTGGCTCATGTTTGTAATCCCAGCACTTTGGGAGGTTGAGGTGGGAAGATCGCTTGAGCCCAGGAGTTTGAGAGGAGCCTGGGCAACATAGTGAGACTCTGTCCCTACCAAAAAAAAAAAAAAAAATAGCCGGACATAGTGGTGCATGCCTGTGGCCCCAGCCACTTAGAATTGCAAGCCAGGAGAATTGCTTGAGCCCAGGAGTTGGAGGCTGCTGTGAGCTATGATTGTGCCACTGCACTCCTGCCTGGGCAACAGAGCGAGACCCTGTTTCAGCAACATAAATAAGTAAATAAAGTGATACCTGCCTATATCCTAATTCTGTCTGCTGAAAGCTCCTAGAAACAGTGACAATCCAGTAGCAATCCTATCCGTTTTCCCCAGGTCTTGGTTTCTCAAATCCATTCTCCAGAGCACCTTGGAGAAAAAAGCTCAAGTCTGGGGGGGTGATGTTGGACAATCTTGCCAAGTCAGCAAGTAAGGAAGTGCTCAGTGACTGTTGGGAACATGTGAAGAGGATGCAGGACCCAGCTTGAAAGGGTTCTTCCTGGTCAAACTTGACAGTTCAGTCATCAAGAAAGAATAAGGACAATAATGAATTATACCAGTTTGAATGAAAATAATCTACTCATTCAAAGTGATTAACAGGCTAGGCCGGTGCAGTGCCTCACACCTGCAATCCCAGCCCTTTGGGAGGCCAAGGCAGAAGGATCGCTTGAAGTCAGGAGTTTGAGACCAGCCTGGCCAACATAGACCCCATTTCTACAAAAAATACGACAATTAGCCTGGCATGGTGGCATGGACCTGTAATCCCAGCTACTTGGGAGGCTGAAGCAGGAGAATCACTTGAGCCCAGAAGGTTGAGGCTGCAGTGAGCCATGATCGTGCCCCTGCATGCCAGCCTGAGCAACAGAATATGACCCTGTCTCAAGTAAACAAACAGATAAACAAAAACCCAAAGTGATTAACAAAATAAGGATGAGAGGAGGGAAAGCCTCTTTTTAGAGAAGACTGCCAACTAATGAGGAGAAAAGGAAAGATAGAAAAATTACCAATTCACAACCACCAATGTAATACTGATTTAGGCAGGAGTCGTTAATAAATGCCCAAACCATGAGGAACACTGTCTTTGTGTCACCTCATAGTAGTACCACCTTACAACTTACTAATTATTACCGAAAGGTAATTACATTTAGGTATGTTGGAAGGCTTGGTGTTTTGAAGCTCCGAGACAACTGTCTCTCCTTGTTTAAGATTGATTGTTTATTATATTTGATGAATTGCATACTTTTTTGATGTATATTTTGTTGCATGTACGATGCAGTCAGTACAGCCTTTGCTGAAACCAAACATAGTCTTTGCCGCCTCAGTTATTCCCTAGCCAGGTGGAATGTGTGGTGCAGTGGAAGCTTAAACTCCAAAATCTGACATCAAAGCTCTGTTTATAAAGCTGTCACACCTGGTAGTTGTCTACGCTTTAGTCTGCAGCTAGGAATGTTAAATTTGTACTAGTTCTGAAGTCAACACATGATCACTTAAGTTCTTTGATTTTGCTTTTATAATTTACCTTTCTCTTAGGTGAGCATGTGTCACAGAAAGATTGAATAAGATTCAGTAGACATTGACTAACTGCCTTCTGTGCTCTAGTCAGCGGTGGCAATGTTTAGATGATGAATATCTTAGTTTTTAGGTTCTACGTGAACCGGTAAATGATTTCTATGCTGTTGCCCATGTCTTAGAACAGCAAATGCAGTGGATGCAATTCTTACCTCCTATGAAAATGAGTTGAACGCTAATATATTTTCACCTTAACCTTTAAAATCACATCTTCTTTTCTTTCTGCAGGCATGCTCAGTCCCTGGCTGCGCTGCAGGCTTACTCTCACTGGTTAGCACAGTATTGCAGTGAAGTTCACCGGCAGAACACGCAGCAGTTCGTGACACTCATCTCTACTACCATGGATGCAATCACACCTCTAATCAGCACCAAGGTCTCGAAACAGCAAAGCCTACACCTTTTATCTAACTCTCTGTCTCTCCTTCTGTTCCTATACCCATTTACTAGAAAATCTAAATATGACACAGAGTTAGACCCATAAATCTTTCTGCTGTTATACATCTGTTTTATTTCATGTTCCTTTTTAGTTGTAGCCTACATGCATTCAGATACAACTTTACTTTTTTAGTTATCTGAGTTCCACATGAATACATGCTCACTGTGAAAAAGTAAAATATCATTCAGATTTCCAGACTAAAAAGTTGTGATACCTCTGAAACATTTTCCTTCGCGCGGTAAGCACAGTTGGGCAGTGGTTGTGCAGGCACACCTCATTTTATTGCACTTCCCTTTATTGCGCTTCACAGAGACTGTGTTTTTTACAAGTTGAAGGCTTATGGCAACCCTGCATCAAGCAAATCTGTCAGCACCATTTTTTTGACAGTATTTGGTGCTTCCATGTGTTACATTTTGGTAATTGTTAGAATATTTCAGACTTTTTTGTTACTATATCTTACAGCGATTTGTGATCAGTGATCTTTAATGTTACTATTGTAATTATTTTGGAGTGCCACAAACCAAAGACTGCAAACTTGATTGATAAATGTGTGTGTTCTGACTGCTCCACTGATTGGAGGCTTCCCCATCTTCCTGTCTTTAGGCCTCCCTATTCCCTGAGCCATTTAATAACCCTACAATGACCTTTACGTGTTCGAGTGAAAGGAAGAGTCACATGTCTCTTACTTTAAATAAAAATCTAGAAATGATTAAGCTTAGTGAGGAAGGCGTGTCAAAAGCCAGGATAGGCCAAAGGCTCTTTTTTTTTTTTTTTTGTCGTTTTTGTTGTTGTTGAGATGGAGTCTCGCTCTGTCGCCCGGGCTGGAGTGCAGTGGCGTGATCTTGGCTCACTGCAAGCTCCGTCTCCCGGGTTCACGCCATTCTCCTGCCTCAGCCTCTTGAGTAGCTGGGACTACTGGCGCCTGCCGCCTTGCCTGGCTAATTTTTTTGTATTTTTTGTAGAGACGGGGTTTCACCATGTTAGCCAGGATGGTCTTGATCTCCTGACCTCATGATCTGCCCGCCTTGGCCTCCCAAAGTGCTGGGATTACGGGCGTGAGCCACCGCGCCCGGCCTGGCCAAAGGCTCTTGAGCCAAACAGCCAAGTTGTGAATGCAAAGGAAAAGTTCTTGGAGGAGATTAAAATTTCTGCTTCAGTGAACACATGAGTGATGAGAAAGTACAACAGCCTTGTTGTTGATATGAGGAAGGTTTCAGTGGTTTGGATAGACCAAGCTAGCCACAACATTCCCTTAAGCCAAAGCCAAATCCAGATCAGGCCCTTCAATTCTGTGAAGGCTGAGAGAGGTGAGGAAGCTACAGAAGAAGAGTTGGAAGCTAACACAGGTTGGTTCATGAGGTTTAAGGAAAGAAGCCATCTCCAGGATGAAGCAGCAAGTGCTGATGGAGAAGCTGCAGCAAGTTCTCCAGAAGTTCTAGATCACTGCTGAAGGTGGCCATACTAAACAACAGATTTTCTGTGTAGATGAGACAGCTTTATACTGGAAGAAGGTGCCATCTGGGACTTGGATAGCCAGAGAGGAGGAGTCAGTGCCTGGCTTCAGAGGACAGGCCAACTCTCTTGTCAGGGGGCAACTGCAACTGGAGACTTCAGGTTGAAGCCAGTGCTCATGTATCATTCTGAAAATCCTAGGGCCCTTAGGAATTATGCTGAATCTACTTTGCCTGTCTCTATAAATGGAACAACAAAGCCTGAATGACAGCACATCTGTTTACATCATGGTTTACTGAATATTTTAAGCTCATTATGGAGACCTGCTCAGAAAAAAAGATTCCTTTCAAAATCTGCTGATTGGCAATGCACCTGGTTACCTAAGGACTCAGATGGAGATGTTCAAAGATATTAGTTTCCATAGTTTCCATGGCTGCTCACACAACATCCATTCTGTAGTTCTGTAGCCCATGGGTCAAGGGGTAATTTTGGCTTTCAAGTCTTACTGTTTCAGAAATACGTTTCATAAGACTATAGCTGCCATAGATGGTGGTTCCTCCAGTGGATCTGGGCAAATAAACTGAAAACCTTCTGGGAAGGATTCACCATTCTAGATGCCATTAAAGACATTCATGATTCATGGAAGCAGATCAAAATATCAGCATTAATGGGAGTTTGGAAGAAGTTGGTTCCCAGCCTCATAGATGACTTTAAGGGGTTCAGGACTTCAGTAAAGAAAGTAACTGCAGATGTGGAAATAACAGGAGAACTAGAGGCGGAGTCTGAAGATGGGATGGAATTGCTGCAATCTCAGGATCAAGCTTGAACAGATGGGGACTTGCTTCTTGTAAATGACCAAAGAAAGTGGGTTTTTGAGATGGAATCAACTGGTGAAGATGCTGTGAACATTGTTGAAATAACAGAGGATTAGAATAACACATAAACTCAGTTGATGAAGCAGCAGCAGGGTTTGAGAGGACTGACTCCAACTTTGAAAGAAGTTCTACTGTGGGCAAAATGCTATGAAACGGCACCGCATGCTCCAGAGAAATATTTCATGAAAGGAAGTCAATCGATGCAGCAAACTTCATTGTTGTCTTATTTTAAGTAATTGCCACAGCCACCCCAACTTTGAGCAACCACCACCCTGTTCAGTCAGCAGCAGTCACTTTCAAGGAAGACCCTTCACCAGCAAAAAGATTACCGCTCTGAAGGCTCAGATGATTGTTAGCATTTTTAGCAATAAACTACTTTTTAACTAAGATATGTACATTGTTTTCTTAGACATAATGCTTATTGCACACTTTATAGACTATAGTGTAAACAAAACATATGCATTGGGAAACAAAAAAATTAGTGTGCCTTGCGTTATTGCATAATTTGCTTTATTGTGGTGGTCTGGAGCTGAACCTGCAGTATCTCTGAGGTATGCCTGTATATCCTTCCAGACTTTTTTCTCTTTTTATGTAATAAGTAATAACTAAGTTTGTAGATAGCTGGAGATATAGCTGCTTTTGCCTAACAGTATGCCTTCATTTTCCTTTACATATGTACAGCAACTTCAGATTGTCAAAATGTCCAGTGGTTTTTTTTTTTTTTTTTTGTGAGGATGTATAATAATTTTCCTATTGCTAGAAATGAGTTCCTTTTATGTCCATCTTACATATGCTAGTGGGCCTGAAGGATAGATTCCTGGAAGTGGAATTACTGAGTCAAAGGTTATATCCATGTTAAAACTGGACAGATTCTATTATGTTATCCTCCAAGTCTGCTATATTACTAGAGCATATATGTGTTTATTCTTTGAATTTTTTTGTAGTTTTAGTCATACATAACATTTTATACATTTTTAAACAGTGTATTGTTTTAATAACAATGTGTTGCTTTCCATAAATTTATGTTGTATTTATAATTATAACTTTGAAAATAGTCCTATCCCATCAGGAATATGTTTCATTATTTTCCTAGCCATTGCTGGACTTCTAGGCTGCCTCCCTTAAAAAATAAAAAATTATAAAGAATTCTGAAATGCACACATTCATGAATGTAGCTTTACCCTTTTAGGTAATCTTCTTAGAGTAAGTATTATAGGTTATAGGTAATCTTAGAGTAAGGGTTAAAGGTTAGGAATATTTTGTGACTTTGGGAAATCATAGTAATTTTTTTCCCGAAGTAATTCTGCCTGCCTTGACTTTTTGGTGTGCTGTTTTTATCTTAGTCTTACCAGCATTAGGTCCCATCTGTAACACGTTTTTCTCCTTTGCTAATTTGAAAGCAACAGTGGTAATTGAACCAAGTATTTGATAGGCATGCTGAAGGGAAAGCAGTAGGAGAGACTGGCCTGAGTGTTAAGGCACAGAAGAGTCGGGGGCTCGGGGAGATCTTGGCTCTGCTGGAACAATTAGTGAGGTGAAGAATTCTAGGACCTGGATGACATGCCAGGGAGTGTGATTTAATAGCTGATAGGGAGCCACTGCAGACTCTAAGCTGAGAAGTGCCTGAGTTCAAGGCTGCTGGTGACTGTGAAGGAGGAACGGGAGGAGGTGATAATGGCTGCGGCAGGAGCTGTGGACATGACAGAGAAGATGGGCTTCTCTTGTAGTCATCATAGGAAAAATTCTTGAGCTAGATAGGGCCTAGGTGGTGTAATTTGGAAACCAAGAATGACACATAGCTTGTGGCTGCCTCAGCAAAGTTCGAATCCCAGTCTTACAGGGATGTGGTGAGCTGACGTGCCCTCTTCCCTCTGCAGGTCCAAGACAAGCTGCTGCTATCTGCGTGCCACTTACTGGTCTCACTGGCCACCACCGTGCGGCCCGTCTTTCTGATCAGCATCCCTGCAGTGCAGAAAGTATTCAACAGAATCACTGATGCCTCTGCCCTGCGACTTGTCGATAAGGTGAGGCCCCAGAGCTCCCCCGGGGTCCCCAGGGCTGTGTGACTGAGACCCAAGGAAGCTGAGGAAGAAGAGTCTGGCCTTTGATTTTGTACTCAGAGCTTACAGGCTGTACCAGCATAGACAGATTTCTTATTGTGTGGCACTGACACAGACTCAGTGATTCTCATCGTGCCCATTCTAAGGCAGGCAGTCAGTGTGCTGATTGAGGCGTGGAAAAGCACCTCCCAGTGTGCAGAAAGGTTTTGCTGCTTTGCAGCCTGGTAATTTCGGCCAGTGTTGTGAGAATTCTCTTTGCATTCTTTCTGATTCAAAGCAGTCTGGTTTTTGTTGTCACTGTTCTGTGTGTGTTCTTTGGGGTTGAGAAGTGCCAGGCAAGTGCATTTTCTTAGAATCCTCAAAGGAGGCTCAAGCTAGAAGTTTAAAAACCACCTAACAGGAGGGAGGGCAGGAAGGTTTGAAGAGGGTACCAGAGGGCACCAGGATGTGATTGCAGGATGTGACCTGGTGCTAGGGGCATGGATTGTCACGGATTCTCCTGCAAGTCCTGCTCTAAGTAGCTTCTCAGAGGACTCAGAAGCCACCAGCTGAACAATGCCTGAGATTCAGTGTCTGCAGTGTGATTTTTCCCTCTCTAATACTTCAAGTATCAGATTAGAGAGGAAACGAGAGGTTAGCTCTGGGTTATGCTAGACCTAGACATGGTGCTATTACTTCATTTCATCTTCCTCCCTAAGTTGCCTTCCAGTTGGACCAAAGGCCTTGCCCAGGTTGCAAGAAACGAGCCTGGGGGCTAGGGTTCCAGGTGTGCAGCCAGCGGGTGCTGAAGGCTGTGTTGGGCATGCCGCACCACGGTCTTTGGCTCTGACCTCTGATGGATGCCTTTGGGGTCTCTTGTAGGCCCAGGTGTTGGTGTGCCGAGCCCTCTCTAACATCTTGCTGCTTCCGTGGCCAAACCTTCCAGAGAATGAGCAGCAGTGGCCCGTGCGCTCCATCAACCACGCCAGCCTCATCTCTGCACTCTCCCGGGACTATCGCAACCTGAAGCCCAGTGCTGTTGCCCCACAGAGAAAGATGCCACTGGATGACAGTAAGTGACCCCTAGGCTAGGACAGCTGGGGAAGGAGGTAGGCAGGCATTGTTCTTTGTGGCAGATGAGATTTGCCCCGGAGGCTCCTGAGGTAAATTTTTTTTGTTCATAGTCCCACAGAGGCTGAGCAGGAAGTCATACTTGGGGGTGGGATCCTGCTACCTTTGGAATTCAGTTAAGACAGCAGCCAGACCTATTTCCAGAATCAAACTGTCCCTTCTCTTATTTAAAATGTAAAAAATGCTGGAGCCCTAAGAAAAAATGGAAGACACTGGTGATGGTGCCTTCTGTCTATAAAATACATCTTAAGGTGGTTATTGATCTATTTCAGATGCTTGTGTAGGCAAACAAAGCAGTTCACCTCTACACGCTGGGAAAATGCGCTCAAGAACTATTTTTCCAGATTGGTTTCAACCTTTTTCCAAATACAGATCTTCCAGAGGTTTTGAAAGAGCTTAGTTTCTTAAAAAATGGCACTTGAAGTTTGCTTGTTTATATTAAAGAAAGAGGGAAAAAAATGAATAAGGAAATATCTCTTTGAAATAACAAATAGTACCGAAATATTTTAAAAATACGAGCTCCTTTCACAAAAAGAAAATAATAGAACATTATTAGATGGTGCCATTTATGGAATGTCAGCAAAAATGCTTTGTGAAATGTCAGAAATAGTAATAAATACTATACTCTTTAAAAAACACTACTTTTATAACTAGGAAGATTAACATATGTGCATTGTACAAATACATTAAAATAGAATAATACAAAGAAGGAAAAAGTAACTCCTAAATCTGACCAGTTTTAATATTTTAGAAAGTAACCATTTTAACCATGCTTCCTTCTTACCTTCCCTTTTCTATTTTAAAATATGCTTCATGGTTACATAGCTGGATGAGAGTAGCTGACATATTGAGGGTATACTGTGTACTAGGCTCTTGCCTTGGTGATTCTATATCCATCGTCAAGTCTCTGGCTATGCCAGTATCAACTTTCAAAGTCTGGTGTTGGTCTCTTCCTGGTTCTAAGTATTTTTCAAAAATCAGTAATTCATTCAGTTCTTACATTAGCCTTATGAGTTCGGTACTGTTAGGATCTTGATTGATGATTAGCATGAGGAAGCTGAGGTCTAGAAGATTAAGGAACTTGCCCAGGGCTTGCATCCAGCTGTTGTGGAGTCATGCTTTATCACGTGTAATGGTCTCCTTTCCGCACTTTATCTTACATGGGAGTTATGTTGGTCTGCATGGGCGAGGATATGCTCAGTGGTAACAAACAACTCCAAAAGTGTAGTGGCTTAATACAAGAAGAAAAAGGATATGTTGTTTGTACTATATGTCCAGCTTGGGTCAGCAGAGTGGGGAGGTCACATAGGGACCCAGGCTGTGGAAGGCTCCATTTCAGTGTGTTCACTCTGGAAGGGATTGTGGTGAATTGCGTAGTGGTTCTTAAAGGTCTTGCCTGAAACTAACACTACTTCCACCTCTATTTCCTTGGCCAGAGCCAGCTACATGGCCTTGGCTTAACTCAGAGGGCAGGGAGGTGTGATGCCACTGTGTGCTGAAAGGGTTTGCAGTGTAGTATGTGAATGACGTCTTCAGTATGCTGACTGTGTGCAGGCACTGGGTTGAGCACTTTGTATACGTTATTTCATGTAACTTCCTGTGTAACCCTGTAACCCTGTGAGGTATGTCTTATCCTCATTCCACAGTGTTGAAATTAAGGTTGGAAAGTTTCATTTTTCTTATCTCAACTTTATACTTTGAAAAAAAAAAATTCCAAACCTACAGACTAGCCAAAGGAATAAGAAAATGAACAACTGCATCTCTCTCACCCAGATTCACTAATTGTGAATGTTTTGCCACATTTATGCTTTTTTCTGCAACACACTTTTTCTTAAAAGCCAGCTGTTTAAGTTGCAGATAATTGACACTTCATCTCTGACTACTTAACCTTTGTATCTATATAGAACAAGATATTAAACATTGGTACAATAATGTTATTTAAAATGTAGCCATATTAACACTTTCCCCAGTTGTTACCAAATTGTTCTTTTTTGCTTTTAAAAAATCCAGGATGTAATCTAGGATAGTTTTATTGTGTTTGGTTGTTATATCTCTTTAGTCTCCTTTGATCCAGAAGAGCATGCCCAGTTTTTGTCTTTCGTGACATTGGCATTTTTGAAGCGTCCAGGCCTGTTTTCTTGTCATATGTCTCCTAGTCTTGTTTTGCCTGATTGTTTCCATAGGTTGTGGTGTAGTGGTGCATGTTCGTGTTCGCATTTCCTCTTGCATTGCTTCTGTTTGTCCCATCCTTGGTGATGCTCAGTCTGGATGCCTGTTGGGAGTAGGGCCTGCCAGTCTGTCCATTGGGAAGGTGCTTGGCAGGTGTAATTGCTCAGGACTGTAGAGAAAGTGGGCGAGGTCAAGAGTTGGACTTGGGTCTGAATGGCTCCAGCTCCTGTGTTCTGCACCACTTTGCTGCATTGCCTCTTTCTTCTTGAAAACAAAAAAAAAAAAAAGAAAAGAAAAAAGGTTTTAATGGTTTTATAATGTCCTGTCTCATGGAAGTATAACAGTTACCCACCCCATTCTCCTATTATTATATACTTATAGTGCTTTCAATTTTTGACTTGTATTTTTTTTAAATACATCTTTTGTCCTCGTTTGAATTTCCTTAAATGCCAGAGGTCAGATTTTGGTCTCTTGACTGTTGGTTTTTTGCTCTAAACTGCTTCCCCTGTTGCCTGTGCGTTCTTGAGGAAGTGGCTGCCCTGAGTGCAGTTTCCTAGCTGAGTAGAAGTCCATGTGCTTGTAGTTGTGGACGGCTCCCTGCTCAGCAGTGTGGGTGAGCCTTTCCTTTACTCTCCAGTGTCACTGTGACTGGGGGACCAGGACCAGGCCTGTGGCGAGAAGCGTCTTCCTTCATCCTCAGCCCTGTGAGTGGGGCGATGCTCTCTATCCACGTGTTCAGATGAGGGGCAGCAGGGCCAGGCCTGCCTCCATCTGCCTCCTGAGCATGTCTTCTTTCTGCCGTACCCCTTCCTCAAAGCTGCGGCAGTCCCACAGAGGCTGCTGAGCACTGGGGTTCGGGGGACCCAGAGACTGCTGCCAAGTGGGAGGCAGCTCTCAGCCCAGCTCTGGCTCAGCCTCTGGTGGTCGCCAGGGTTGAGTCTGCTAGGCTCAGGCTGAGCCATGGGCGTCACTTTGGGGAGGCTGGTGGGAAACTCTGCATCTTAAGAGGGTGACTCCACTCGCGCTGGGAACAATGGCAGCATCTCCGTCCTGGACCTTCTTAGATGGCTGGCACACTGCTAGCATCGTTCGGGACCTTGTCTCTAATCCCCACTGCAGCACTGCCAGAGTGGGGTTGTCGGCTCTCCCAGATGGATGAGGGTCCTGCCCATGGCACATAGCCTTCAGATGGTCACCTGTGGTTCATAGCCAGGGCTCTCTGACCTCTGCCTGTTTGCGGCCCACTACATCTGTTTTCCCTGTGTGCCATATGGAGTCAAAAGTCATCTCAGGGTTAGCATTATGTATTGTCAATAACATAATAACAGTAATTATATGCCTTATCAAGCTACGGGGCTAATAGGCCAAAGATGGATCAGGCAGGTTGTTCTTGCAGCCAGCACCATTACATGTGCATGGCAGGTGTTTGTGGGATTACTGGGCTGGAGTAGCATCCCACTGAGTGACAAGGTTTGAGCTGCATGTGTCCGTCCTGGCCTGTGACCTTATGACACTCATTTTCTCACCAGTCTATTCACCATCTTTTAGATTTGATTAAATCCAAGGCACCCAACCTGGGGGTACATTTATTTATCTTTTTTCTTCTGTGGACTTGTTGCCAATGGCCAGAGGCAAAACAGAGGCAAAAACCTGAGCAAGCAGGCAGGCAGGCATCTTCTCCCCAACACACATTCCAGGCTTCTGGAGTCCTGGCAGTAATAATAGTAAAAACAAAAACTAAAACATAAAGAGAGGAGAATTTATATTGTAATCAAGAGACTGTTCCTTTAGTGAGACTCGTGTGATCATCTTCTTGGTACCTTTGCAAGTTTCCTCCCTCTCCCTTGTGTCTCCTCTTACCATGCTTTCTCCCCAGACAGCTTATAACCTGCAACTCATCTTGATTTGCAGCCAAACTGATTATCCACCAGACACTCAGCGTCTTAGAAGATATTGTGGAGAATATCTCGGGGGAGTCCACCAAGTCTCGACAGATTTGCTACCAGTCGCTGCAGGAATCTGTTCAGGTCTCCCTGGCCCTCTTTCCAGCTTTTATCCATCAGTCAGGTAGGAGCTGGCCCAGAGGCCCCACTGGTGGGTGGTGCTAACAAGGGCCAGAATACCCACTTAGATCTGTAGAACACACTGAGTCGGTGCAGTACAGGCCTTGACTTGTTCCGTGCAACGAAACCCGGTACTGAGGGGAAAGGGCAGTGATGTTTATTTGTGGAGTCTAGGGCCAAGGCCCTTTGGAAAAGTGAGCAGAGCTCTCCATATGGGCCTTGGCACCTACAAGAGAAGGCAAGAGAGCTTTTTTGGCTTAGTTCTCCTTATTTTGTGGCAAGGTGCATTTGCCGAGATCGTTCCCCTCACCCTTGTCTGTCACTGTCAGTGATAGAGGGCCTCTCTAGCTCTGTGGATGTACTTGCCTAGCTCTCATGACAGCATTATAGTAGTCTTGTCAGTTTTACAAGAGAAATATCAGGCACTTCTCAGTCAGCAAATATTCATTGCCTCTTGCAAGCAGATTGCGTGCAGTTAGGGCTGAAACACACTACACAAGATGATTGTTGAGATCTGGAAGTGAAACTGCCCTATATGTAACCAGTATTTTCTGCAATTAATCCATTTAATGGACCAGGGCCATGCAACCTAAATACACCTTCATTATCCACTTTCAACCACTTAACCCCTGACCCAGCTGCAGGGATTATTAGTCATAGGGGGAAATGGCTTAAGCACTCAGGTGTTGACCCAGTTGGCATTCATCAGTGTGGGCACAAAGTGATCCCTCTCCAGTGAAACTCTGACCATCACTGGATGTCGGGCAATGAGGGAGGGTTCGAGATGACCTTCATTTCCTGTAGTGAGCCACCAGGTGGAGGTTCCCTATACCAGAACTATTTTCTCAGCATGTCCCTAATCGTTTTCCACTTTCCATCATTGGCCCTGATGGTGTTGGGGAAATGTTTCCAGCAGGAAGCTGTAGAGAAAGCTGATAGTGCAGATTTCAGGAGTAGGTTGATGAAGCCCAGGGTTCTGGTTCTCACTGTGTGCAAGCCTCTGACGATATCTCTGCCCCTTTCCTCAGATGTGACTGATGAGATGCTGAGCTTCTTCCTCACTCTGTTTCGAGGCCTTAGAGTACAGATGGGTGTGCCTTTCACTGAGCAAATCATACAGACTTTCCTCAACATGTTTACCAGGTAAGCACAGACCCACCATCTATAGTTTTCAGATTCAAGGGAGAAGTGGTGGGTCTGGCGACAAAGTGTGGCTTTTTGCTCCTGTTCTGCACTTGCCACAGCATGGGTTTTCATGCTGGCCCCCAGAGAAACATGTGGTTGCTCACTGTGTGGCTTTCTCCTCTGTAGAGAGCAGTTAGCCGAGAGCATCCTCCACGAGGGCAGCACAGGCTGCCGGGTGGTGGAGAAGTTTCTGAAGATCCTGCAGGTGGTGGTCCAGGAGCCAGGCCAGGTGTTCAAGCCCTTCCTCCCCAGCATCATCGCCCTGTGCATGGAGCAAGTGTATCCCATCATTGCCGAGGTAGGGGCTCAGACGGTCCCCTGTGCAGCACCCCCCATCTCCAGATTGGGAAGGGAATGAGATTTCACAGAAAATGTATTGTGTTTTAAAGTTCATTTGTTAGTTTAATATGCTTGTAAAGTAGTTTCTCCCAAGGAAGAAGGCCTTTAGTGGTGTGGTACAGTGTTTTTATATTGATTGAGTTCATTGGAGCTAGTCTAGTGTAAGCATGGCAGTTATTCCACAGGGTCAGTTGCTAAGATCAGTCTCCTGCGGCAAATTTTATACCTTTAAGAGACTCTGGTTTTCTATAGCAAACATTCTAACATATGTACTTTCCTATTAGAAACATTCATGGTCTCGAGGATACAAGGCAAGTTCTTGAAACCATTCAAACAAACCTTTCAGTGTTACAGGAAAGCCCTTTGTCCTTCTTAGAAAATAGGCAGGCACTCAGCATAATAAGACCCGGAATAAGTATAGATTTAATTTCAGTTTTTTTGGTAATAGTCGTATAAATAAGAGTTAATCTTTAACTGTCTGAACTGAGACTGGGACAGGTCTGGTTGCTGTGCATTACGAAATGCACTGGGCCTATGAGGCTTCTTCTGTGGATGCTTGTGGCCCCTGGTGTCTATTTAATTTTAATCAAGGCTGAACTGAATATATGTGGGCCTTCTAATTTTGAATTCTGCAGAGACATTTGGAATAAGGGATTGGGGGAGTTGGAGTCAATGAGAAAACACTGCTGAGCCTGACCCTTCTCCTCTAACTCCTCTCAGAATCCTGGCTACTGGGAAAGAGGAGACTGGCCCAGAGAGCCTGGCTCCCAAGTGTTCTTTAAACCCTCCCCTTCTGGGGAGCAGAATCGCTTTAAGGCGTTGGGTCTGTCTTTAGCCTCCGTGGTTGTGTAAGACCAACAGGTTAGTGGGACAGCATTTTTTATCCTGGGAAAAGGAACAAGCAAGAAGATCTGACAGGTCGAATAGAACAGGAAATCCATACTCCTAATTGTTCATCCACTTGGTAGCTTTTTTCTAGTGTAAAAGCTGAGTGCTCATCAGAAAAAGGGGCCCTTGGCACTGACCCGTGCATTCTCTCTCAAATGTGGGCCATGTCTCTCCTGAAGAACTCGCGGTGTGAACCGCCAACTCCAGGGGCTAGATGTCTTTTGCACAGGCAGTGACAGGACTCCAGGGGCTGGATGTCTTTTGCGCAGGTAGTGACAGGCATGTGGATGGAGTGTTGACACTCGGCTTGCTGTCACGAGGCGTCTCCTAGGCATCTTTGCTGCCCTGGGCCCAGGCCGGAGCAGCTCCGCAAGCTGCAGGTCTGAGCGTCTGTGTGTCTTTGCAGCGTCCCTCCCCTGATGTGAAGGCCGAGCTGTTTGAGCTCCTTTTCCGGACGCTCCATCACAACTGGAGGTACTTCTTCAAGTCCACCGTGCTGGCCAGTGTCCAGAGGGGGATCGCTGAGGAGCAGATGGAGAATGAGCCCCAGTTCAGTGCCATCATGCAGGTAACGTGGGGGCGGGGTTGCTGCCAGGTGACTTCCTCTAACCTGACCACTGCAGCGAGTCCTGTCTTCGAAGCCCCACAGTCTCGGGTCTGAAGCTCAGTTCTGCCTGTTAGTATTGATGAAGTTAATTAATTTCTTGGAGCCTCAGTTTCTTCATCTGCAAAGTGGAGCTAATGTTGCCTGGGTCACAGGTTTGTTGTGAGGTTAAATGAGATGACATACACAAAGTGCATGACACTTGGAGATGCTTGATAAACGTCAGTTCCGCTGACCTCATAGTGCTGTTTCCCCAAGTGTAAAGAGCCTGCCTATGCCAGAGTCACCGAGGGCCTTCTTAGCGGGGAGCTGCCTGAATATGAGTCTCCGCAGGAGGGCCCCAGACCTGCACTGTGATTCTGACTCTGACCATACTGGGAGAAACACTGCCCTGGGAGGGAGCATTCGCTTTCAGGGCAGATGCAGCTGTCCATTGGAGAGAGTGCACTGTCTGGGGGCTAAATACCCCTTGCTGTGGAAGACTGGGACGGCATCACCTCGCCCAGACAGCCAGCCTGCTCTGTGGCTGTGTCAGGCACGCTCCCAGGGTCTGCACTCAAGTGTCTGACGTTCTCATCTGAGTCTAGCTAGGGGAGTCTCTTTTGGTATTTTCAGTGCATGCTTTTCCTCATGGGGAAGCAAGAGGGATTTCCACCCTCCCTCCAGCTCCCTACTAGCACACAGCATGCACACAGGCATGCACGTGCGCATGCGCGCGCACACACACACATACTGACTCTTGTGTGGCAGTTCTTTTCAGGCACGTGCCCTTGCCCTGGCCTTCCCATCCCTGGCACCCACCGAGGCCTCAGGTCTGCAGTACTCAAGTGTTTGCGCCTCCCCTGCCTTTCTCTTGAACCCTGTCCTTGCCTGGAAGACTTCTTTGGCACGCTGGTGCCTGGTCCCCACTGAGGGCTGGTGAAAGGCACTTTGGAGAATAGTTTCACAGTTTGGCAGTTTCTTTTAAAGTTAAGTGTGTAGTTACTGTATGACCTAGCAGTCTCACTTCTAAGTATTTTACCCAAGATAAATGAAAGCATATGTTCACACAACCTGTACACTGATGTTTATAGAAGCTGTTTCATAATTGCCAAAGCTGGAAACACTTTGAGTATCCAGCAGCTGAATGGATGAACAGGCTCGTGCATGCCTCTAAGGGACTGGCACTCGGCAATAAGCAAGCATGGATTCTTGGTACAATCAGCAGCATAGATGAGTTTCACATGCATTCTGTCAGGTGAAAGAAGCTAGATGCCAAAGGCTATGCATGGTAGGATCCCATGCCATTCTATGACATTCTGGAAAAGGTAGAACCACAGGGACAGATAATGAGCAGTGGTTGCCTTAGGGGTGAGGGTGTGAGGGGACGTTCCAGGTGATGGAAGTGTCCTGTCTTGGTTGTGATGGTGGTGGTACAAATCCACAGGTAGGTCAGAATTCATAGAAAGATAAACCTCAAAAGTTTACTCTGTTATACTTCCATGAACCTAACTTTAAACAGTAAATAAGTGGAAACTATTGGTCATCATGGAGATCTCATCCCTGCTGCAGGGATTACAAGATCCTCCTCTGGTAGCTTAGGGGCCCAGGGACAGAATGACAAAGCAGTCACCACTTGTTTTGTAGGGGGGTCCTGCAGACCACCGGCCTCCCCGACTGCCCCCATGGTCACTTTCTATTCTTTCTGTTGGAGCAGGGCACTTTGTGTTGGTGTGCGGGGTGTTTCTTTTTGCCCCTGAACTAGTAATTTTTTTCTTTTTTCTTTTTTTGAGATAAGTCTTGCTCTGTTGCCTAGGCTGGAGTGCAGTGAGTGGTAGGATCTCAGCTTACTGCAATCTCTGCCTCCTGGATTGAAGTGATTCTCCTGCCTCAGCCTCCCGAGTAGCTGTGATTACAGGCGTCCGCCACCACGCCTGGCTAATTTTTGTATTTTTAGTAGAGATGGGGTTTTACCGTGTTGGCCAGGCTGGTCTTGAACTCCCACCCTTCAGTGATCCGCCCACCTCGGCTTCCCAAAGTGCTGGGATTACAGGACTGAGCTTCTGTGCCTGGACTGAACTAGTAACTTTTACACCCAGGAATTCCAAAGCAGTTTAAAAATACTTTGCTTAGCCCCCAGGCAGAGGCTTAACCTCCAGGTGGAGGCTCCATGAAGGAGCCTGTAGGGCTTGTGGCTTTTGAGACGGGGGATGCAAGAAGGAGGGCAAGGGAGGGGATTGCTTGGCTTGAGCAGGAGCAGGCAGGCAGGCTTTGGTGTCTGTCTGCCAGGATTGCTGAGGGATTTGACTAGAGGTGTGAGCTTCTTGCTTCAAAGCCAGGTCCTGTGATGGGTTTCTAGAGGTTTGTTAAAAAAGGTATATATGAGACCATAATAAGAAGCAAGGCCCGGTGGGGAAAACATGAACTCTGAGACTTAGGAGGAGCGTCGTAGAGGTCTGAGCTGGTGGGCCAGAAGCATCAAGACAATGGGTACCCTGGCCCTGGCACTTGTTCTTCTGACATGGGGTAGATGCTCCAGAAGTGCTTGGTCTTGCAGTTTATAAAATGGTGGTCTCATTTCCTAGGCTTTCGGACAGTCCTTTCTCCAGCCCGACATCCACCTTTTTAAACAAAATCTCTTCTACTTGGAGACTCTCAACACCAAGCAGAAGCTGTACCACAAGGTAAGTGCCCCAGCTCTTGGAAATATTCTTCCATCAGGGGCATTGTGGCCTGTGTCCCACCCTCAGGTTACTCACTGGAGAGTGTGACAGAAAGTGGATGGGACCCGGGACAGGCCCCTGGGGGCTGGCTGCTGCTCACCTGGTCTCTCTGCCTGCAGAAGATCTTCCGGACTGCCATGCTGTTCCAGTTTGTGAACGTGCTGCTCCAGGTCCTGGTCCACAAGTCCCATGATCTTCTGCAGGAGGAGATTGGCATCGCCATCTACAACATGGCCTCAGTCGACTTTGATGGCTTCTTTGCCGCCTTCCTCCCAGAGTTCCTGACCAGCTGTGATGGTGTGGATGCCAACCAGAAAAGTGTGCTGGGGCGGAATTTCAAGATGGATCGGGTGAGGAGAGAAAGAGGCCGGGCTAAGAGGAGGGCAGAGTGGGCACGCAAGCCTGGCACCTGTGCAGCAAGGAGGGGGCACATTGAGGCCTCTGGGCGTGGTCTGTGCCCACCCTGCAGCTTGGCGGCAGCTCACGAGATGCCTGCTGACCTGGTGCTGTAGCCTGATTGAGGGGCACAGCCTTTTCCCCAGTCTTGGTGTCTGTAGCACGTATGTTCTTAGTCTCAGCCATGGAGGTCCCGAGTTCCTGGCTCTGCAGCCCCTCCATTTGTCTTGGCATCTTTGTTCATACCCAGGACCCTGCCGTTCTCCCTCCTGGGTGATGAGCCCCGGTGGGGCCAGCATTGGAGTGTGCCCAGGCTTGCATTCAGGCTGAGATGGTTGGTGCTTGGGAGCTGCACTTCTGGGTCCCCAGGGTTAGAGGTGGGACCCAGGTTCCCCGGCTGTCTTGGGCTCTTTCCAGACCAGCCCCAGCTCAGCTTGGGCTGAGTTGCTGCCAGGTCCTGGGAGGAGCCCTCCTAGTACTCACCCTCTTGTCCCACTGCTGCCACCTGTGCAGGGACTGTCAGGTGGGCTGTCCCCACCCGTGCAGCACCTCGGTGGGAGCTGGGTGCTGCTGGCTCTTGGTGTCCATGAGGCCATCTTGTTGGAGCCTGACAGTGCCTGGGACCTCCTTCCCCATGGGGCTCACCTGTTCTCTTCTTCCTGTGTCAGGTGACCAGGCCTCTCTCTTGCCTGATAGGAACTTCTGGGAACTTTTCCTTGTACCGTTTTATACTTGATGAAATTAGGAAAAGAAATCGCTTTCTCCCTGGTCCTCTTGGGGTTCTTGACCTGAGTCCTCTGTGAAGCAGCTTGTCCACGGCTCCACCGTAGTGCTCAGATGCACACACTGCTCTCACTGGTGCAAACCTGGCCGCCTGCTTTCCTCATTTGCCACGTGTGGCAGGGAAGCTTTTGCTTAGACTCATCCTGTTCTCCTTTGTCTTGGGGTCTTCCTTTTCTTGGGACTTGTTCTCTCCTAAGCCTCTTCCAGTTCACTTCAGCCCCTGGATATGTTTTTTCCTTTTTCTAGAGGCCAGATCCTAATACTTAATGATCAGCTTCTAACGACATCAATATCAGTCAACTTTTTGATTTAAAGCTGTGGTTTCAAAATCTAGTTATAGGCCAGGCGCGGTGTCTCACACCTGTAATCTCAGCACTTTGGGAGGCCAAGGCGGGCGGATCACTTGAGGTTAGGGGGTTTGAGACCAGCCTGGCCAACATGGCGAAACCCTGTCTCTACTAAAAATAAAAAAAATTAGTCAGGTGTGGTGGCACACGCCTGTAATCCCAGCTGCTTGGGAGGCTGAGGCACAAGAATCTCTTGAACCCGGGAGGCAGAGGTTGCAGTGAGCGGAGGTTGTGCCACTGCACTCCAGCCTGGGCGGCAGAGTGGGACTTTGTCTCAAAAAAAAAAATCTAGTTATATCAGAAGCACCTGGGGTACTTATTAAAAATGGAGAAACAGACTTCTGTGTTCTACCCAGGAAATTCTGGTTTGGCATTTGGGAGCCACTGATTTAAAAGACATCCCTTAGTTGGTTTTTTGAGGGTAAAATAAAAGAATCACCACCTTCCATTCAGTCACGCACTGTGTGTTTGAAGCCAGCTGCTTCTCAAGCCCCGGGCCAGGAACTGGGGCACCAGTCCCAGCCTTCACCAAGTCTTTCATGGTAGACAGGCCAATACAGCACCCTCTGTGGACCACATAGTGCCAAGCATGTGACATGTCTTGGCTCGAGTAAGCCTTCTAACAAGCCTCTGAAGTGTGGGTCCTGTTACTCCCCCATTTCACAGATGGTGGGGGCTCAGAAGGTGAGCAGTTCACAGAACTTGGAAGTGGTAGAGCTGCGAAGCAGGAGGCAGACCTGGGTGTTCTGGCCCCAGAGCCTGCACACACTCCCCAGAAGCAGATTGCTCAGGACAGAGGCGCTGAGCTGGCTGCTGGGGCCAGGAAATAGGAGGCATCTGTGCAGACTTTGGGAAGAGGCAGGCTTTGAATGGAGTTCTGGAAGAGGAATAGTGGTTGGGCAGGAAAATGAACTTGGTCCTGCTCATGGCTCTGCTGGGGCTTGCTGGGCCTGTTTGAGTCCTCACCGGGACCTACACTGAAAAAAAAAGCAGGGTCTCACCGTGTGCATGATGGCGGAGGTCAGGGCCTCACTTCTGGCCCAGGGCCTTCCATGGCCCACGCTGCGCCCAGTGGGACAGGCCTTGGGACTGTGTTTGCTGCTGCTCGGGTGGCTCTCGAGGGGCAGGGGCGGCCTGGAGCCCCGTGGGTAAAGGTTCTGCAGACATTGCTCGGTGTGCGCGTCACCTCAAGGGGCCATGGTGAAGAAGAGGGCTGTCACCACAGCCATGTCTGCGTTTGAGGGGCCGGACTCAGGAGCAAGTGTGCTGGTCTCTTCAGTGTGAGCTGGGGCCAGCTTCTTCATGGTGCAGCGCTTTGGTCTTTCTGTCCTTAGACTAGTGGTTCTGGTAGGGCTTGGTGGCAGCCTTGTGGTGAGGACTCAGTGAGTTGATGTCTGTATGTTGATTGCAGCAGTGTCTGGCACCCGAGAGGCCCTAGGGACGTATTCCTCTTGTTCTTTTTCTCCCACAGCGCCTGGCACAGAGTCTCTGTGACACGCAGTGCAACAGTGAATAGAAGTTTTGAGTTTTAGAAAGTGCTCCCCTATCTTCAGTGCACACTCTGGGATGGAAGTAGCTGTTGGGGTCTGGTGGGTGGGTGACCTGGTGTGTTGTTGGCTGCAGCTATGCCCCTGCCTTCCAGGACCTGCCCTCATTCACCCAGAATGTGCACAGGCTGGTCAACGACCTGCGCTACTACAGACTCTGCAACGACAGCCTGCCCCCTGGCACTGTGAAGCTCTAGGCCTGCTACTGCCTGGGGACACGGACTTCTGCTGCTGCCACCTGCGCCAGCCCTACCTTCCACCACAGATGTCTCCCAGATGGGCCTTGGTCACACTCCTTGGCTTCTCCCACCGCAAGCAACGCTGCCTGCCTCTGCCGCTCCTCCACATCTTGCCGCTGCCCAGCAGAGCTGGCTTCTGGGTCCACCTGAGCACTGGACGGTGCTCCCAGGGCGTTGGAGCAGGCGGAGGGGTGTGTGGCCAGGTACTAGGAGGCACCAGGAAATCCCGCGGGGTGGCCCATGCAGACCAGGCGCACGTGGCTCATGGGGCAGAATTGCCAAGGACAGCTCACGACAGTGCCACCTTCTCACCATTCCAGCCAAGGAGAGATGTGACGTTGGAACTGCTCTGGCACTTCTGTCAAGCCTCCCCCGCCCCAATTGCCTTGAGATCTCTGCTCTTTGTCAGAGATTTGCAAAGACTCACGTTTTTGTTGTTTTCTCATCATTCCATTGTGATACTAAGAAACTAAGAAGCTTAATGAAAAGAAATAAAATGCCTATGTTGTTGTTCTAGAAACCCTGGCTGGGGAGCTGCTTGCTACTCACAGCCTCCTTGAGGCCGGGTTCCCAGCAAGGTGCATCCTGATGGGAATGTGGGCAGTGCGGCTTGGAGTGGGCTGGCTCCTGGCGTCTCCCACCTTCTAATGGCATCTCCCTGACTGCTCTTACTCAGCGAGGGGAGGGGGTCTCACTGACAGTTGGCCAGATGATGGAGGGAGGCTGCAGTCTGGGAGGGGGTCTCACTGATGGTTGGCCTGGTACTGGTGGAGGCTGGAGGCTGGGAGGGGGTGTTGCTGATGGTTGGCCTGGTGGTGGAGGGAGGCTGGAGTCCAGGCTGCCTGACTCCTGTGGCCCCTGTGGCACCCACTCCCCCTGCCCCCCAGGGTGGGAAGTGTGGGCTCCACCTCCCCCACCTGCTAGGGAATAGATTCCTTCCCACGATGTGCAGCAGGACCTGGCCCTCCGTGGCCTGAAGTCTCGCTGGAGGACAGGGAGGTGGGGTCTCATGATGGATTGGCTGGGTGAGAATAGAGGTTGGAGAGGGAGGGAGGGTGTGACTCTGTGAGGGTGGGGATGGGTGGGACTTGGGGCTCTATGATGTGTCTGAGAGCTGGGGCTTTGCCCAGACGTTCATGTGTGGAAGCGGCATTTGTCATCAAATTGTCCAGAATCAGGAACCAGCACCTCCTCCTGCGCTAAGTATCATGATGACTGGGCAGGCCCAAATGGGGTGGTTGCTGATGTGGACTACAGCGCCTGGCAGGGAGAGATTGGCTCACCTGGACGTGAGGGCAGGCGTTGACTGGCTTGTTGCCAGGCCTGGGGAAGTGGGGAGCTGTGGGTTGATGTCTGTTTCTGAGACTTCCATAGGAATCACCTGGGCAGGGGCTGGGCCGGGGTGAGCAGGGCGTGCATGATGTGTGCTTGTGTGGCAGGCCCTCGTCCATGTCAGTCACAGCCTCCCGACTGCAGCGAGCTCTGCTCCAGAGTTCAGAAAGGAGAGAATAGAAATGCCGATGGCTCTTCTGCAGAAAGGAATTAGCATCCAATTATGCCTGGGCTATATATACCACCTCACCTGCCTGCTAGGGAAGGCCAGGAGTGCTGTCTGTGCCTGAGACTGTGAAAGGGCTTTTTCCTTTGGAGATGGAGGGGTTGAAGGGATAGGATTTGTTGCCTGTGAACCCCACCCTTGGACAGAAGAACACAGGTAGGACTTAGGAGCGCAGAGGAAAGGCCAATGGGGAGTAAGCTGGGCTGGGATGGAGTTTTTTTTTTTTTTTTTGAGACAGAGTCTCGCTCTGTCGCCAGGCTGGAGCGCGGTGGCGCTGCAACCTCCACCTCCCGGGTTCAAGTGATTTTCCCACCTCAGCCTCCCGAGTAGTTACAGGCATGCGCCATCACGCCCAGCTAATTTTTGTATTTTTAGTAGAGATGGGATTTCACCATGTTGGCCAGGATGGTCTGAATCTCTACCTTCCACCGTAGATGTCTCCCAGACGGACCTCGTGATCCACCTGCCTCGGCCTCCCAAAGTGCTGGGATTACAGATGTGAGCCACCGCACCTGGCCTTTTTTTTTTTTTTTTTTAAGAGACAAGGTCTCACTCTGTCACCCAGGCTGGAGTGCAGTGATGCAGTCATGGCTCACTGCAGTCTTGACTTACAGCTTTTAGTGATCCTCCCACCTCAGCCTCTCGAGTAGCTGGGACTACAGATGTGCATCACCATGCCTGGCTAGTTCTGTTTATTTTTTGTAGAGATGGGATCTCACTGTGTTGCCCAGGCTGGTCTCAAACTCCTGGGCTCAAGCGATCCAAAGTGCTGAGACTACAGGCTTTTGAGACGCCATGGCTGGTCAAATGGAGGATGTTCTTTCCAGGACTGATAGCATGGCCCAGGGGTGTGGGTTGTAGTGAGCCCTAATTCTTAGAGGTGTGCGAGCTGGTCTTTGACCTGACCTAATTCTTAAAGTTTTTATTTATTTGTTTATTTTTTTGGGACAGAGTCTTGGCCTGTGGCCCAGGCTGGAGTGCAGTCGTGCCATCTTGGCTCACTGCAACCTCCGCCTCCTGGGTTCAAGTGATTCTCCTGCCTCAGCCTCCCAAGTAGCTGGGATTACACAGGTGCATGCTCCCACACCCAGCTAATTTTTGTATTTTTAGTAGAGATGGGGTTTCACCATGTTGGCCAGGCTGGTCTTGAACTCCTGACCTCAAGTGAGCCACCTGCCTTGGCCTCCCCAAGTGCTGGGATTACAGACGTGAGCCACCACACCTGGCTCTTTGATTTGATTCTTACCTGCAGTGCCTCACATAGGGCCTGGCATGAAGCAGGCTTAAGAAGCACGGGTAGAATTGAGTGAGTTCTCAGGTCCTAGACATATCCAGAAAGTGTGTCTCCCCATTCTGAGGAAGGGGATGGGGAAAGGATAGAGCTGGACAAGAGTGGGCCTTTTGGGCCGGGCACAGTGGCTCACAGCTGTAATCGCAGCACTTTGGGAGGCCGAGGCGAGAGGATCGCTTTAGTCCAGGAGTTTGAGACCAGCCTGGGCAACATGGTGAAACTTCATCTCTGCCATAATAATAATAATAATAATAATAATAATAATAATAATAATAATAATTTAAGAAAAGAAAAAAAGAGTGGGGCTTTGTGTCAGTCTTGGGTTGGGGCGGATAATGGCAGGGGGCTCTCAAGACGGCTGTTTTTCCTGCCGCCTTTGAATGTGAGGCGGCTCTTCTGTCTCCATTTGGGCGCCCATGGCCTGCTTTTCTTCTGACTTGTGTCATTTACATCTGCCAAGAGTGCAGCCACTGGCTTTGGGACGAGATCAGATGAAACCTTCATCTTCCCAATTTCCAGCATTTTCCTCCACTGCCCATCATTGGCCTCATGTGATGGAGGGTTGAATGTTTTTTTTTTTTTTTTTAACAGCATGTATTTTTCTCCTGACTATAAAATGTTTGTTGTAGAATATGTGAAATATGCAGAAAACTTTGAAGCAAAAAAAAAAAAAGTTATCCTACTGCCCAGAGAAAAACACTGTTAATATTTTGGTGTATTTCCTTTTGAGATTACCCTGTATGTGTGTAAATATGTATGGTTTTCTTTTTTCCTTTTTTTTTTTTTGTAAAATTGAGCTCCTGCCGTTCTATTTTATTTTTATTTTTTAAAAAAGATTTTTTAAAAAAACAGAGACAAGGTCTCGCTGTGTTTCCCAGGCTGGTTTTGAATTCCTAGGCTCAAGTGATCTTCCAGCCTCAGCCTCCCAAAGTGCTGGGATTACAGGTGTGAGCCACTGCACCTGGCCGAGATCCTGCTGTTTTATGGCCTCCTTTTTATTTAATATGTTGTGACCATTTTCTCATATTATTAGATGTTTTTTTTTTGAGATGGAGTCTTACTTTTTTGCCAAGGCCGGAGTGCAGTGGCATGATCTCGGCTCACTGCAACCTCCGCCTCCTGGGTTTAAGTGATTCTCCTGCCTCAGCCTCCCGAGTAGCTGGGATTACAGGTGCCTGCCACCATGCCTGGCTAATTTTTGTATTTTTAGTAGAGACGGGGTTTTGCCACATTGCCCAGGCTTGAACTCCTGACTTCGAGTGATCCGCCTGCCTGGGCCTCCCAAAGTGCTGGGATTACAGGCGTGAGCCACTGCGCCCAGCCTGATATTCTACAAATATCTAAGGCTATCACTGATATTCTACAAATATCTAAGGCTGTCACTGACGATGCAGTGATCATCCTTGTGTGTAAATCTGTGTGTTTGATTGTTTCCATAGGTTGGATTCCTGCATGTGAAATTGCTGGGTCAGATGTGTCTGAGGCTTTTATGGATATTTCTGGGGACTGGTTTCTATTCTGAAGGAGGAAAAATATCACAGATTTGACCAAATCAGCCCCTGGTTTTGTGGGTCTTGGAGATTCAGAACTCTAATTGGTTAGTGGCCTAACCAGGCCTGCCCACTTCTGAGCCACATCCTTGTCCCAGTGTCCCTCTCCAGCGTGAGACCTCTGCAGAGGAGCTGAGACCAGGAGAGGAAGGTTGCTGACAGTTCTAGCTGGCTCCTTGGGCCTGGGCAGAAGAGCCATGATTGTTGGCCATTTATTAATAACTATTATTTGCTGAATTCTACAAGCCTGGTGCCCGGCTGCAGGCGAAGGACTCCTTTTCACTGCACATGCAGTAGCTGGTTCCTCCTTAGGTGGAGTCAGCTCCGAGATGGGCCTTGTGTTGTGTGCACGGAGGATTTTGGTGACTGTGGTTTGATCACTGTGGCTCATCTCTGAGACCAGCCCTTGGGAAAAGCTGAGGTGCTCCCCTGAAATGACTCTGGCTGCCCCATCAATCCCCCTCCTTCTCCCTCACCCCTCCAAAGCCTCCTCCTCCAATCTCTGTGAAGCCCTCCTCTGTGAGGCCCTGCCAAGCGCCCCTTCCTCCTCGCTGCCCCGCAGCACCTGTGTCCCCTCTTGTCCCAGGAACCGTGGTGTCACCCCTACCACCATGAGAACCTGCAGGCAGTGGGGGGCTCTCTGTCCCTAGCAGGCAGCGTAGGGCTTGGCTCAGAGCAGGCACCAAAAAATTCTTATGTGCAGGAGGATTTTTCAGATTTATCCAAATGGGTTTTTCTTCAAGGAAGAGGTCTAGAGCCCCGCTGAGGCATCTTCTAACTAATTTTCAACATAATGAAACCGTGTCCTTGGTGTCTGCTCAGAACACCGTGGCCTTACCTTGCTGGGCTCCTTAGGGAAAAGCACTTACGTGAAAGGCTCTTCAGTGAAGAATTTCTGTAGCTCAAGGACTCCCTTTTCCGCCCTTCCCTGTTTGTATCATTTGAAAACATCTTTTAAAAGCCTTGTTAATTAATTGCCTCAGGGCTTGGAGGTGCTGAGTGGGGGCAGGCATTGAGAGCAGGCCGGGTTATGCGGCCTCCTGGGGTGGGCAGAGAGAGCTCCGTGGTGCTGGTCAGAGCCTGACTCAGAGCCCCCAGGGGCCTCTGAAGGGTGGCAGAAGCTTTCCCTGGGTCAGTCAGGTACCAAGGGGTGGGTTGGAAAGTTAAGTATTTCAATGAAACGTCCCAGAGATCCACAGACCTGACGTAGGCGGCAGGCATTTTGGCAACAGGTAGATTTTTTTTTTAAAGACACTCAGGTTTTGGTTGGGCACAGTGGTTCACGCCTGTAATCCCAGCACTTTGGGAGGCGGAGGCGGGTGGATCACCTGACGTCAGGAGTTCGAAACCAGCCTGGCCAGTATGATGAAACCCCGTCTCTACTAAAAATACAAAAATTAGCTGGGCGTGGTGGCGTGGGCACCTGTAATCCCAGCTACTTGGGAGGCTGAGACAGGAGAATCACTTGAACCTGGGAGGCAGAGGTTGCAATGAGCTGAGATTGAACCACTCCAGCCTGGGCAACAGAGGGAGACTCTATCTCAAAAAAAAAAAAAAAAAAAAAAAAAAGACACTCAGGTTTTTAATTTTTTCCCCTTCTCTCTTTTTAATTTTTTTTTTTTTTTGAGACAAAGTCTTGCTCTGTTGTGCAAGCTGCAGTGCAGTGGAGTAGTCATAGCTCACTGCAACCTCCATCTCCTGGGCTCAGGCAATCCTCCTGCCTCGGCCTCCCAAAGTGCTGGGATTAGAGGTGTGAGCCAACGGGCCCCGCCCCTCCCTCCTCTTTATTACAGATTATTATTTGCAGATAAAAAGACTCGCCTAAACCATATAACATTTCAGTGGGTGGCTTTCAGCCCTTTCCTTGCATTTGTGTGCATTGGCCCAGCTGTACACCTCTGACTTTCAGTGGGAATAAATCATATTACTGCCTGGCAGGGTTCTGCCCCCTGAGGCACACACTCTTTTTGGTGGTTCTCACGGACCCTAGAGACCCCAGCTGTCTGTGGCAGTTTGAACCTAAGCCCTGGACTGGGGCCAGTCAGGTAGAAGTGGCCTCTGTGGAGGGTCGTGGGAGGTAGTCTGGGGACCCTCTGACCTACATGGGTGTCCGGCACTATTATTGGTGGCTGAGGCCAGAGACAGAGCCTGTTGTCGGGGTAGTACCTGAGGATGGTGATCCCCAATTAGCAGAGGCTGCAGCCTACCCATGCCTGCCTTCCCCAGCACCGTCCCTGGGTGCCACACTGGAGCTGATTCCTGAGCTCCCCGTGTCTCGGCGACCTTGCTTCCAGCCTCTGAAGGGCACTCGAGGAAGACTGATTGAGACTCTGGGGAAGGACGTGCGTAGCATCTCAATCTCCCCTCACAGAGCCTGCCTGGGGAGGGCTACACCTCGGGAGGCTTTTATGTACGGAGGCATTTCCAAAACTGGTTTGTCCCTCCCCTGCCACAAGAGACCAGCGGGGGCCTGCCTTCTAGAGACACACACCCACCCCCTTAGGGTTCCCTGCCTTCAGAGCAAATGCTTACCTATGAGGAAATTGAGGCACACAGAGGTTTAGTGACCCACCCAAGGCCACACAGCGAGTCTTCAGCAAAGCTGGGGTCCAGCTGGAGGCCTGGCTCCAGAGCCAGCGCTGGCTCAGCTCTACCTCCTCTCAGCTGCTCTGGGGACACCAAGGCTGCTATGTGCTCCTCAGGATTTAGGGGCCTGGGAATTCCCTGAGCTCATGTCAGTTACTCCTAAACGGCACATTCTGATGGCGGAAGGAGACAGCATCCCGGTCACTGTTCCCATTGAGTCACAAGGAGATGGAGGCCCAAAGCATGACTCACCTGGGGTCACAGAGCTGGAAGGTGGCTGGGCAGGAGTTTAAACCAGGTCCATAGCATTCCAAATGCTGCCTTTTTCTCTGTTTCCAGCCAGGGGCGCCGTGGCTGCTCTGTCCATTTTACTGCCTAGTGAAAGGCCTGCGGGGGGCGCTGTCAGGCTCCTTGCGGTGCTGCTGGTGGAGCGCCAGAGCCTGGGCCTGGCTGCGGGCTGAGCGGAAGCTGAGAACGTGGAGTCTGAGTCTCTTTGGGCCCCAGATTCCCCACGTCTGCCCAGTTCCTTCCCCTTCCTGGGTCATGTCTTGTCTCAGGGCATGGAGGGGCCAATGCACAGAAGAGTCACTGGCTTCCTGGAACACAGCACGACTCCGTGACCACCTGGGTCGGCTTTCCCCGTGGCCTTGAGAGCTGCTTGCAGAATCCAGCTTGCAGGTGACCTAGGTGGGGCTGCACTTGGAAACTCTGCTCCGTTTTGGAGTGCAAGGTCCCTGGGTTTCTGTCTGGCTGGAGGCTGTGGCTTTGAACTGTCCTCGAGGGGTTAACAAGAATTACATGCCAGGTTCTGGGCAGAAATAGAATTAAGCATGGATCAGGCTGCACTTTGTAACCAAAAGCCACAAAAGCCACCTAGCATTAGATACCCTGGCATCCCCATTGCTCCAACTTTAGAATCATAAGGCTTTTGTTTAAGAATGACTTGACCTGCATGGTGGCTCACGCCTGTAATCTCAACACTTTGGGAGGCCCGGGAGGCAGAATCGCTGGAAGCAAGGAGTTTGAGACCAGCCTAGGCAACATAGTGAGACCTCATCTCAACCAAAAGTAGAAAAATTAGCTGAGCATGGTGTGGGCCTGTAGTCCCAGCTACTCGAGGCTGAGGCAGGAGGATCTCTTGAGCCTGGGAATTCGAGGCCACAGTGAGCTATGCTTGTGCCACTGCACTCTAGCCTGGGTGACAGAGAAAGACCCTGTCTGTTTAAGAGAAAAATAAAAGATTGCTGGAGTGATTACAGCTTCCCTTTGGAGATGGCAAAGCATCTGACTTCACACTCCCACCCTCAACTCCCACCCTTAGCTCTGGGACACATCTCTTGTGCGTCACTCGTTCTTTCAGTCATCACCAGACGTATCCAGAGGTGTGACAGGTACCGGATCCAGAACTAGGCATGAGGCACGGTTCTGCCTTTTAGGAAGGAAAGGGAGGATCAGCTAGGGCCAGGTGCTTTTTACTTGAATATAATTCGTGTGTGTGTGTGTGTGTGTGTATGTGGTTTGTATGCATGTGCATGCATGTGGGTATGTGCACATGTGTATGTGTGTGTGCATGAGTGTGTAGTGTGTGTGGTGTGGGGTGTTTGTGGGGTGTGTGTATATGTGTGTGTATGGTGTGAGGGGTGTGTGGTGTGGTATGTGGTGTGAGGGGTGTGTGGTGTGTGTGGGGTGTGTGTGTGGTGTGTATGTGTGTGGGGCATGTGTGTGGTGTGTGGGGGGCATGTGTGTGGGGCGTGTGTGTGTTTGTGTGTGTGTGTGAGGGGTGTATGTGGGGTGTGTATGTGGGGTGTGTGTGTGGTGTGTGTGTGCGGGGGTGTGTGGTGTATGGGTGTGTGGTGTGAGGGGTGTGTGTGGTGTATGTGGGGTGTGTGTAGTGTGTATATGTGGTGTGTGATGTGTGGTGTGTGTGTGGATGTCTGGTGTGTATGTGTGTGGTGTGTGTGGCGTGTGTGTGGTGTGTATGTGTGGGAGTGTGGTGTGTATGGGTGTGTGTGTGGTGTATGTGTATGTGGGGTGTGTGGTGTGTATGTGTGTGGGGTGTGTGTATGTGTGAGGGGTGTGTGTGGTGTATGTGTGTGGGGTGTGTGTGTGTGGTATGTGTGGGGGTGTGTGGTGTATGTGTGTGGGTGTGGTGTGAGGGGTGTGGTGTGTGTGTGGGGTGTGTGTGGTGTGTGTAGTGTATGTGTGGTTGTGTGGTGTGGTGTGTGTGGGGGTGTGTGTGGTGTGTGGGTGTGTGGTGTATGTGTGTGGGGGGTGTGTGGTGTGTGTATGTGTGTGGGGGTGTGTGGGTGTGTGGTGTGTGTGGGGTGTGTGGTGTGTATGTGGGGGTGTGTGGTTTGTGTGTGGTTGTGTGGTGTGTGTGTGTGGGGTGTGTGTGGGGGTGTGTGTGGGGTGTGTAGTGTGTGTGGTGTGTGTGTGGTGTGTGGGGGGTGTGTGGGGGGGTGTGGGGGTGTGGGGTGTGTGGGGTGTGTGTGGGGTGTGTGTGGGGGTGTGTGTGGGGTGTGTGTAGTGTGTGGGGTGTGGGGTGTGTGTGGGGGTGTGTGGGGGGTGTGGGGTGTGTGTGGTGTGTGTGTGGTGTGTGTGTGGGGTGTGTGTGGGGGTGTGTGGTGTGTGTGTGCGGGGTGTGGGGTGTGTGTGTGGTGTGTATGTGTGTGTGGGGGGGTTGTGTGTGGGGGTGTGTGGTGTGTGTGTGAGTGTGTGTGTGTGGGGTGTGTAAGGTGATTGATGAAATGCACTCTATGCTCTCACCTGACTCAGATGCACGCAAAATGCATGTTTCTTTTTTCTTTTTCTTTCTTCCTTTTTTTTTTTTTTTTTGAGATGGAGTCTCGCTCTGTTGCCCAGGCTGGAGTGCAGTGGCACGATCTCGGCCTACTCCAACCTCCGCCTCCCGGGTTCAAATGATTCTCCTGCCTCAGCCTCCTGAGTAGCTGGGATTACAGGCACCTGCCACCATGCCCAGCTAACTTTTGTATTTTTAGTAGAGAGGGAGTTTCCCCATGTTGGCCAGGCTGGTCTCAAACTCCTGACCTCAGGTGATCGCCCACCTCGGCCTCCCAAAGTGCTGGGATTACAGGCATGAGCCACCGCGCCCGGCCTGTTTCTATAACTCATCTCATTTTGCTCTGGAAAACTGATGGCAGGAAAAATAAATTTAAAAAGAAATTTGCTGGCTAAGTAGAACTTATTCTCTCCAGATTTAAGACAGCGTCTCTGGATAAAATATTCAGTTAAAGTTCAAACTTCAGACAGGCTCTGTGCAAATTTCAAAAGGTGCCTCTTCCTCTAGGCAGCCAGGGCAGCTCTGCACCAGGTGGGGGTCAAGATTTCAGGTGCCCTCGCCCTTCTCAGCCAGGCCTCCTTGAACAGTGAACAACCTGTGTAGCTGTCCATGGTGGCTTAGTCAAGCTCTCCAAGGAAACTGTCTCATCTCAAGAGGTCTCCCTTCCCCCGCATCCCTTCTCCTTTTTCCAAGGGGGCTTCAGAGGAGGCAGCTTATGTGTCTGTGGGGTTGGGGGAGGGATCTCCAGCCCTTGTTTTGGACTTTAGTCCTCAGATCCGAAGGCCACTCTCAGATGGGCCTGGCTTCCCCAGGACTGAATATCCAACGTGGCCCTCATCCTGCATCTGAGGCCAAGCATGTCTGCAGGCCACACCCCCAGCCTCTGTGACACCTGGTCTTTGCAGCTCTCATCAGGACACCATCAGGACATCATATAGGGTGAAATATGAATGAAAGCTGTCATTGGCGCCTGAAGCCCCCACCTTCCCTGTTGGCAGGGTAGGAAGTTAGAGTGCGTGGCCTTTGGCCTTGAGGCTGCTGGTGCCGTGGAAGGCAAGGCCTGCAAAGGCGTCCTGGGTTTAGGGAGTGCTTTGAGGGGTCTGCTGACTCCTGGTGCCCCTCTGCGGTCGACCCCAGAGTGCAGGCACCCAAGGCTGCCTGGGGGCTGGGATTGGAGGCACCTGGTTGGTGTGGGGCAGCTTTGTCAGGGAGGGGCTGAGCAGGGCAGCCCCTGCCTTCCCAGTCCTCCCAGTCTGGGCTGAGTGGGCCGAGGGACCAGGCTGCGGCTGTAGCCACCTGCTGCGCCCACCCCCTGCCTGTGTGCTCTGTTGCCTGGGGCAGGCCTGGGTGTCCCAGGGCTCTCAGCCTCAGCTTTCTGGAACCAGACTTTGTCCCCTTGCCAGGTGACCTTGCCCCTGCTGCCCTGGCCTGGGCAAATCTCAGCGCCTCCCTCCCATCCTCCCACTGGGGGCTTGCGGGGCTTTTCTTTCCACCCACAACCACCCCCTGGGGGCCCAGCTCCTGCTGCCCTTCCAGATAACTCTGGGGAGGCTATGGCCTTTGAAAAGAGAGTAGCAGCCAGGTGCAGTGGCTCACACCTGTAATCCCAGCACTTAGGGAGGCTGAGGCAGAAGGATCACTTGAGGTCAGGAGTTCAAGACCAGCCTGGGTAACACAGTGAGACCCCATCTCTCAAAAAAAAAAAAAAAAGTCTGACGCCGGACACATCTTGAACTCATGACTTATGACCTACGGCCATGGTCAGTGACCATCTCTGAACCTCGGTTTCCTCATCTGTAAAATGGGAGTCATCTTGGAAATAGGCCGGAAAGAGCCAACCTATTTCATTATTTAAATATCTGTGTGGATTATTTTGATATGAATTTTAAGTGATAATTGAAAACAACAGCAGTACAAAGCTGTCCTCCCCAGCCCCCTGGTGCGGCCCAGCTGCCCGGCCTCCCCTGTTTGGAAGGGGACTCCGCCCTTCCCTGCAGCAGCACACGCTGGGGCTTCCATGCCTCTCCTCCAGACTCAGGTGGCCTAAGTGCCTGCCAGCCCCTCTGGGCCACGCAGGGAACAGCACACGGGCAGTGGCTCAGAGGCTATGTGCCAATGCGGCCGGCCGGCTGTGGGTCGTACACAGCAGATCTACCCATCTTCCATGGCACCTCTGGTGGTGGAGACTGTTTTGTGGGATCAATGACCCTCCTTGAATGTGAAAACAGGACCATCCGCCGGTCCCTCCGAGCTCCTCCAAAGCCTTCTGCTGTTGCAGAAACGTCACTTGCTATTCCATCTGGACTAGGCTGCGTTTCTGTTCCTCCCAACTGTCCTCCCTTTTTCTTCTTTCTGTTTCAAGAAAGCCCCTTCTGCAAGCTCTGGGTAGAGGCAGTGAGGGTGGGGGCCCTGGGCTGGGATCCCGGCACTGTGCCCTACTCCCTAAGTGACCCAGTGCAAGTCATCTCAGTGTCCTAATCAAAATCATGGTAAGTATTTTGATATTTTTATGAAAATAGTAGTTATAAAGAACCTCCTTTTTTGTTTTGTTTTGTTTTTGTTTTTAGACAGAGTCTGACTCTGTTGCCCAGGCTGGAGTGCAGTGGCACAATTGTAGCTCACTGCAGTCTCAACCTCCTGGGCTCAGGCAGTCCTCCTCGCTTAGCCCCCCAAAGTAACTGGAGCTACACATGTGTACCATCATGCCTGGCTAATTTTTTGTAGAGATGGGGTCTTGCTATGTTGCCCAGGCTGGTCTCAAACTCCTGGCCTCAAGCGATCCTTCTGCCTCAGCCTCCCAAAGTGCTGAGATTACAGGCGTGAGCCACCTTGTCTGGCCATAAATAACCTTCTGAAGGAAAAACCAAACGTTTTTCTCTCTCACACTCAACACAGAATGTGTCTAAAATGTGTGGGGATTTCTCCTTATCAGCAAGCAGTTCTCCAGTGGACACGCTGGGCATCCTCTAGTTCAATTCAATTCTGACACTGTCTACCCGAAGTTAGCATCAGATCCCACAGAATGAGGGCTCAGTCCTATGAGACTGCCCCCGACTTCCGATGCCAATTGCAACCCCAGGTTGTTTTACCTGCACTTCTGACCAATGGGCTGTAAATCAACAGGTTCCCACAACTCCCTCCTCAGATTTCATAGATCTAGAGCAGCTCACAGAACTCAGGGAGACACTTTAGCCATTTGTTTTAAGGGATATGACAAAGGCTGTAGGTGAACAGCCAGGTGGAAGGGGGTGTGCAGGGCTGGGCATGCCAGTGGGAGCGCATGCCATGCGCTCTCCGGGGACGCCTACCTCTGGGAACCTCCACGTGTTCAGCAACCAGGAAGCCCTTCCAAACCCTGACCTTTTGGGTTTTTGTGGAGACTTCATTACATAGGTATGATTGGTTACATCACTGGACATGGGTCATCAACCTCACCTTCAGCCCCTCTCCCCTCCCCGGAGGTCCAACTCTCTAATCATGTGGTTGGTTCTCCTGGCAACCAGCCCTCCATCCTGAGGCTATCTGGGGACCCACAAAGAGTCCGAGTCCCCTCGTTATAACAAAAGGTGCTCCTATTGCTGACGCATTCCAAGGGATTTAGGAGTTCTGGGTCAAAAACCAGGGTCAAAGACTGAATATTAGGCTGGGCGCAGTGGCTCACGCCTGTAATCCCAGCTACTTGGGAGGCCGAGATGGGAGAATCGCTTGAACCCAGGAGTTTCAGACCAGCCTGGGCAACTTAGCAAAACCCCGTCTTTAATAAAATAAGCCAGGCATAGTTGTGCATGTGCCTGTAGTCCCAGCTACTCGAGAGGCTGAGGCGGGAGGATCACTTGAGCCCAGGAGTTTGAGGCTGCAGTGAGCCATGTTCACACCACTGCATCCCAGCCTGAGTGACAGAGCAAGACGCTGTCTCGAAACCAATCAACAAAAAACCCCCCAAATATTAGAACAAAAGAGTCCCCTTAACCCCCTGTCTACAAGGGTTTTACTTAAGAACCCACAGCAGAGACTATGTATTTCTTATTTTATATCACAATAAGAAAGATCTCTTACAATATCCCATACCTCCTTTTTCTAAAGGAAGTTAATCATAGCAGTTTCAAGTTAGGGTTCTTTTCTCTTTTTTCTAGAGATAGAATCTCACACTGTTGCTCAGGCTGGAGTGCAGTGGCGAGATTATAGCTCACTGCAGCCTCAACCTCCTAAGCTCAGGTGATCCTCCTGCCTCAGCCTCCTGAGCAGCTGGGACTATAGGTGTGCACCACCAGGCCTGGCTAATTTCCTTTTTGTAGAGATGGGGTCTCGCTATGTTGCCCAGGCTGGTCTGGAACTCCCGGCCTCAAGCAATCCGTCTGCCTTGGTCTCCCAAAGTGTTGGGATTACAGGTGTGAGCCACCACGCCTGGTCCCTCAAGTTAGAATTGTTGAAGGAATTAAATGAGATTGTCCACTTGACATTAACGACTCATTTAATTTAATGGGTACATTAAAAAAACAAAAAACAAAACCCTAGTAAGAATCGGCGCTTCTTCTTATGTGGTGACTGACTTGGAATCCTAGCCCTTTAACCTACAGCACCCAAGAGCCCTTTAACCTATGGCACCCATAACTTCTCCCTCTCGCTCACCCGCCTCCAGCCACCCGGGTCTCTTTGCTGCTCCTCATACGGGAACACACTCTTCCACCTGGGGTCTCTGCACCTGCTGCCGCCTCCCCTAATGTCCCATGGCTCCCTCATTCCCCTGCAGGGCTCACAGCCTCACCTCCCTTGGGTGTCCACAAAATAAAATGCACACAGCAGCCCCCCTTTCCCTTCTCCATTCTCCTGGCGCAGCTCTGATTTTCTTCATGATGCTTATCAACACTGGACTTGCTATGTATTTTTTTGATTGGAGGGGTTATCATAAGTATCCCTTCAAAAGATTGGAAGTGGCTGGGCTCGGTGGCTCACGCCTGGAATCTCAGCACTTAGGGGGGCAGAGGTGGGCAGACCACTTGAGGTCAGGAGTTCGAGACCAGCCTGCCATGAGGTCAGGAGTTCGAGACCAGCCTGCCCAACATGGCGAAACCCTGTCTCTACTTAAAAAAAAAAAAATACAAAAAACTAGTTGGGTGTGGTGGTGGGTACCTGTAATCCGAGCTACTTGGGAGGCTGAGGCAGGTGAATCGCTTGAACCTGGGAGACGGAGGTTGCAGTGAGCCAAGATCACACCACTGCACTCCAGCCTGAGAGACAAGAGTGAAACTCCGTCTCAAAAAAAAAAAAAAAATTAAAAATTAGCCGGGAAGTGGTGGTGTGTAACTGTAGTCCCACCTCCCTGGGAGGCTGAGGTGGGAGGATCACTTGAGCCCAGGAGTTTGAGGCTGCAGAGAGCTAGGATTGCACTGCTGCACTCCAGCCTGGGTGACAGAGCAAGATCCTGTCTCAAAAATAAATAAATCTCAAAATAAATAAAAGATTACAAAAGAAGCTTCTAGAAGGCAAGAAACCACTTTACAGAGTGCCCTGCCCCAAAAGATACATCCACATCCCAGAACCTGTGGATGTGACCTTATTTTGAAAAAGTGTCCTATCCATTGGGCCCTAAATCCTGTGACAAGTGTCCTAAGGGACACACAGAGGAGAGGCACCTCGAGGAGGAGGCGAGGCAGGGACTGGAGGATGCCGCCAGGAGGGATGCCCTTGGCCCCCAGAGCTGGGAGACGCAGGGACAGATTCTTGCCTGGAGCCTCCGGAGGGAGGTGGCCCTGGCAGCCCCTTGGTTTCTGACTTCAGGCCTTCAGAACTGTGAGCAGATGAACTCTTGTTCTAAGTCACTGTGCTTACGGTAATCTGTTTCGGCAGGCCTAGGAAACTAATCCACCCCTGTGTGGCCAACACCCAGGCAGGGACTGGAATGTAGCAGAGCCGGCAGCAGCGAACATTCTCTGAAAAGAGACAGATAGAAAATATCTGAGGCTTTGCAGGCCGTTGTCTCTGTCTCGAATGCTCAACTCTGCCACCGGAGCATGAACTGCAGCCACGGAGAACACTAACAAATGGGTGTGGCTGTGTTCCGATAAAACCTTATTTATGGGCCGGGCGCGGTGGCTCATGCCTGTAATCCCAGCACTTTGGGAGGCCGAGGCGGGTGGATCACGAGGTCAGGAGATGGAGACCACCATCCTTGCTAACACGGCGAAACTCCGTCTCTATTAAAAATACAAAATATTAGCCGGGCGTGGTGGCAGGTGCCTGTAGTCCCAGCTACTCGGTAGGCTGAGGCAGAAGAATGGCGTGAACCCAGGAGGCAGAGCTTGCAGTGAGCCGAGATCGAGCCACTGCACTACAGCCTGGGCGACACAACCAGACTGCGTCTCAAAAAACAAAACAAAACAAAACAAAAACTTTATTTATGGACACCAAAATTTCAATTTCATATAATTTTCATGTGTCAATACATATGATTCTTTTGATTTATTTATTTTTTTGAGACAGTTTCGCTCTGTCCCCCAGGCTAAAGTGCAGTGGGGTGATCTCCGCTCACTGCAACCTTTGCCTCCTGGGTTCAAGGGATTCTCCTGCCTCAGCCTCCTGAGTAGCTGAGACTACAGGGTGGGGCTCCACCATGCCTTGCTAATTTTGGTATTTTTTTTGTAGAGACGGAGTTTCACCATGTTGGCCAGGCTGGTCTTGAACTCCTGACCTCAAGTGATCTGCCCACCTTGGCCTTCCAAAGTGCTGGGATTACAGGCGTGAGCCACCTCACCCGGCCAATGTGATTCTTATTTTGACTTTTTTCAACCATTTAAAAATGTAAAACTCATTCTTAGCGTGTAGGTCAGACAAAGGCAGGTGGTGGTGGGGTTTGGCCCGGGGGCTATAGTTTGCTGCCTGGTCTAGCAGATGCTCCGTATTTGTTGAAGGATTGAAGGGACATTAGAGGTGACAGCTGGATGCTCCGGTCAAGTAGCCCAGAGACTGTGATGAAGCCCCTTGCAACAAAAATCCCTGAGAATTAAAGTAGGGTTGGTGTAAACTGCTGGAGGCAGCTGTCTCACCCCAAGATCTTCAGCGACAGAGGGCAGGGCCAAGAGGTCACCCAGGTGCCTGGCTGGGGAGGTTGTTCCCAGGCCTTCAGTGCTGGTCGACGCCATGGTGCTGAAGTGACAGAGGAGACACGGGAAGGCACTGGCCACTTCCTGACCACACTGCATGTGTTCAGCTGTAGGCTCAGTGAGGATGGGTCCTGGGATTGGGGTCTGGGTGGAGATCTAGAGCACATTGGAGCTGAAACCCTAACCCAGGGCTGGAAAACTCCAGTGACTTCTAGGATTAGGCCAGGAATGCAGATAAGCAAAGGAGGTCTGATGTAAGACAACAGGGCATGATGGGGGCTCTGGCAAAGAGGGGAGACCGCCTCCTATTTAAAGCAGTTACTCAGTCTTGGCACTGTGGCCCATGCTGGTTATCCCAGCATTTTGGGAGGCTGAAGTGGGAGGATCATTAAGCCAGGAGTTCAAGACCAGCTTGGGTGATGTAGTGAGACCCCATTTCTTAAAAAAAAAAAAGTAAATAAAATAAAAATTATTTTTTTAATTAGCTGGGCACAGTAACAAGTATCTGCCATTCCAGCCACTCGGGAGGCTGAGGCAGGAGGATCGCTTGAGCCCAGGAGGTTGAGGCTGCAGTGAGCTGTGATGACACCACTGGACTCCAGCCTTGGTGAAAGAGCAGGATGCTGTCTAAAAAAAAAAAAAAAAAAGGCAATTATTCAGTTTCAGCCAATCCTGCCAGGTGGGAATGCAGGCTCCATGCCAGCAGATTTCTAGATTGTTCTTGAGAAGCTGCAGAATTCAGTTGTTTGTATGAAATCTCCTGATTTAAAATCTTGGCTCAAATAATAATAATACAAAGTCATGCCAGGAGTTTTCTGCATGTTGAGTGGATATTGGAATGCCTTCTTACAGAGAGCTCCGAGAGGCTAGGTTACCTTACCAACAGCACACAGCTCAGAGATGCCAAACTGGGTGTGGGTGACCTCACAGCTGCCTTCCAGGTGGTGGCTCTTTGTGACCTCATTCACTGAGTGAAGGGGGAGAGGATCAGAGGGTCTCTCTTCAGCCAGATTTGGGCCCCAGACAAGATTCAGAAACTGCTACTATCAGCCAGGCTTGGGGACTCATGCCTATAATCCCAGCACTTTGGGAGGCCGAGGTGGAAGGATCACTTGAGCCCAGGAGTTTGAGACCAGCCAGGGAAACATAGCGGGACCTTGTCTCTGCAAAACATAAAAAAATTAGCTGGGCTTGGTGGTGGACGCCTGTAGTCCCAGCTACTTGGGAGACTGAGGCTCGGGAGGATCACTTGATCCCGGGAGGTTGAGGCTGCAGTGAGCTGTGATTACACCACTGCACTCTAGCTTGGGCTGGGCTTTGTAAGAGTGAGACCCTGTCTTTATAAAAAAACAAAACTACTACTCGCTAGCTTTTTTGAAAACTGTGGTGTTCAGAAAATGGATATGGTCACCATATTATAATTCGTATGGCGTAGTACTACTAAATAAGTTTTTTTTTTTTTTTGAGATGGAGTCTTACTCTGTCTCCCAGGCTGGAGTGCAATGGCGCGATCTTGGCTCACTGCAACCTCCTACTCCCGGGTTCAAGTGATTCTTGAGCTTCAGCCTCTGGAGTAGCTGGGATTACAGGCGCGTGCCACCACACCCAGCTAATTTTTGTATTTTTAGTAGAGACAAGGTTTCGCCATGTTGGCCAGGCTGATCTCAAATGCTTGACCTCAAGTGATCCACCCACCTCGGCCTCCCAAAGTGCTGGGATTACAGGTGTGAGCCACCGTGCCCGGCCTGAAGAAGATATTAACATTACAACTTGCTCCTTTATTTGAGAACAGTGGCAATATTATGATTGTTACGATTATGGTTGTGATTTGATCACTACTATACACCTCAGGACTCCCTTCCATATCCAACACCCCACACCCTGCACCCAGGAAATAAATTGGTTTTAACCATCTGGCTGCTAGACCATGTCTCTCCCACCCCACCGCTACTCCACCCCCACTTACCCAACCATCTGGTCCAGCCCTGCCCAGCCAAGCCATGCCGTCTGGTAGACCTTGCTGGCTACCAGCACAAAGGGCTGGTGTTCCCTGTCACCTTCAGTCACAGGGGTGCTAGGAAGGGCATATCCAGGTTCTTGGAGGGACAAAGCCATGCGGGACCTTCCTTCTTGGTTGATAGAGAAGTGGGTGGGTGCATACACCCATGTCTGATGGAAGTGGCTGTCACTCGTGTTTTCGAAAAATGTGGCTTTTTTTGTGAAGAAACTTTGGGAAGTGATGTTGCTGCCATGCCTGCATTCTTTTTTTTTTTTTTTTTGAGCCAGAGTCTCCCTCTGTTGCCCAGGCTGGAGTGCAGTGGCGCCATCTCAAGTCACTACAACCTCTGCCTCCTGGATTCAAGCAATTCCCCTGCGTCAGCCTCCTGAGTAGCTGGGATTACAGGCGCCCACCACCACGCCCAGCTAATTTTTGTATTTTTAGTAGAGACAGGGTTTTGCCTTATTGGCCAGGCTGGCCTCGGACTCCTGACCTCAAGTGATCCGCTCGCCTCGGCCTCCCAAAGTGCTGGGATTACAGGTGTGAGCCACCGCACCCCGCCCATGCCTGCATTCTTAAGGGCCTTGGAAAGCACTCTGCATGCACGCAGTGGCCCAGCCAGCCCACTCTGCAAATCCCTCTGTCTGCCCCTCTCATTTCACAATTCCATCAGAATCGGCGGCCGTGCTGGTGAAGAAGGGTTTGCTCTTAATGAGCCTGCCCAGAATTGCCTTGTTTTCTTGGCGTTGACAAACTATATCCCTTAATAAAAGTTTCATGACTCAATTTAGCACGGGAGGTACATAATCCCAGCCCCTCCTGCCCTGAAATCAAAGATTGCCTCGGAGTATTGGTCCCAGGGGCACTCCTGGGTTTGACACAAACGCTGTCTGGGGGCATCGCTGGCTGAGATTTGCCAGGGGGTCTGTGGGCAGAAGGTGCCCCCTCGGGGAAGGCCTCCCGCTGCTGCCTCCTCCTGCTCTCTTCTGGTGGTCACTGGTCATTCTGGCTGTTCAGCTCTGCCCTGGTCATCCACGGTAGCAGGTTGTTTGCAGAGTCAACCACAGCTCTCCCTCCCATCTCACCAGCCCTTTGCAAATGCTTGTCTCATCAAGAGGTGGGGTCTATTTTCTCCTCTCCTAAATCTGGCCTAATTGGCTCTGCCCAGTAGAGTGTGGCGGATGTGATTGCATGTGAGTGCCCATGAGGCAGCTGGGGAGGCCTTGCAGCTTCCACTTTTGCCTCCTTATTTTTATTGATTGATTGATTGATTGAGACAGAGTCTCGCTCTGTTGCCTAGGCTGAGTGCAGCGGTGTGATCACGGCTCACTGCAGCCTCTACTTCCCAGGCTCAAGCAATCCTCCCACCTCAGCCTTTCAAGTAGCTGGGACTACAGGCGCTCGCCACCATGCCTGGCTAATTTTGTTGTTGTTGTTGTTATTGTTGCTGAGACAGGGTCTCCTTAGGTTGCCCAGGCTGGTTCTGACCTCCCGGGCTTAAGCGATTCTCCCACCTCAGCCTCCCAAAATGCTGGGATTACAGGCGTGAGGCACTGCACCAGGCTCCACTTTTGCCTCCTTAGACCCCAGCACTGCTGCGCAAAAAGGAAGCCCTTAGGCTGTGCGCGGTGGCTCATGCCTGTAATCCCAGTACTTTGGGAGGCCGAGGCAGGTGGATCACCTGAGGTCAGGAGTTCAAGAGCAGCCTGGCCAATATGGTGAAACCCCGTCTCTACTAAAAATACAAAAATTAGCCGGGCATGATGGTGGGTGCCTGTAATCCCAGCTATTTGGGAGGCTGAGGCAGGAGAATTGCTTGAACCTGGTAGGTGCAGGTTGCAGTAAACCGAGATCGTGCCATTGCACTCCAGCCTGGGCAACAGAGTGAGACTCCATCTCAGAAACAAAAACAAAACAAACAAATGAACAAAAAAGAAGCCCTGCCCAACTTACTGGAGGGCGAGGGCTTCTGTGGGGAGAACTGAGGCACCCTGACCAGCGGCTGGTACCAGTTGCCAGATCCACAGGTGAGGTCATCATTGTCACCCCACAGCCCCAGCCGAGCATGGGGAGACTGCAGCACGTGAATGACCCCAGGACAGAGGAGCAGGACTGCTTACATTCCAGCCCACAGAAGAAGCAGGAGGAATCGTAATGGTCGCTTTAAGCCCCTAGGTTTTAGAAGTTTGTTATGTAGCAATGGACAATTGTTATAGCCATCTCTTTTGCATTCTTAGCTGTGACATTTGGGTGGGAATGACCCCTCACCCAGCTCCAGGCGTGGGTCCTGACTGGTGTAAAGAAATGGATGTCACTGTTGTGTGGTCAGAGCACCTCATTCTCCCTGTCCACAGCGAGACGCCAGGAACCGTTTGCTTCTCCACCATCTGAGAAAGAGATGAGGTGCTGTGAGGATGTGAGGTCAGGAATCCAGGCGGCTGTTTTGTGCCGCGTGGGACCTCCATGTGGAGCCAGAGGACAAAGGGATGAAGTTAACACTGAAGAAAGTAAACCAGGAGGCCAGAGAGGACCCAGGTCTTTGACAGCTTTGAGATGCTAGATTCAGCCATACCTCCAGCAAGATCTCTCCCTGAGCTTTTCAGTTACATAAACAAATGACTGCCCTTTAGGTGGCTTCAGCCAGCCCTGAACGACACATCTCTCTCCAAGGTGTGGCATGAGCATATGCAGGAATGTATTTATAGATTTTCATTTTCTTTCTTTCTTTTTTTTTGTGACAGGGTCTTGCTCTGTCATCTAGGCTGGAGTGCGGTGGCCCCATCATAGCTCACTTCAGCCTCGACCTCCCAGACTTAAGTGATCCTCCTACCTTAGCCTCCCAAGCAGCTGGGACTACAGTCGTGTGCCACCACGCCTGGCTATTTTTATTTTTACTTTTGTAGAGATGGGGTTTTGCTACATTGTCCAGGCTGGCCTGGAACTCCTGGGCTCAAGTGATCCTTCCATGTCAGCCTCCTGAGTAGCTGGGACTACGGGCTCGTGCCACCACACCCGGCTCTGTGATGCTATTTACCGAAGAAGTTCCCAAGCTCACAGTGCAGCCAGATGTTTCTGTGAGCCTCAGCTCTTTCTTCCCCCTTCCCCATCACATAGCGTATCTTTTGTTAAAGTCTCTTTAACACAGTGGACACATTTGGCCACTTCTGCTCCTTTTGTTTTGTCTTCTTTTTTTTTTTTTTTTTTTTTTTTAAGAGATGGTGTCTTGCTGTGTTGCCCAGGCTGGTCTCGAACTCCTGGGCTCAAGCGATCTTCCTGCCTCGGCCTCCCACAGTGCTGGGATTACAGGGATGAGCCACTGCGCCTGGCACATTTCAGCTCCTCATTCCTTTTCAGCTCTCTTGATCCCATACACTTTGTTTTCAGAGAAGCTTTGGGGGTTCTAATGGGAGATGTCTCCAGCTCACTTCTTCCCATCTTGCTGGCATCCTGGCCTGGCTGAGCTGGATGCCTGGGTCCACCGTAATCCCCACCTGCTTCTTACCCCCATTAGGACTGTGCCGTGCACAGGTGGGCAGGGAGAGGGCTCGTGAGAGAAATAACTGGAACACAGATGCCCACTGTATCAGTTAGCTTTTGCTACAGAAATGCTTCCTAACAAATGACCCCACACGTCACCCTAAAGCGACACTCATTTATTCTCATAGTGGGTTGATTGGTTGACTGACCTGGGCTGGACTTGGCAGGGAAGCTCTGCTGGTCTTGGCTGGGCTCAGCCATGTGACTAGGGGTCAGGTGGGAAGGAATTCATCAAGGTCATCCTTGTCCTGGGGCTAGTGGGATGGCCGAGGTGTGTTCTTATGGCCCAGCAGCCTCATATGATTGGCAAAGCAAGTCACATGGCAATGGCTGGAGTGCAGAGGCAGGGACCCAGGCCCTGCTCACCGTGGAAGGGCTCTTGCAAAATCACTTGGCAAAGGGCAGCCAGACACAGGAAGGGACACAGACCTGGGGCCAGCGACGTGACTGGGAGTAACCATGCATCTCAGTGGTGGTGCCCAATCTCTCTCCCAACCACCCTGGGAGCATTGGAGCTGGAACAAACAGCTGAGGTGGAAAGACCACAGAGTCAGTGGGGTAAATGGTCCCAGCTACTTGGGAGGCCGAGGCGGGAGGATCACTTGAGTCCAGGAGGTGGAGGCTGCAGTGAGCTATAATCATGTCACTGCACTGCAGCCTGGGTAACAGAGAAAGACCCTATCTCAAAAAAAAAAAAACAAACAAAAACAAAGCTAGAAAACCCCACTGACTTCTCCAAAGCCTCCAGGAAGACACGTTCCTCCTCCTCCCAGGGCTGAGGTCTCCCCACTGCACAGCCACACTCCCAGGTAGACAGAAGAGGCCTCCCTGAGTCACAACCACCCAGTGCCTCACCTCATCGATTCTGACCGTTTTAGAGTGAGGTGCAATGAGCTGGTCGCATCCAGGACTCTCCTGAGCTTGGAGACATAGTACAATCCTTTTGATTTCCTGCTCAGATCCGCCCTGTCCTGTGCAAGCCCCAGCCAAGCCCCTTCCTAGGTCAGCTCCCTCCAGAGTGCTGCTCAGGAGACGGGCGTTCTTCTGATATCCTTAGCGCAGGGAGGATCCCCCCTTGCACTGGGCTGTGCCTCAGCTGGTGGCTGGGCTTGCCTCACTCTCGGGGAGACAGGAGTGGGCTGCCTCCTCCTCCTCCTGTTTCTTTGTCTCCATGCTTCCCTGACTTCGCCTCTTTTAACAAAACTCTTCTAATGTAATAAATTTCTTTTGTGGTCAAAAACTTGCAGTACAGGCTGGGCGCAGTGGCTCATGCCTGTCATCCCAGCACTTTGGGAGACCGAGGTGAGAGGATCGCTTGAGGCCAGGAGTTTGAGACCAGCCTGGGCAACATAGTGAGACCCTGTCTCTACAAGAAATATTTAAAAAGTAGCCTAGTGCGGTGGTGTACACCTGTAGTCCCAACTACTCCAGAGGCTGAGGTGGGAGGATTACATGAGCCTAGGAACTGGAGGCTGCAGTGATCTATGATTGCACCACTGCCCTCCAGCCTGAGTGACAGAGCAAGACCCTGTCTCAAAAAACTAAACCAAGCTGGGTGCGGTGGCTTACACCTGTAATCCCAGCACTTTGGAAGGCTGAGGCAGGCAGATCACGAGGTCAGGAGTTCAAGACTAGCCTGGCCAACATGGTGAAACCCCGACTCTGCTAAAAATACAAAAATTAGCCAGGCATGGTGGGGCGTGACTGTAGTCCCAGCTACTTGGGAGGCTGCGGCAGGAGAATAGCTTGAAACTGGGAGGTGGAGGTTGCAGTGAGCCAAGATCATGCCACTGCACTCCAGCCTGGGTGACAGAGCGAGACTACGTCTCAAAACAAAAAACAACAAACAAACAAAAAACCATGAAAACCTCCCAGTACACAGAATGGGTGTGACCGCTCAAGGGGGCTTCTGGGGAGGCCCCTTCTGGAGGTGATCGCTGCTCAGTTAAGGCTTTCTGGACTCCTGAGATTGGTGGGCCACACCTGGGGTTGACCGCTAGACCTTGGGCAGGTTGTTTCTCTTTCAGCCTCAGTTTTCTCATCTATAAAATGGGGACAGAAGAGCACCTGCCTTACAGGGCAGTTGCAAAGACTAAATGAAGTTACGTGTGTAAGGCACTGAGTACACTATGGCACTTGATGTTGAATACGTTGTCTTTCTCTTTGCTTTACTTAGGAGTTTGAATCAATAAAAGAAGTGTCAGGCAGGTGCGTGCACATGTGTTTGTGTGTGTGTGTGTGAACACCGATGCTGGTTAACAGATCATCTGTGTGGTAAGGACAAGGTTCTCAGAAGATAAGTCTTCATCATAAACCCAGGGAAGATAAGGCTGTGCTCAGTGAAAGCAAGAATTCACCCTTTTCCACTGAGCTCTGGGCCCCTCACCTTCTGTGATAGCCCGGGACTTGGGTGTATCTTTTGTGGCCTGTGCCACAACCACAGTCCTGGACCCAAATTTGCGAGAACTCACAGTGTCTTCTGGGGGTAGGGAAAGCTCTGGTTCCCAAGTTTTAGGGTCCCCATGCGATATGGTTTTGCTGTGTCCCCACCCAAATCTCACCTTGAATTGTAATAATCCCCACATTTCAAGGGCGGGGCCAGGTGGAGATAATTGAGTCCTGGAGGCGGTTTCCTCATACTGTTCTCATGGTGGTGAATAAGTCTCATGAGAGCTGATGGTTTTATAAAGGGGAGTTCCCCTGCACACACCCTCTTGCCTGCTGCCATGTAAGATGTGACTTTGCTCCTCCATTGCCTTCCACCATGATTGTGAGGCCTCCCCAGCCATGTGGAACTGTGAGTCCATTAAACCTCTTTCCCATATAATTACCCAGTCTCGGGTATGTCTTTATTAGCCGTGTGAGAACAGATTAATACACCATGCTGTACCCTCTGTCCCATCAGCAGTCTCCCCTTTGACAGTATCATCTGTCACAGTCACAATAAGGTCCTGAAAACACTTTACCAGTTCCGCCGTGTCTGTGCCTCTGTTTCCTCATCTGTCAAAGAAGACTGGAATCATACCTGCCTCACAGGGTTGCTTGTAGATGTAATGAGTTAATGTGCGTGAGTCTGCTTACAACAGTGCCCAACACATAATCAGGATTTTTTTTTTCTTTTGAGACAAGGTCTGGCTCTATCGCCCAGGCTAGAGTGCAGTGGCACAATCTCGTCTCACTGCAACCTCCTCCTCCAGGGCTCCAGCGATTCTCTCAGCTCAGCCTCCTGAGTAGCTGGGACCACCATGCACCACCATGCCTGTCTAACTTTTTTTTGTACTTTTTGTGAAGATGGGGTTTGTCCATATTGCCCAGTCTGGTCTTGAGCTCCTGACCTCAAGTGATCCACCCACCTCGGCCTCCCAAAGTGATGGGATTACAGGCGTGAGTCACTGTGCCTGGTCCAGAATCAGGACTTTCTATTGTTGTTTATTATTATTATTTATAAATTACTCCTAAAAATATGACTTTCCTAGAAGATTCTTCAATGACACTTTGTTTTGAGATGGGGGGTGACCATGAGGGTGACTCAAAACAGCTGTTGAGCCTGAAGATGAGTTTCATTATTTTCTTTTATGATAAGACAAATGCTTTCATTTACTGATGTCTTCTTCGGGTGACATGTGACTGTCAGCTACTTGTCCCCCTCCAAAGAAAGCACAGGATCCGCCCCTTCAAGGAGAAGGTGATTTTTAAACAATGAATGAGAATGTGAGTGCTTTTTGAGAGATACTCACGTTTTGGAAAGAGCATTTTGAAAGCAGATGTTTGGAAATGTTTCCATTGTTATCAGCTTTTATTGCCAAAAAGCAAAGAAAGTGTGTTTCCTTTTAAAACCTCCCCACGTCTGCACACTTGAAGAACTGGGAAACAGAAAATTCTAGCCAATTTCAAAATCTTTCAAAAGAAAACTTTTAGGAAGTTTTGAATCCATTTATTACAAATCTGCAAATACCAATTTTCTGAATTCTTTTCAAGATGAAATGAGGGCTATCCAGGAAGATGGATGTATACAGTACTAGTCAATTTCACCAAAAAATAGTTCCCTATTTGGTGAATGGGATTAAAATACGAGTATTGATATTAATATTTAGAAAGCACAGCATATGGCACTTCTTCCATTTGAATTTACAAATCTTTGTGAGGTATCGTTTGCAGCTCTAATAGCCACTCAAACCAAGTATGGACATCACTCTCCACAGAACGAGATTCTCATGTCACCACAGCACGTACCGTGCTTTCCAAACCTAAGCTTTCCAAAAAATAAAAAAGATTCAATTGCATTGCTATCAGGAAAAGAACATTTGGAATGCTCAAATGAAAGCCAAAAGGTGAATTTTACTGTTAGCAAGTAAAATAAAAATATTTCAAAGTAGTGTTTATTTAATCTTCATGTCCTCCGTTAAGAATTCCTAGTTTTTATACAGGTTGAGCATCCAAAATTTGAAAAGCCAAAACCTAAAATGCTCCAAAATCCAAAACATTTTGAGTGCTGATATGATGTTCAACAGAAATGCTCACTGGAGCATTTTGAGGCCGAGGTGGGCAGATCCCTTGAGGTCAGGAGTTGTCACCAGCCTGGCCAACATGGTGAAACCCCGTCTCTGCCAAAAATACAAAGATTAGCTAGGCATGGTGGCACTCGCCTATAGTCCCAGCTACTCGGGAGGCTGAGGCAGGAGAATCGCTTGAACTCAGGGGTCGGAGGTTGCAGTGAGCTGAGATTGAGCCACTGCACTCCAGCCTGGGTGACAGAGTGAGACTCTGTCTCAAAACAATAACAACAACAAAACAACAACAACAACAACAACATATTTCAGATTTCCGGATTTGGGATGCTTAACTGGTAAGTACAAAGTGGATATTCCAAAATCTGAAGAAGTTAGAAATCGGAAAAAGTCCAAAATCTGACACACATCTGGTCCCAAGCTCTTTGGAATAAGGGATATTTTATGCTTTATGTACAGCTCGTAATATGTTAGTGCATCATTGTGTAATTCATAAATGTTCCTGCCCAGTTGGAGATCTCTGCTCTTAGTCGTTTCATTAAATCCCAAGTCCCTCACCTGGGCAGTTTTCGTGTCTTGGTGGTGGATGGATGAGTGTGGAGGGGACGCTCTTACTGGTCCAGGGGATCAAGACTGGCGGTCCCACTCTTGGCCCCTAGGAGGCAGCAGAGGGAAGCAAAACAACAGCTTTGAAACCTACTCTAGGAAAACAGCCCCATAAGGGCTGGTGCAGGAGACACCTTATAATGTCTCCTTTCTCCCCAACCTTCCTCGTTCTCCCTCCTCAGGAATGGAGTAAAATAAACCATCTGCAGCCCCTGAGGACCGAGAAAAATCCCATTGAGCGTGGGGAATACGGAAGGGAGTCACTGACCCCCAAGGCTCATTTTGAGCGGTGGGGCTTTAACCTGAACACTGCATTTATCCGAAGATGACACAGAGCTGGCCCACGACAGGTAGAGGGGACCCCGGGTGGTCCTGGACTCTGGCCACTGTCCTGCTACTTCTTGAGCTGTTTCTCCAGCTGAGATCTAGTAAGAATTCCATAAGGGTCGATTTAATTGTATCCCTTTGGCTAAAGCGCATGGTATACAGTCGGTGCCAAATCAATGTGTGCAGTCTCTGACCTGAGGAGTAACTCTTCCTCATCTCATTTGTTACTGCTCTATCCCACCCAAACCTATCTGTGACCTGTCACGCATTTCCTTTCTGTCCTGGGTGTTGGAGTCAGGGCCAGTTTGCGGGCTGCTGTGTCCCTGCCTCTGAGAGCATTTTCTGGCAGATGTACTAAAGCTCTTGTGTGGCGGGTTTTGGCTTGATTCTTCGAGAACGCAGCTGGGGAACAAGTGTGAGGTTCCTTCTCATGGCTCAGAGCAGACTTCAGTACTTGGCATGGACTATGCGTGAGCCTCCTAACACATCCCCACGATGCCTCACCTCCCATCCAACCGACCGCGGGTCCCCAGAGCCGCCTTCCAGAAACGCAGCGTCGTGCGCCTGCTCCAGCCGTCGCTGGATCCTCATGGCTGGCGGAGTGAGATCAAAGCTCCTGGGCCGGTCTTGAAGGCCCTGGGATAGGAGTGCCCCCCAACCGTCAGCCCTCCAAGACACTTCTGTCTACGTGCCCCACGCTTCTGTCACGTAGGCTTGGTGCAATTGATGGAGCCTCTCTGAGCAGCGTCAGTTTCCTCATCTATAAAATGGACACGACTAACCCCTTGAGGATTGAGAATGACGAGAGATGGGCGACCATGTGTGGAAATGCGTTCCTGTGCTGAGACACTCCACACATATTGGTGTCCTTTTCCCGCCCTCATTTCACAGACGAGGAAACTGAGGCTCTGAGCGAGAGATTGGGAACAGATCCAAAAACACGCAGCCCAGATGCAGCAGAGCCAGGATTAACACTCAGACCTTCCCAGTTATCTCTAAAAATTAATTACTTTTTAATTTTATAATTGACACATAATAATTGCTACATATTTCTGGGGTGCAGTGTAATGTTTCAGTGTCCATGCATATATTATATAACAATCCCTCATCAGTGAGGGTCCCCCAGTAGATCTTTTCTTTGTTCTCCTGCACAGATTACCATCTATGCATTTGGGGAATTTATCACCCACTTCCCTGTTTATTATTATTATCATTAAAGACAAGGTCTCGCCTTGTCATCCAAGCTGGAGTGCAGTGGCTCAATCATAGCTCACTGCAACCTCCACCTCCCAGGCTCAAGTGAGCCTTCCACCTCAGCCTCCCGAGTAGCTGGGATGACAGGCACGTGCCACCATAACCGGCTAACTTTTTTTGTATATTTTGTAGAGACGGGGGTCTCACTGTGTTGCTCGATGATCTTGAACTCCTGGGCTCAAGCCATCCACCTGTCTTGGCCGCCTAAATTGTCAGGATGACAGGTGTGAGCCACCACGCCCAGCCCCTTGTTTATTGTTGTCTCCCCTTCTAGAAGGTAAGCCCCATGAAGGCATAGACCTGGCCTGTCTTGTTCACTGAATGCCCAGCACAGAGCAGGAGGCTGATAAACACTTCCTGAATAGACAAGGGCTACAACAGTTTCCAAGAACACACAGGTAGCCCCAGCTGATCACTTTCTAATGAAGCTGGTTCCTTTCACCTCCGGAGAATCTACCCCCTGGGATGTCTTTGATTGCACAGAGCTTGAGGGCCTTCCCTTCCCTGGGAACAGTGGCCCTGAACCACGAACAGCCTGGTAAGCATACCAGCACTGTGAGGCTGGCTTTCCCCAGAAACCCGGAGTGACGGGTTAACCAGGGGAGTGAAGTGGGCATTAGGCTTGCATACCTTGGGAGTCGATGTTTAAAAAACTTCCCTGATAATTGGAAATTGGCTAATCTCTTGCTATAATTAGGAGAGGCTGGAGGCTGGGGATGTTCTGTTTTCCCAAGCTCTGTTTTGAAGGTGTAGAAACCAGGAAGTGACTTAGGAAGCCCAGAAGCTAACAAATGACCGTAGCCACGGACTCCAAGGAAACATGAAATGCATTGGGGACACATCCCTTCAAGGCAGATTCATGTTTCCTGAAAAGTATGAATTTCATTATTAATAGCAACAGTTTTTCTGGTAAATTTTGTTGAGTATAAAAACACGAGCCAGGGGCACACCACCACACCTGGCTAATTTAAAAATTTTTATAGAGATAGGATTTAATTTTTTTGCCCTGCTGGTCTCCAATTCCTGGCCTCAAGCAATCCTTCTGCCTCAGCTTCCTAAAGTCCTGGTATTATAGGTGGGAGCCATCTCGCCTGGCCTGGGAGTCTAGATTCTTATGTGAACTCTCATGATTCTGGAATGTTGGCAACTGATAAAAATTTAACACTCTGTAGAGGCCAGTTCCATCCAGGCCAAACAAAATAAGCTTAAGGGCCAGATTTGGTCTGCAGGTGCCATGTGGGGTGAGCTGGAGGGGCTCCCAGGCACGTGGGGGAGACAGGTGTGAAAACAGACATCATGGTTCAGAGTGATTCATGATATTGAAGATCAGAGGAGGGATGACTGGCTGCCAGGACGTGGGATAGGGGTCAGGGAGGATTCTACGGCGGCATGAGGCTTACAACAGCACCCTGAAAGACGCACAGAGGAAGGAGAGCAAGGATTTTCCATGGAGAGGAAGGAATGTGTGTGAAGGCCTGGGTTCAGTTTGAGCACCAGGTGGTCTGACGCCGCACGGTGGTTTGGTGCAGCTGTGGCAGTGCAGGGGCGGCAAAGGGGCTGGAGACGTGGACAGGAGCTAGTCACTAGGACCTGGAAGAGCGAACTCAGTCATTGAGCCTTTTTGTCCTGCAGGGCAGGCGGTGGGAGCATTTGGGGGGGGTTTGGCGGAGGTGTGTGGGGCTGGTCTCTCTGGAGGCAGGTGCAGGGTTGGGGTGGCTGAGGGACAGCATGGAGACAGGAGGCTGCAGTGAGGCCTTGGCCTGTGGCAGTGAGCCAGAGAGGAGGGAGCCAGGGACTTAGGCTCACATTTCTGGCCTCCTAAACAAATCCCATTACCTCTCCCTGCAACCGCTTCCCTCTACGCCCAAGGTAATTCCAACTATATCACTATTTGGGATAAAAATCCCTGTGGTGATCCAAGGGTTTTGCTGATGAGTTTGGATTCACTTCGAAGGTTGTGTAGACATCTGAAGTGGTCCCTCCAAGGGTGTAATCTCCATCCACTGTCTTCAGCTCATGGGAAAGGCCCAGTACAAACTCAGCCAGAATTTTGGATTTTCCCTGTGCCCCACAGGTCTGCTTCTGACTCAGCCAATAGCAACTCCATCCCTGCGGGAACTCCTGCCGAACACATCGGAGTCATACTTCCCCGTGTTCTATCGTGGGCAAATCCTGCTGGATCTGCCTTTATTTCACTTTCTTTTTTTTAGAGACAGGGTCTCACTCTGTCACCCGGGCTGGAGTGCTGTGGTTCGATCATAGCTCCTTGCAGCCTTGAACCTGCCCGGCTCAAGCGATCCTCCTGCCTCAGCCTCCCAAGTAGCTGAGACTACAGGCACACACCTCCACATCCAACTCATTTTTAATTTTCTTTTGTAGAGATAGGGTCTCACTCTGTTGCCCAGGCTGCTCTTGAACTCCTGGACTCAAGTGACCCTTCCTCCTCGGCTTCCCAAAGTGCTGAGATGAAAGGCGTGAGCCACCGCACCTGGCCTGGAGCTGCCTTTAAAGCTGACCCAGAACCTCCACCATGCCTGTCCCCACACTGGTCTGAGTCCCTGGCCTCATGCACTGGAATCCACACACCAGCCTGTCTGGTCTCTCTGCTTCCACCCTTCTTCCCATAGCAGCACGTGCGGTCCTGTTAGACACGAAACCAGACATGGGTCCCCTCTGCCCAGACCCTCCGCCGGCATGAATATCTTGCTCAGAGTGAATACCTGAGTCCTTGTGTGGTCTCTGCATTCCTGTGTGATCTGTCCCCTCCTCTAGCACCTCCCGCCCCCTTTTTTTCCTCCTCTGCCCTTTGCTCACTCAGCTGCAGCCACACTGTGCTCTCAGTTTTTCCCCAAAGGGCCAGACAGGCTCCTGCCTCGAGGCTTTTGCACTGGCCATCCCTCTGCCTGGAACTTCCATTCCCCCGGATGTCTTCATGGCTTGCCCCTACATCTCCTTCAAATCCTTGCTCCAATGTCCCCTTCTCAGTGAGGCCCTCCTTGAAGCCATCCCCACTTTGATCCCTCCCTGCTGAATTGCTCTCCCTGGCTTTCACCCCTGCATACTCTGCAGTGTTCTTTCTTTTTTTCTTTTTGAGACAAAGTCTCGCTCTCTCGCTCAGGCTGGAGTGCAGTGGCACGATCTCAGCTCACTGCAACCTCTGCCCCCGGGGTTCAAGGGATTCTCCTGCCTCAGCCTCCTGAGTAGCTGGAATTACAGTTGTGCGCCACCACACCAGGCTAATTTTTGTATTTTTAGTAGAGACAGGGTTTCGCCATGTTGGCCAGGCTGGTCTTGAACTCTTGACCTCAGGTGATCTGCCCGCCTCGGCCTCTCAAAGTTCTGAGTGATGTTCTTTCTTACGAACTTTGTTCACGTTCTCTTTTCTTCCCAGTGCTGAGCATTCAGTGGGTGGCTCAGTGAGTGGAGGAGCATCTTAGATGGAAATTCCAAATCCCTCTGTGCATCCTCAGGTGTTTCTTGAGAGAGTGTGGTCCCTGAGACATATCTCACCTGGGCTCTCCTGGCTTTGAACATGCAGGACAGGGTTCCCAGCTGTAGGTCACCGAGCCCTGCTCACATGCACACCAACCACAGCCTCGAGTCCAAAGAAGTACCCTGTTTAGCACACATCGAGGGGCTGGTTTTCATTGGTACACAGACACTCATGATGAATACTGCATGCCAGTTTAAAAGTGCTACTGGAGGCTGGGTGCGGTGGCTCATGCCTGTAATCCCAGCACTTTGGGAGGCCGAGGCGGGCAGATCACTTGAGGTCAGGAGTTCGAGACAAGCCTGACCAACACGGTGAAACCCCGTCTCTGCTAAAAATATGAAAAATAGCCAGGCGTGGTGGCAAGCGCCTGTAATACCAGCTACTCGGGAGGCTGAAGTATGAGAATCGCTTGAACCCAGAAGGCGGAGGTTGCAGTGAGCTGAGATTGCACCACTGCACTCCAGCCTGGGCGACAGAGTGAGACTCCATCTCAAAAAAAAAAAAAAAAAAAAGATGCTACTGGATTCTTTACAGCTGTTTGGCGATGATGTATTTTCTCTGTCAACCAATACTCTCAATGCCACCATTATCACATGGAGGTCCTCTCTTTCAAAATAGTTGAGAATCTCTTGCACAGTGCCAGAAAAGGGCTCTAAAAGCAAGTTTGGAGACCCTTGGCCATCCTTCGTGCCTGCTCTTACCAGGGACGTTGCCCACAACGTTTTCCTCTCACCTACCCCCCGGCAGATTAGCAGCAGCTGACAGTGGGTGCCGGCTCACCCACAGGAGTAAGGCAATTCATAATCGGTTAACCTTGAATTCTGCAAGGCCTGCCACTCGGCAAGCCGGGGGTTGTCGGAGCAGTTCTCAGCTTGGGCAGAATTCAAATGAGCTCTTATAATCAACATGCAATTAATTGTTGCACGCCCTGAGCATCTGGGCAGTAAGTGCTGTGCAGCGCGAAGGGAGTTCAGGGAGCGTGGTCATCTTAGAGCAGAGGTGGGGACGGGGTTGCACACAGTTTCCACGTTGCACAGGAGAGCCTGAAGAGGTTTGTCTGAGTTTGGTCAACTGATCTTGGTTCAGATGTCAGTAACAGTGAATTATTAATTGAGTCTACTGTGTGCCAAATGCTTTTTGCAGCCATGATCTCATTACAGCAGCCCACTGTGATATACCTTGAAGGGGGGGGGGTCCTCCCTTTTTTATAGTTATGGAAATTGAGGCTCAGAGAGGGTAAGTGACCTGTTCAAAGCCACACAGCTGGTCAAGCCCTAGATATGCTTGATCCCAAAGTCAGTATGTTTGGCCACCCTGCCCCCACCCGAATCTTGAAGATTCTACCCACATTCACATGGTGTGCATGTGAGCAGGGTTGGCAGCCCCTGTAGGGCACCACTGCCTGGTAGCTGCAATAACTTTGTGGCCGGCATGGGCCCTCCTAGGGTTCTGCTGTTTGGGATCTCAGGTGGGTGCAGTGGGCTGTCTGGGGTACCCTGTTGCCACTCTTCCTGCAGTTGCATGCCATGGTTGGGAGCCCAGATGACAGTTTCATCCTTGGAGGGGAGCTCTTCCCAGATGCTGGAGGTGACACCCAGGAGACAGAAAAACGTTTCAAACCCTATAACCCAATACTCCAGGAGGGGCGCCTCCTGACAGATTCTGCCACTCCAAGTCCAGCATGGGTTGTCTTATCCAGGGGGTCTTGCAGCTCCCTGGCTGTGGGAAGCCCTGCAGGCTCTGCTGTTTAGAACCTTTGGAAAAACTCCTTTCTCAGGGTCTGGTGCGGGGGTCCTTTTGGGGATCCCCTTCTGGGACAGGGTCCTGCTGGTCCGTGTCCCTCTTGGGGAGCCCCAGCAGGCTCTGCCCTTGTCTCCTGGGGCAGGGCCTCTCTGGGTCTCATGAGATGCCCGCTCCCGGCGGGTTTTGTTGCCCCACGTCCGCCGTGGGGATCTTTTCTCAGGAGCGCCTTGCCTGGGATTCTCCTTGCGTCTCAGACCCTCACCCTGGCTCGGATTTCTTTCGGGGGCGTCCCTCCACTCCCAGGCCCCCGCCCGCGCCCGGCGTGGCGGCCCCCTCTCCCCGTGCGGGCGGGCTCCGGAACAGTGTCGCCGGCCGCCTGCAGGTGTCTCCCCACGGAGGGGCGCGCGTCCCTGCGCCGTGGCCGCTGCCAGGCGCCAGCGGCTCCTAGCCGAGGTGCACTCGCGCTCCGGGCTCCGGGCGCGCCGTAGCCGCTCCTCCACCGCCGCCCGCCCCGCCAGCCCGCCCCGCACGCCCCCCGCGCCGCGCCCCCACCCCGGGGTTGGGGGGGGCATGGGCCCGCGCCGCGTCCGCCGCCGCCGATCTCAGGCACCCGAGCCCCGGGGCGCGGCGGGCAGCGGCCGCTGACGCGGGGCGCCAGCTGCCAACTTCGCGCGCGGAGCTCCCCGGCGGTGCAGTCCCGTCCCGGCGGCGCGGGCGGCATGAAGACTAGCCGCCGCGGCCGAGCGCTCCTGGCCGTGGCCCTGAACCTGCTGGCGCTGCTGTTCGCCACCACCGCTTTCCTCACCACGCACTGGTGCCAGGGCACGCAGCGGGTCCCCAAGCCGGGCTGCGGCCAGGGCGGGCGCGCCAACTGCCCCAACTCGGGCGCCAACGCCACGGCCAACGGCACCGCCGCCCCCGCCGCCGCCGCCGCCGCCGCCACCGCCTCGGGGAACGGCCCCCCTGGCGGCGCGCTCTACAGCTGGGAGACCGGCGACGACCGCTTCCTCTTCAGGAATTTCCACACCGGCATCTGGTACTCGTGCGAGGAGGAGCTCAGCGGGCTTGGTGAGTGCGCGCGGGCGGCGGCCAGCTCGGCTCCGGCTCCCCCGGGGCGGCGCGGCCATCGAGGCCCGAGCCCCGGACCCGTTCGCCCTCCTCCCGCCGCCTGGGCCCAGCTCCCAGCGCTCCGCCTGGCTAGGGGCGACGTTCCGGGGCAGGGGGCGCGCGCCGTTCCGGGGCCGGGGACCAGCATGGGGGGACGTGCGGGACGCCCCGCCGTGGAGAGGTGCAAGGCAGAGCTCCTACCCGCTGCGGACGCCCCGCGGCTTTGGGGACGCTCCCGCGCCCCGGGAAGGCGCCCACCCCCGCTGCCGGTCGGAGGGGCGCGCGCTGCTTTCCGCTCCTGAACTCATCTCCACGCTCGCCCCCTCCTCCTCTTCCTTTCGCGGGGCACTAGATGCCCCCACCCACCCCGGAACGCCCCTGGGGGTGGGGGTGATGCAGGGACTCCTGCTACCAGCCGCCCCTCCTGCCGCAGATCCACAGACCCGGGAGCCTTCCACCCCCATCGCCAACCCACGCCGAACCTCCCAGACGGGAGTGGGGAGTGGGGGAGTCCCGCGGGCTCCCGGAAAGCCGCACCCGCCCAGAGGCACCCCTATTGCCAGACGCCAGGGAGCCCTCTGTATCCTGGCCCCCTCCTGGGAGAGGCAGGCTAGGGAACTGGGGACAGCTGGGCAAACTCCGGGTCGAGGAGTCCAGGAGGGCTTAGCTTAGCACAAGGCTCCTATTAGGTTCGGTGGGGGACTGACTTTTCAGAAGGCAGATCAGACTGTCCCCTTTGCCTGGACCCCCTCCTCTACCCTCCAGAGGCAGCCTGGGCTGGAGTGCGTGTTTTGGAGGCAGACAGCCGGGCTGTGGCAGGGCCCAGGGGACAGCTGCCGGACAGCTGGTTGTGCCACACAGCAGGTAGAGCTGGCCCGAAAGACGTGGTATCTCTGAGCGGGTGTCCAGGCATGGACACCCTCCTGAGTGAATTGACCTCTTTCTCCAAGGTTAAAACTCCTCCCTGCATGCCTAGCTCCTCAGTGTGGACACCACACATATGTGTGTGCTCAAGGGTGGGTTACAGCAGACCTCCACCCTTAGTTTGCCCTAAATAAGCCAGTGGCCTAAGTGGTTTAGAGGGCAGAGGGAGGAAGCTGTGAAGCGAACCCAGTGAAAAGCTCCAGGCCTCTGCACAGGCTGCATCCTCTGTCTGGAATGCCCTTCCCCGCCCCACCTCCTTCTTCAGGGGCTCCTTTCACTGGGACTCTCCCACCTGCCTTCCATGTCAGGATACTGAGGAGGGACAACCTTGTGAGCTCCCCGTTGGAGGGAGGGTCTCCATCTTTGGATCTCACCACTGCGTTTATCTCCCTGCCACACTTGGCACTCCCTGACATTTTCTGGGGCCTGTTTTTGGTCACTAGCTTATAGTCCCCACTCCCCATAGGATGTCACTCTGTGAGGGCCAGCCCGGTTGGTCTTGTTCACTGCTGCCTCCCAGTAATGTCTAGCGCATAGTAGGTCTTCAATAAACATTTGCCGGGTGCATACTGGATGGGGTTGGGATGATGAACCGGAGGCTTCCTGCGGTGCTGCCTCCTCTGTCTCTCTTCTGGGGGTGGCTGACCAAACTTTTCTGTGACTTGAGCCAGGCTGGCCGTTTGTCAGAGATACATGGTGTTTGAATATGGACCTGCCCCTGATTGGTTTCATCCCATCAGACCCACTTCTGGTTTACACTCAACACTCAAATGTTTACTGTGGGATGCAATTAAAATTATTAACTTCAAAAGGCATCTTGGCCAAAATTCCCTGCCTTCCGCACAGCCCAACCCTAATCTCTCACACGGAGGCCTCGTAACACCTTGTTGTCAGGAACATCTTCGTCCTTGGAGGTAGACATCTTGCTACTGTACATCTTTCTCCAAGTTCAAGAAGGTGTTTCCAAGGCTCAGGAGACCCAGCCCTGGGGAGATACCACCTCTGCCTCCCTTCCTCTGTGCACACACCTGAAAATACAATGAGGCATCTCTGGCACCGGAGTGGTCCTGTCTCTACCTCTGTGGAGTGTCCTGGTCCAAGCTGCTCAGCTGAGCCTCTTAATTGTTTGGAGTCTCTGTTGGCTGCTCCCTGAAGGTCACGGTCCCAGTACTTGCTACAATTATTTCCCTGTAGTTCTTTCAGGGCTTGACTTGGGATATTTAAGTATTTTAAAAAATTATTAATTGAAAATTATTTAAAAAACAATGTTGGCTAACATTTATTGAGCCTTTAACGTTCACCAGGTCCTGCTGAAACTTCTCATCTCCTGAATCTTGTTGAATCCTGGCCGCCACCTTTGAGGCAGACACTTCTAGGGTACTTGCTTTTTCAGATGAGGAACTTAGGCTCACAGGGGATTCTGGCAAGGGAGCTGGAATTACCTTCTCGGGAACAGAAAGAAATCAGAGTGAAGGGATCGCGGAAGAGAATAGTACAGTTGAGGGGTCAGGGAAGTTGGCATTTTGGGGGACTCAGTTAAGACCCTCACTCCCAAAACTCAGTTAGAAATGCGGATGGTTAGTTTGTTGCATAAATAAAAGAAACCCCCAGTTTCCTCTTGGCCACTGTGGGCTGGAGATCATCCCTCCCCCAAAATCACAATTTTCCTCTCTGAGAGCTTGGAAAATAGTTATCAGCTTGTCAGTGCTGGTGAGAAATTTGGGAATCGGAGCCAGCTGGGGTGGTTTCTGCAGCTGATCCTACAGTGCCAAAATCCTGCCTTCTCCACCACGGTGGTCCTGAAAGGGTGATAGCAAGTACCTGGCCTCAAACTTTTGTTGCCATGACAACCTTTCCTCTGGGTTCTGTGACTATTTTATTTTTTTACTCGAAGAGGAAAAAAACATCCCAATAGCCCCCTGAACAAAATCTCGCCTCCCCCACCCCTATACATCAAGGCTAAACTTCCCTCCCTTCCATCAAACTACAGCAAAGCTTTCTTTCCTTCTGTGTGTTTCACGTGCATCCAAATGCGAACACCAACCAGGAGATCCTCACCGCTCCGTGAGAAGGAGCTGCTAAATGTTCCCTCCTCTCCAACGCCTGTTTGCCTGTTCGGCCATTCCTTTCTAGGCTCAGAAAAACCTCTCCCCACTCGGGCAGCCACAGGGAAATGTAATAAGCCCTTTTTCCCACACTAAAAATCTACAGTGTTCACAAAGAAAACTGCAGCCTGCCCTAAACAGACACACTTTCACCAGACCCTGCACAAAGAAACCTTTTCTCCTTGCTCCAAGAAGAGCACCCGCGTCCTTCCACAAACAGAAAGGGAAGCGTGGCCTCGACACAGAGTCACCCCAAGCCCTTCACACAAATTGGATTTCTCTTCTGGTTGAGACGCTGGGGAGGGGTTTGGTGGGGAGCAGAAGCAAGCATCGTTCTAGTCAGTGTGGTGGGGGTGGCTGAGGAGAGGCCTGGAGGAGGGGAGAATGAAGGTCTGGGTTAGGGGCGATGGTGGGGCAGGTGGGAGCTTGTGCCAGCTGGGAGCACAGGTGACGTCCACATGCGTTGGACTTCATCCTGTATGCTTTTGAGCCGCAGGAAAGGGGTGGCTTGGGAAGATTGGGGGGAGGTGGAGGGGTCTTGGGGGACTTGCCAGGCTGGCAGGAGGGAGGTGAGACTGGAGAGAGAAGAGAGAGACCAGTCCCAGGGCTGGGTGGTGACGGGGTGGGTGTGAAGCCAGAAGACCCATGCAGGACCCAGGCGGGGAGCCAACACACCCCACACCGCGGTGGCCCCTCCCACAGTCCCAGAGACGTTGGGGTAGGAAGGAGCATGTTTCCTTCAAACTCAAAAACTCTCTCCCCTGTAGAACTGGTGGAAGTTCAAGGCTGGGCTCAGCCTCTTACTAGCAGCGTGGTTTCAGGCAGGAAACTCCCAGGGCTACTGTGTAGGTGGGGATCAGAGCAGCTAGCACCCGCCGGAGATGCAAGGATTTGGTGACGTAGGGCAGGGAGTGGGGAGCACCACCTCGGTGTTGCCGCCACCCTGGGCTGAGCCACCCACAGCCACCCGTGTCTCCCATGGACTTCTGCAGCCATCTCTCCGCCTCTGCCATCACCCCCACTCCCCAGTTCATCCTGCACCCAGCATCCGAGTCATCGTTAGATGTGGGGCACAGCACCTCTGACTGCCCTCCTGTCATTCAGAGTCAAGTCTCCAGCTAGCCTTCCCTGTACCTGTCTTGTCTTCCTTTATTTTGAACAGAGAACCCCAGCTCTTCTGCCCAGTCCCCTAAATTATGCTGCTACAGTGTCACAAGTATGAGGACCCCTGTGATGTCCCCAACCGGGAGGTTTTTGGTGCTTGGGAGTATGTTAGTGTCATATTCGATGTGTTTCATGTTGGGAGCATCTGTTGGGCAAAGATTTGCATGATGGAAGGCATTGCTCTAACTCCTCGACATGGTTTGTTTGTTTTTTTTTTTTTTTTGGTCTTGTTCTGTGGCTCAGGCTGGAGTACAGTGTTGTGAGCACAGCTTACTACAGCTTCCACCTCCTGGGCTCAGGCATCCTCCCGCCTTAGCCTCCCGAGTAGCTGGGACCACAGGTGTACACCACCATACCTGGCTAATTTTTGTATTTTTTGTAGAGACGAGGTTTCACTATGTTGCTCAGGATGGTCTCAAATTCCTGGCCTCAAGCGATCCGCTTGCCTCGGCCTCCCAAAGTGCTGGGATTACAGGCGTGAGCCACTGTGGCTGGCCTGACAAGTATAACTTCCTTTGTCTGCATAATAGCCCTACGAGGTGGGTGCCGTGGTTGCTCTCATTTCCTAGGTGAGTAAACAGAGGCACAGAGAGGTGAAGTGAGTTGCCCAAGGTCACACAGCTAGTAAGTGGCAAAGCTGGATGTGCACCCAGGCGGGAGGCTCCGGAGCCTGGCTCTTGCCTGCTGTGCTGTGCTGCTCCTCAGTCTCCCCAGCCCAGCTCACTCAGGCTCCCTTTGTTCCTCCAACCAGGCTCGTTGGGCGGAGCACTGCATCTGGAGTCACGAGCCCCGGGTTTGGCTCCAGGCTTTGATGCCAACTTACTGAGTGGCTTCAGAGAAATCACACTCCCTCTCTTTCTGGCCTTTTCTTTCCTTGTGTGTAAAATGGAGGTTTTGTTGAGTGTTTTGTGTGGATGATGGAGGTGACAGAGCCCTGTCCCATGACCCATCACAGGGTTTGGGCCCAGATGGTCCAGATTCTAGTCCTCATACTACTGCCAGCTGCTGTGTGGCCTTGGGTAGGAGTCTGCCCTCTCTGGGCCTCAGTTTCCTTGGCTGGGGCATGAGGATGATCCTATCTGCCCCATGATAGCATCGTTGGGGTTGATCCAGATAACGTGGTCCCAGCACTCCACTGGCCACAGCCAGCACTTGGTAAATGGGACTTGCTGCCATCTGACCCGAGGCTGCAGACAGGTGGCCCGTGCATCACATCTGAACCGTGTATCTGTTTTGTTTGGCCCTGCAGTGTTCCCAGTGTCTTTGAATAAGTTGCCAACATTTGAATATGGAGCCACTTCATAGAAACATCTGGATTTATGGCTTTTCTTGAAAACTTGGCAGATGGAGTCTGTACTCCCAATGGGAGTGAGTGGAGCTGCCCCTTGGGGGAATCCACGGTGCCCCCCCACCAACCAGTTCTGCCCTCAGTTTACACGAATTGCCGCCCTTCCCTTCTAGGAGCTCAGGCCTCCAAACCTCAGTTTGGATGCCTAGTCCATTGGTCCAACCTGCCAGCCGGTCAATCAGAACCCAGTGCGTCCCACCTTGCCCCGCAGCTCCCCCTGCTCCTGGCTTTGACTTCATGGTCCGTTTCTCCACCCGGTGGCTGGAGGGTTCCCTGTTCCATCTGAGGCGGATCACCCCCGTTCCCCACTCCGGACCCTTCCTCACTCAGTCACAGTCGAATGCCTTCCAAGGACTGCCAGGAAGTCTGCAGTCTTCTCTGCTGCCTCCTGCCCTTCCCCACTCCTCTCTGCCCCCACAGTCACTCTTCTTCAGCCACACCGGCCTCCTTACCGGCTCTTTGACAGGCCGAGGCTTTTGTACTTGCTGTTCCTTGCCTCCAGGAACTCTTCCATAAGACAACCCCGTACAAGTCTCTGCTCAAATGTCCTCCAGTTTGTGAGGCCTTCCTGGACCACCCCACTGAAATTAGCCGCCTTGCTGCCCGCCGGCACTCCCCTGCACCCCTGATGTCCCCACTGCTCTGATCGAGGTCATACCCACTGCGTATCACACTGTCTTCTCTCTATCATCCATCTCCCTGCTGGGACGCTGGCTCCCTGAGGACAAGCCTTGTCCCGGTCACATCGTGCTGCCCCCAGAGCCTAGATGAGCTGACACTTCAATGCCGTAGGACTCAGCATGGCAGCTCATCCAGGCTCTCGGAGGCAGCACCGTGTGACAGGGACCAAGATTTTTTTTTTTAATATATATTTTTTATTATACTTTAAGTTCTAGGGTACATGTGCACAATGTGCAGGTTTGTTACATATGTATACATGTGCCATATTGGTGTGCTGCACCCATTAACTCGTCATTTACCTTAGGCATATCTCCTAATGCTATCCCTCCCCCCTCCCCCCACCCAACAGCAGGCCCCGGTGTGATGTTCCCCTTCCTGTGTCCATGTGTTCTCATTGTTCAATTCCCACCTATAAGTGAGAACATGTGGTGTTTGGTTTTTTGTCCTTGCGATAGTTTGCTGAGAATGATGGTTTCCAGCTTCATCCATGTCCCTACAAAAGACATGAACTCATCATTTTTTTATGGCTGCATAGTATTCCATGGCGTATATGTGCCACATTTTCTTAATTCAATCTATCATTGTTGGACATTTGAGTTGGTTCCAAGTCTTTGCTATTGTGAGTAGTGCTGCAATAAACACGCCTGTGCATGTGTCTTTACAGCAGGGACTAAGTTTTCAGGAGGGACTCAGGGAACACTTGTGGAATGTACTGGGGCTCTGGGGACTTCTCAGGGCTTCTGTGGGCAGCGAGAGGCCGGGGCTCTCTACTCCGTGCCTGTCATTCCCGTGGACTTGTCAGATGTTCTTCTTTCTTCCCTGCTCCCTCTCTTGGTTTATTTCCAAGGAGAGGTGTTTAGTGGGATCCTGTGGGGAGCTCACGTCACTCCCCCGTGTTTAAATTCTGGGGTGCCAGACTCAGAGCTGTCTTGTGAGGATGCTGCAACCTCGGGCCTCTGCTGCCTTCAGGACGGTGCAGGTTAAGCTCTTTTGGTCTCAAGTGATGGAAACAAACTCGACCCCAGATAAGAATAAAAGGGGAATGGGCCGGGCGTGGTGGCTCATGCCTGTAATCCCAGCACTTTGGGAGGCCGAGGTGGGCGGATCACCTGAGGTCTGGAGTTCAAGACCAGCCTGGCCAACATGGCGAAATCCCATCTCTACTAAAAATATAAAAATTAGCCGGGTGGTGGCAGGCAGCTGTAGTCCCAGCTACTTGGGAGGCTGAGGCAGGAGAATTGCTTGAACCCGGAAGGCAGAGGTTGCAGTGAGCTGAGATCGTGCCACTGCACTCTAGCCTGGGGGACAGAGCAAGACTCCGTCTTAAAAAAAAAAATTAAAAAAAATAATAAAAGGGGGAGTTTATTAGAACAATGCTAGCTCGGCACAATGGCTCACGCCTGTAATCCCAGCACTTTGGGATCCCTTGGGGAATTCAAGACAAGCCTGGGCAACATAGCAAGACCCCCATCTCTACAAAAAAATTAAAAATTAGATAAGTGTGGTGGTGTGTGCCTGTAAGTCCCAGCTACTCAGGAGGCTGAGGTGGGAGGATCGCTTGAGCCCAGGAGTTTGAGGCTGCAGTGAGCTGTCATCGTGTCACTGTGCTCCAGCCCGGGCAACAGAGGGAGACCCTGTCTCAAAAATAAATAAAAATAAAAATAGAATAATGCTGCAGCAAAGGTGAAATCACCACCCCTCAGAGGCCAGAGCCAGGGCCACTGGGCTCCTGGAGGCTGGACCTTCCCTCGGGTCCAGAGCCACCAACTAAAATCCCACAGAGGCCAGCCTGGAAACCTACGAGAGTGACGTGAGGAAGGAGTAGGGGGCCTGCGGGGGCTGGGCAACCGCTGTGTAGTTCCAGAAGCTTTCTCACTGCAGGAGGGGGTGGCTCGTGGAGTGCCTAGTGGTCCATTTTTGTTCAAAACTCCCAGTTTTTATATGACATCTGTTGATTGTTCACATTTGGCAGCAAATCCATTTTTTTTTAAAGACATCTGATCTGCAGGCCAAAATAAAACACTTTCGAGGGGTGGGTAGACCCTTGTCCCGTCAATTTGCAACTTCTAGGCCAGAGTTTTGCTCTTGACAGGATTGAGTTCCCAGCCCCCAGTTGTTTTTCTTTTTATGTAAAAATATTTGTAATAATAATATTTTATTATTTTATTTTATTATTATTATTTTTTGAGATGGAGTCTCAATGTGTTGCCGAGGCTGGAGTGCAGTGGTGCAATCTTGGCTTACTGTAACCTCCGTCTCCTGGGTTTAAGCGATTCTCCTGCCTCAGCCTCCTGAGTAGCTGGGATTACAGGTGGCTGCCACTACACTGGGCTAATTTTTGTATTTTTAGTAGAGACGGAGTTTCACCATGTTGGCCAGGCTGGTCTCCAATTCCTGACCTCAGGTGATCCATCTGCCTCAGCCTCCCAAAGTGTGGGTGATGTGGGTGAGATATGGAAGAGGACTTGGCCCCAAGCTTGCCTGGAGGGGGCAGGGTCCCTTCTCAGGGGCCGTCCTTCTTCCCCGATGGTGGGGACTGGGGATGGGAGGTGATGGAGGTAGAGGAGGGTCGGTGCTTCTGGAAGCAGAGCTGGGGTGGGTATTTGGGCTGGAGCTTGGCGAGGACAGTGGCCGTGGCAGCCTTGTCCCATGTCCTGGCCTCCCAGAGTGTGCATCAGAGATAGCCACGGGGGAGGAGGGGAGGAGGAGGGCAGGAGACACAGACATTGTGAGGAGTGGGGAGTGACAGACGCAGGGCGGGTGGCACACACAGAATCTGAGAAGGATGCAGAGGGAGGCTGCGAGGGGGACCGAGGGGACCACAGAAGGAGTGACCAACAGAGAGAAAGGCAGACACATACAGAGGGAGCGAGCGAGGAGAGAGACAGAGACACAGAGACCCAGAGAGAGATGAGAAGACGCAAAGGGAGATCGAGGCACGTGCACCGCATTGGGTGCACACCCGGACAGAGATGCAGAGAGCAGCAATGAGACAGAAACAGACAGAGATGGAGAAAGGGAGAAATATGTGGGCAGAGAAAGAGACACACGTGTGTGCACACACGCATGCATGCACAGACACACACATGTGCACGTGCACTCACACACAGGGAGGAGGGTGCCCGAGAAGCTGGAGAGGAGAGAGGCGAGCGAGGGGAGCCCGAAATAGCCCAGGGGAGGCGGTAGCAGCACACGTGGCCCTTCCCGCCTCGCCTTGCTCTTTTCCAGGAGGCCCCTACAGGGGAAGTGACTCCTTGAGGCCTCAGCCCCGGGGGAGTGGCTGCGCCCCATCCAGACGGATGAAGAAGACCAGACCCTCCCTCATCTGACTCTGCCCTCCAGTCCCCCTCTGTCCTCCCAGTTGGCAGCAGTGGGTGGGTGCAGTGTTTGGAGGATGGGGGCTTCGTTTCATCACTGACCCCTCTTCATGTTGCCCAAATAATAATAATAATACGCTAATAATAACAACAAAAAGAAGTCTTCTGTAAAGTGTGACTAGAAGAATACAAACATCTTAGGAAAACAGTGCTATTTTTATTAGTCATTCACACTCTAAGCAAACGTGGCATGTGGGAAGCAGCTTCTCCCTAAGTCAACTTGATTGCCTCTGTCCCCTCTGGACACATTTGTGGGGCTTCTGCTCCCCTTTGTCTATGTCTGCATGCCACCCCCTTCTCTCTGGGCCTCTCTCCACCCTGGTTTCTCTACAGGGGATCCTTTTCTGGAAGAGGGCATGGGAGGCTGAAAGCCCCACTCCTCCAGCCCCTTGGACACCACTGGCCACACTCTCTGCCCCCCTCTGCCAGCCTTGTCCCAGGCAGCTCCACTTGGCCCGGGCCCCACCTTGAGGGAGACTTTCTGGGTGGTCCTGGAAGGGGCATAGAGGAGGAAAACCCTCTCCAGAACACAGTTGGGCGGGGCGGAGAGGCAGAAGACTTGGACACGAGTCACTGTCTCCGCTTGGTGGATCTCTCCACATGGGGATCTCACAGGCATCTCAGATTAACATGTCCCTACCTAATCATCTGTTTTCTGCCCTCCTCAGCCAGGGCAGCCTGGGCTATGCTGTTGCAGCTATCTGCAGCAATCTGCAGATGTGGGAGGTTGCAGACAACCCTAGTTGACTTCTTACTCCCGTGACATGTCCATAGCAGGTCAGTGGGGGGCTCTACTTCATGGTGACCTCACTGGGGACCTGGATAAAGGATGCTCCATCTCTGATTTTCCATGGCTGTCAAGGCAGGAAAGGGTATGAGTCCTTGCCTAGAAGTGGCACGGACCATCCTGCTTGCATCTCATTGGTCAAAGCAAATCACATGGCCATGTCTACCTTTTCAAGGACTGGAGAATTTCAGTCCTACTATGTGCTTAGAGAGCAGAGACCTGGGGCCAGCAGGGTGGCACACATCTGTAATCCAAGCACTTTGGGAGGCTGAGGTGGGAGGATTTGTTGAGGCCAGGAGTTTGAGACCAGCCTGGGCAACATAGCGAGACCCAATCTCTAAAAAAATATTTTTTAATAATAATAAAAAAAAGAAAGTAGAAACCAGGGAACACTGATAACAGGTTGAACATTGGTGGCACAGATGACTCCTCCACACCCCACTCCTGCCCCTCTCTTAGCCCCATCTCAACAAAAGACAGCTCCATCTTTCCAATTTCTCAGGCAAAAGACCTTGGAGTCATCTTTGACTCCTTTCTCTCTCTCCCCACAGACACAAACACACACTCATCCTCACACAGCTCATTTAATCTATTGGCAAATCCTGCTGACTCTTTTCCCAAACACATCCAGAGTCTCACCATTTCTCCCCGTCTCCTCCGCCCCCCTGGTCTGAGCCTGCACCGTCTCTGGCCTGGATGACTCCAGCATCCCACTCACTGGTCATCCTGCTTCTGTTTATCCCCCACCGTGCTGAGCAATCCTACTGCATACTGCTGGAGTCCCTCTGCTCAGACCCTCCAATGGCTCCCATGTCATTCCTGGTAAAGCCAATGTCCTCCTGGTAGCTACAAGACCTGCCATCACCTGCCCCGTTACTCTCTGCCCCATCTCCCATGATGCTCTTCCTCGTTGTCTATGCTGCAGCCCCACTGTCCTCTTGCACACACACCTCCAGGCATGCTCCTGCCCCAGGGCCTTTGCACGTGCAGCTCCCTTAGCCTGAAACTCTTTCTCCAGATTTCCACACCATCACTTCCCTCAAACGTTCCTTGTGAATGAGGTCTTCCTTGGCCACCCTATTTAAAGTCGCAGTCACCTCCCCACCTTATTCCACTACGCAGCTTGTTTTTTTTTTTTTTTCGTAACACTTCCCCCTACCTGACATGCTGCCAATTGCTCGATCTACCTCAATGCCTCAGTGATGTGCAACCCACGCTTTTGCAAATCACTGTCTGAAAATCAACACTTTGTTTTATGAACAAGGAAATGCAAGTCTCTGCAGGGAGAGACCCTTTTCCAAACCATCCCCTAGTCACCGGCAGAACTGGCACCAGAACCTGGAGCCCTGCTTTCTAGTTGCTGATCTTTGTCTATCCCTTAAGGTTCTGCTAGACCTTGACCTTCAGTTTTCTGACTTATGCCCTGTTGGTCAGAATAGCTGTTATTCAAAAAATGCCCACTCCAACCAAAAGCCAAATTTCCTGGGACTGGTAGGTAATGAACACTTGGGTTGACTCAGAAGGAGAGTCTACAAATTCTCATCCCTTCTTTCATTCATTTTCATGAACACCTACTATGTGCTAGGCTTTGTCTAGGTGCAGGGGACTGTAGCAGGAAACAAGACGAATGAGGGTTTTAGTTTCATGGAGCTTCCATTCCAAAGGAGGAAGACAGACGACAGGAGGTGGTTTCTTCATTTGCGCATGTAACCTAAATTTATTAAGCCCTTACTTGTGGATTCAGTGGGGGACAAAGCGGACAGTCCTTGTCTTATGGAGCTTGCATTCTGGAGGGGACAGACAATGAGAACAGATACATTGGTGATGGTGGCTTATATGTCACCAGTTGCAGATCAGAAATGACCCCTGGAACTCAGGGGATCAGGAAGCAGTTGGGCTCCTCTGAGTTGGTGAAGGCTAATAGGCTCTTGACAGCATAAGCCATAACCTCTTTGTGACTTTTGAAGCCTGCTTTACATTTTTTCTCTAACGGTGATGGAGTAGAATTTTGAGACCCAAGGTCATCTTTCCAAAAGGCACCAAACCCTTACCTGCTGGCCGAGTTGTTCCAACCCTTGAAGTATTTTCCAAGATACCTATTTCTATCTTTAAAGATCTGTCCTCCTAGCTGGGTGCAGTGGCTCATGCCTCCAATTCCAGCCCTTCTTTAAGGATCTGTCCTCCTACCTGGGTGCAGTGGCTCACGCCTCCAATCCCAGCCCTTCTGGAGGCTGAGACAGGAGGATTGCTTGAGGTGAGGAGTTCAAGACCAACATAGCAAGACCCCATCTCTACAAAAAACATTAGCCAGACGTGGTGGTGTGCACCTGTAGTCCTAGCTACTGAGGAGGCTGAGATGGGAGGATCCCTTGAGCCCAGGAGTTTCTTGGCTGCAGTGAATTGTGATTGCACCACTGCACTCCAGGCTGGGTGGCAGAGTAAGACCTTGACTCTTAAAAAAAAAAAAGATTTGCTCTCCTTTGTAATAAGAGGTCATTTGGAAGGAGTTTTTGGAAATTGTCTTGTCTCCTTTGGTATTCATTCATTCATTCATTCATTCATCACATCTATTAAACACCTATTCTGTCCCAGGTCTTCTTCTAGGCACCAGGTTTACTAGGTGAACTTCATATATAAGGTTCCTGCCCTCAAGGAGCTTCCTTCCAGTGGAGAGAGAGAAAATGAGTAAGTTAAACCGTAGATAAATCAATAATTTCATATAGAGATGTAGTGCTTGAATTCCATGAAACAGAGTCATGAGGTAGCTCTTGCAGGTGGAGTTTTGCATACGGTGTTGGGGAGACTTCTTTGACAAGGTGACATCTGAACTGAGTCCTGAACGACTGTAAGAGGGCAGCCATGGAGTTCTTGGGGGAGTACAGGGGAGGATTCTAAGCAGAATAAGTTAGTCCTTGCTGATTGATCACTTTAGTCTTCCACTTCTTCTTCTTTTTTTTTTTTTTTGAGACAGGGTCTCACTGTGTTGCCCAGGCTGGAGTGCAGTGGTGCAATCACAGCTCACTGAAGTCTTGACCTTTCAGGCTTAGGTGATCCTCCCATCTCAGCCTTCCGAGTAGCTGGGACTACAGGCATGTGTCACCATGCCCACCTAATTTTTAATTTTTTTTTTTTTTTAGAGGTGGGGTCTTGCTATGTTGCTCAGGCTGGTCTTGAACTTCGGGGCTCAAGTGATCCTCCTGCCTTGGCCTCCCAAAGTGTTGGGCTTACAGGCATGAGCTACCACACAGTCCAGTTTTCTACTTCTTAAGTCAATTTTTAGTGAGTTGTCTTTTCTCAGAAAATAATTTCTTCATCAAGAGTTGCAAATGTATTTGCATAAAATTTAGCATAGTATTTTAGCTATTTAGCATAGTATTCCTTTTAAAAGGAATTAAAAGGAATTTTAAAAGGAATTTAAAAGGATTTAAAGAAAAAGCCTCTCTTTGATGAGTTTCCTTTTCTCATTCCTGCTCCTGTGTATGTTGTGGTTTTTCTTCTCTTTCTAATGGCTTTGTCTTGCTCAAGTCTACCAGTGGTGATATGGGCCCTGTAAAAATTGCTTTCCAGACCTCCAGAGAGAGCCGACAGGCTTGAAACCTTTACACAGGATCTGTACTGAGACTGCGCATCCTCAGGCCCCAGGCCTGATTTGTTCTACCCTTCTCCCTTTTTTTCTCCAGCCCAGGTCTTGCCAGCTTAGCTGTTTTATTGCCCCCTCCTCCATCTTTTTTAAAAAAGCCTCATTACTCTTGTATTTATTGATTCTGTTTTTTTAATTTTCTGATACATCCTAGTTTTCTTTAGTCTGACTTTTCTGAGGTTTGTTAATGTTTGCAAGTTTTTACATTGAAAACTTTGTTTTTTCATAGTTAAAAAATTATGAATGCATTTAATGCTATGAGTTTGCCTCTGAGCACCACTTTAGCCATATCCTATGAGTGCAGTGCTTTAAAATGTGGTGCTTTCTTTCAGATGATTTTCTAAAAATTATGCAATGACAATTTTGTTTCTAAAACTTCAGAAATTTTGATTTTGTTACTTCATTGATCCAAGAATAATTTAGTAGAACGTTAAAAATTTCCCAGTATAGGCCAGGTGCAGTGGCTTATGCCTGTAATCCCAGCACTTTGGGAGGCTGAGGTGGGAAGATCACTTGAAACCAGGAGTTAGAGACCAGACTGGGCAACATAGTGAGACTCTGTCTATTAAAAAAATCCCAGTGCCTTGTCTTATTTGCTTAATTTTTTGTCATTAATTTATAATTTAATGAATGATAGAGAAAGTAGCCTATGCAATTTCTGCCTTATATTTTTTTTTCGTAAATGTTTTATTTGAAAAAGCAGGTACATTCCCTGTGTGCAGTTTAAAGCAGTTTTATAGATAGTATTATTTAAGGGCTTTATATTGTTATATATATATTTTTGAGGCAGAGTCTTGCTCTGTCGTCCAGGCTGGAGTGCAGTGACAACATCATGGCTCACTGCAGCTTCAACTTCCTGGGTTCAAGTGATCCTTCCATCTCAGCCTCCTGAGTAGTGGGACTAAAGGTGCATGCCACCATGCCTGGCTAATTAAAATTTTTTTTTTTTTTTTTTGTAAAGATGAGGTGTTACTATGTTGCCCAGGCTGGTCTCAAACTATTGGCCTCAAGCAATCTTCCTGCCTCAGCCTCCCAAAGTGCTAGGATTACAAGCGTGAACCACTGCACCCAGCCTCTAAATTGTCATTTATTTATCTTTACTCCCTTTATCTGCCAAAAGCTGGATGAGGTAGGTTAATCTCTTTCTCTTCAATAGGATTCTTCCCATTTTTACTTGAATTTCTGATAGTTTTTGTTTTCATAAAAAAGTTTGAGTCTATGTTGTTCATCACAAGAAGATTCTTGACAGTTATATTTTCATTGCGGAATTGTGGATTTTATCTTTTGTCAAGATAAAATGGCTATTTTCCCCCAGTGAATGCTTTTTACTTTGCATCCTATTTTTTTCATATTTTAATATTGCTATCCCTGCTTTCTTTCGTTTGTATTCCCTTGATATATCTCTTACTAGACTTTTTATTTTAACTTCTCCATGTCTTTTTGTTAGGTGAATATCTGGTAAGAACATAGAGTTAGCTTTATTTACTTATTTTTTGGTACAATCCGAGAGTCTTAAACAAATACTATTTATTTCTATAACAAATACACTTGGCCTCACTTCTTTCACTTCTTTCTTTTTGTTGAATGTTCCCAATTTTTAGTTTTTTTTTAATCTTTTACTATATAGATTAGGTTTTGCTTCTTTTTTTCTTTACTAATGTTTTAAAAAGCATGCATACTGATATTAATTCTGTTTTTAATACTTGGACTTCCATTTTTGTTATAATTATGAAGAACAAAACAGCATATATTGCATATTTCCTGGTAGGATGAGAAAATTAGTTGCTCTTGAATTCTGTTTTTTATTCATACGTGTCATAATCGTTGCAACTTAATTCCATGCTTAACTGGTTTCATGGCTAATTGCAAGTCCCTTTCGTAAACTTTCCCCGTTTTTATTCATATGGGTGCTGGTTGGCTTTGAACGCAAGATATGATGGTCTATGGGCTGGTCACTGTCCACGTGCTGGGTCCCATGATGGAAGCTGGATTCAGTGAAGAGGATGACTAGGTTCCTGTCCTCATGGAACTTCCAGTTGTGTGTTTGTGCTCATGTGCATGTGTGTGCATGCGTGTGCATGATACACAAAGAAGCAAACTTTTCCCTCTCTGAGCAGGTGGCATCTGAGTGAGACTTGAAGACTGAGAGGAAGTCGGCCACAGGTGATCAGAGGAAACCGTGTCCAGGCAGAGGACATGGCACGTGCAAAGGCTTTGCGCAGGCTTTGTGCAGGGATAGAGCAGGGCGACTTTGAGGAACAGGGACAAGGCTGATGCGCCAGAGTGCAGTGAGCCTGGGAGCCAGGGAGCGGTGATGCGGGAGTGGAAGCAGAGACGGCCACGAAGACTGGATTTCGGGCCGGGCTTGGTGGCTCAAGCCTGTAATCCCAGCACTTTGGGAGGCCAAGGCAGGCGGATCATGAGGTCAGGAGATCGAGACCATCCTGGCTAACACGGTGAAACCCCCGTCTCTACTAAAAATACAAAAAATTAGCCAGGCATGGTGGCGGGCGCCTGTCGTCCGAGCTATTCGGGAGGCTGAGGCAGGAGAATCGCTTGAACCCGGGAGGCGGAGCTTGCAGTGAGCTGAGATCACACTACTGCACTCCAGCCTGGGTGACAGAACTAGACTCCGTCTCAGAAAAAAAAAAAAAAAAAAAAAAAAAAAAGAGTGGACTTCCTCCTCAATGCATGTGGCACACTCCCCAGTGCTTGTTTTCCTAGCAATAGCTAACGGCCTGCGGATGTGTATGGCCTCGTGGCTGGGCACAGACTCCACAGGTTTAAACCTTTCCCCTCAATATCCTGAGGGCAGCTGTCCATGTTTTTTGGCATCTGGTGATGAGGAAGTGATGTCTGAGGTCAGCCCCAATTTTTGTTCCTTTATGGACAACATTATTAATATTTTTCCTGAAATCCTACATGATTTTTCCCATTCATCTTCAAAATAGAGAATTTCATGATGGAATATATAAATGTTGGGTCTTTAATTTTTATTTAATTTTTATTTTTCTGGAGAAAGAGTCTTGCTCTGTCACCCAGGCTGGAGTGCAATGGTGTGATCTCAGCTCACTGCAACCTCTGCCTCTCGGGTTCAAATGATTCTCCTGCTTCAGACTCCTGAGTAACTGGGATTACAGGCACCTGCCACCATGCCTGTCTAATTTTTGTGTTTTGAGTAGAGGTGGAGTTTCACCATGTTGCCCAGGCTGGTCTCAAACTCCTGAGCTCAGGCAATCCACCTGCCTCAACTTCCCAAAACTGTTGGGTTTTTAATTGGCCTGGTACTTGTTGAGGTCAGCTTAGGAAGACTTGATTGTATTATTATTATTTGAGATGGAGTTTCGTTCTTGTTGCTCAGGCTGGGGTGCAATGGTGTGGTCTCGGCTCACTGCAACTTCTCTGGCTCCTAGGCTCAAGTAATTCTCCTGCCACAGCCCCCCAAGTAGCTGAGACTACAGAAGCGCACCACCATGCCCAGCTAATTTTTGTATTTTTTGTAGAGACAGGGTTTCACCATGTTGCCAGGCTGGTCTTGAACTCCTGGCCTCAAGTGATCTTCCTGCCTTGGCCTCCCACAGTGCTGGAATTACAGGCGTGAGCCACCGCTTCTGGCCAATACACTTTTTTAAAGCAGTTTTAGTTTCACAGCAAAATTGAGCATGGAGTATCGACACATCCCATATCCCCCCTTTCTTCACATATGCATAGCCTCTCCCATTATCAACATCTCCCACCAGAGTGGTACATTGGTAACAACTGATGGGCCTTCACTGGCATGTCACTATCACCCAAAGTCCACGGTTTACATTAGGGTTCACTCATAGCGTTGCACTTTCTGTGGGCTTGGACAAATGTGTAATGACATGGACCCACCATTGTAGTATCAGACAGAGTCGTTTCACTACCCCCAAAAAATCCCCGATGCTCTGCCTTTTTGTCCTTTCTTTCCCCCAAACTCCTGGCAACCATTGATCCTTTTACTGTCTCTATGGTTTTGCCTTTTCCAAAAACTGTCATAGAGTTGGAATCACACAGGATGTAGCCTTTTCAGACTAGCTTTTTCATTTAGCAATGTGCATTCATGGCCGGACGCGGTAGCTCACGCCTGTAATCCTGGCACTTTGGGAGGCTGAGGCAGGCAGATCACCTGAGGTCAGGAGTTCAAGACCAGCCTGGCCAACATGGCAAAACCCCATCCCTACTAAAAATACAAAAAATTAGCCAGGCATGGTGGCACACGCCTCTAATCCTGGCTACTTGGGAGGCTGAGGCAGGAGAATCACTTGAACCTCAGAGGCGGAGGTTGCAGTAAACCGAGATCGTGCCACTGCACTTCAGCCTGAGTGACAGAGGGAGACTCTGCCTCAAAAAAAAAAAAAAAAAAGCATTCGTTGCCTGCATGTCTTTTCATGGCTTGATAGCTTGTTTCTTTGTAGTGCTGATAATACATGCCATCGTCTGGGTGTGCTGTAGTTTATCTACTCACCTACTCAAGAGCATCTTGGTTGCTTCCAAGTTTTGGCAATTATGAATCAAGCTGCTATAAACATGTATGTGCAGCTTTTTATTTGGGTGTAAGTTTTTAACGCCAACTAACTACCAAGGAACACAATTTTTGGATAGTTTGGTAAGGGTATATTTAGTTTTGTAAGAAGCTGCCAAAATGTCTTCCTTCCTTCTTTCCTTCTTTCCTTCTTTCTCTCTTTCTCTCTTTCCCATCCTCCTGCTTTGGCCTCCCAAAGTGCTGGGATTACAGGCGTGTGCCACCATGCCTGGCTAATTTGTGTGACTTTAGTAGAGATGGGGTTGTACCATATTGTCCAGGCTGGTCTGGAACTCCTGAGCTCAGGCAGTCCACCTGCCTCGACCTCCCAAAAATGTTGGGTTTTTAATTGGCCTGGTATCTGTTGAGGTCAGCTTAGGAAGACTTGATTGTATTATCATCATTTTTGTTATTTAATACAGTTTTTTTTTGTTTGTTTTTTTCAGACAGGATCTTACTCTCTTGCCCAGGCTGGAGTGCAATGGCACAATCATGGCTCACTGCAGCCTTGACTTCCTGGGCTCAAGCGATCCTCCCATCTCAGCCTCCTGAGTAGCTGGGACTACAGGCATGTGCCACCATGCCCTGCTAATTTATGTATTTTTTACAGAGATGGGGTCTCACCATGTTGCCCAGGCTGGTCTCGAACTCCTGGGCTCAGGCAATCCTCCTGTTTTGGCCTCCCAAAGTGCTGGGATTACAGGCGTGTGCCACCACACCCGGCCCAAACCGTCTTTCAAAGTGGCTGTACCATTTTTCATTCCTCCGGCACTGAGTGGGAGCTCCTGTTGCTCCACATGCTTGCCAGCATTTGATGTTGTCAGTGTTCTGGGTACACTTTTACATTTTAAGTGTACTTTTCTCCTATTCCAGTTCCTACTATTTCATACCATCCATCCAGGCTATCCATGCAGGCTACCCATCTTCAGGGACACCACTTATTTATGGAATTGCTTTCTGTCCTCTGACCTCTATGTCTCTCGTTTTCTCTGTCATAATTTTAATGTTCCTTTTGACTCCTTCTTTTGTATTCCAAAATAGTTTAGAAAGTTCGTCCTCCAGCTGTTGGTACCTCTGAATGTTTGAGAGAGGACTCCGAGCCTCAAATCCTTTATAGTTTTCTATGCTCGTGATCAAAGCTCTGCTAGACCAGCTTTGAGGATGCCTTTGCCTGGCCTGAGAGATCTCGTCCTTGCTTTCCACCCTCTGGGTTCCAGCCTGGCTTCTGTTTCGTCTTCTAAAGGATGGCAAAGGAGGCACTTTCACCAAAGCCAGAGAAGGCTCTAGGCCCTAGTTCCAGTTCCATCTCAGAAAAGACACAGAAAAGAAAGAAACATTCTCTCTGCCCCTAGTGTTGTACCTAATTATGTCCATGACTCATATCAAAATACCTCGTCTTTGGCAGGGAATTAACTTTCTGGAGCTCGGTGCCACTAACACTCTACATTGTTGATTCAATTTTCCGTAGGATTGAGTCTGCTCCTTGTGGCTTCAAATGTGTATTTTCGCTCTGCGTTTGCATTTTTAGCTCCTTTTCAGCCCGTGCTTTCCCCATTTGGCTTCCACTTCACCTAGCCTGCCTTCCTGGCAGCTCTCCTTGGCTAAATCTGTTGTCTGATCTTCCGATCTGCCAAGTCTTCGTGATAGAGTTTATATTTTCTTAGGGACGCAAACACATGCTTTCGTGAATGATTGTGTGTTTCCTCTAACAAGCACGTCTCAAGGACCTGCTTTTATTGTCTACCTTGAGTATATCCTTCCTCTTTTTCAGGTGGTAGAATTGTCCCCAGTGTCTTATTTGCAATGATTTCCCCCTTTCTTTTCTGTATGGAAAGATCTCTTTAGGCCTACCCTTTGCTCATAAATAGAGTGAGTGGGTTCTCTTTGATACTTCTCGCCTTTCACCTGGTTGCAATGGAATCTTCCTGACATATCTCCAATGGTACTGCTGGTTAGCATGAACATTACTAAATGGATTTCTCTGTTGTTGGGATTTACTTACATTTTATGACTTTTTTTTTTTTTTTTTGAGATGGAGTTTCGCTCTGTTGCCCAGGCTGGAGTGCAGTGGAGTGATCTCAGTTCACTGCAACCTCCGCCCCCCGGGTTCAAGCAATTCTTCTTTCTCAGCCTCCTGAGTAGCTGGGATTATAGGCGTGCACCACCACGCCCGACTAATTTTTGTACTTTTAGTAGAGACAGGGTTTCACCATGTTGGCTAGGGTGGTCTTGAACTCCTGACCTCAAGTGATCCACCTGCATTGGCCTCCCAAAGTGCTAGGATTACAGGCACGAACCACTGCGCCCAGCCCATTTTATGACTTTACTAGCTGGAGATAGGATCTCCCTCTCACCTCCTGGTGATGTGATCATGGAAAGAAAAGCAAGACCTGCATGTTATTTGAAGGATGCTTGTAGTTCCTTTCATAACAGAAATGGCGAATGTAAAACCACAATTCCCTCCATGCACTATTCCCACGTTTCTCCACGTCTTTGCCCAGTTTTACTTTGCAGCTCAAGATGTTGAGTGGATGGAAGCCAGGGGGATGAGCGATCCTGGAGCGATTCTCTCAGAAACTTCCAGCCATTCAACATCTGCGATGCCCAGCGAGGGCACGAGGCTGAGAGGGTAAGTGAATGTGCTTTGCATCTTGAGTTGCAAAGAGTCTAGTGACGTAAATGCCAACCAGCAGTGACGCTGGTGCTATGAGAGGAAGAATCTAACAGCAACCTTGTGAAAAGTGAGACGATTCAGGTAACCCACCTGCTCTATTTTTGAGTAAATGCCAGGCCTGGGGAGATCTGTTAGGTTTGGATAAATAAGAGGGAAGAGTGTGGTAGACCTCTTCACTGACTTACTATCAAAAAGTTGTGAGTAGAGTTGTGGTCCACTTATTCATTCATTTACTCATTCATTCCCTCATTCATTCCACGACTACTACTAAGCTCTGGATGTACATTAGAATTATATCAGGCACTCCATCCGGATATAGTATCTTTTTTTTTTCTTTTTGAGAGAGGGTCTCACTTTGTCACCCAGGCTGGAGTGCAGTGGTGTGATCGCAGCTCACTGCAACCTTGATCTCCTGGGCTCAAGCAATCCTCCTTCCTCAGCCCTTCAAGTAGCTGGGGACTACAGGCATGCACCAACACACCCAGCTAATGTTTGTATTTTTTGTAGAGAAGGGGTTTCACTCTGTTGCCCAGGCTGGTCTCAAACTCCTGAGCACCAGGGATCCACCTACCTCAGCCTCCCAAAGTGCTAGGATTACAGGTGTGAGCCAGCACACCCAGACTCTGATACAGTATCTTTATCCTGATAGCTATCAGGGATCAAAGAGGATACACTGGGTCTTTGTCCTGCGAGGAATTCTTCCATTGCTACCTCCGTGTGACCTTAAGAAAATGGTTCAATCTAACAGTGCTTCATTTTACCCATCAATGAAATGGACATAAAAACCAAACATCTTAGGGGTTGATGTGAGATTGAGAGGACACGGAGGTGCAGTCCTCACCCTAGCACTTGGCACAGGCTCAGTGCACAGCACACATTTGCTGCTGTGGGGTCTGAATAAGGCCCTCGGAACGCAGAGAGATGGTCTGGGATGGGGATACTGGATGGAAAAGGAGTGTCTGGCTGAACCTGAACTGATTCTAGGAGATGCCCTGGCGGCCAGTCAGCACTACCCTGCCTGGGGCGGGCATGTGGGGCTCCAGAGCCACCTGCAAGTTCCCCCACCTGCCTGCAAGCCCAGAGGGGCCAGAGCCCAGTGGAGGGAAGGCTCTCAGGCCTGGGGGCTCTGAGAGCATCTTCATGTCCTGCGGGTCTCTTCTTAGGTTGCTGGAAGGGCATCCGTCCTTGACATTTCATTCATTCGTTCATTTATTAGACTTTTTTTGAGTGCATACTGTATGCCAGGCACCATTTTTTTCTATTATTATTATTATTGATGTTGAGAATACAGTGGTGAACAAGATGGGGTCTCTACTCTTCCGAATTCGTAATTAATTCTGGGGGAGTATGTGGTGAGGCAACAGATAAGCAAATAAGATGGTTTTAGAGCATGAGAATTACAGTGAAAGAAAAGAGAAGTGATGGGATGGAGAGTGATTGAGAAGAGGGAGGCCTCTGGGGAGGTGACATTTCTCTTGAGAATGGAATGTCAAAAAGGAGCCTCCCTGTGGAGATCTGGAGAAAGAGCCTCAGACGGAGGCAATCGCAAGTGAAAAGGCCCTCGGGTGGGAGAGGGACCTGAAGGGAGGCGTGAATGGCTGGAGTCCAGTTAGGAGGCGACTGCAGCGGTCCATGAAGGAGACGATGGCAGCTAGGGCCATGGTGATGGGTGTGGAGAAGGGTGACGGGCTCAGCCATTGTTTTGCAGGAAGAAAGGACAGGACTATGATGAGGCCAGCAGGGGAAGGAGAGGAGTCAGGGGTCTCCCTTAGGGTTTTGGCTCCAGAAGCTGGTGGGTGATGCCATTTACTGAGATGGAGAAAAACGAGGGAGGGGCGCGGGGACAGGTTGAGGGAGAAAATCAGGAATTTTGTTTTTGGACATATGAAGGTATAAATACTCATGTTGACTTCTGATCTGCTGTTGACCAAGGAAAGAAGCCCAAACTGTTGTGTGTGTGTGTTTATATGTGTGCGTGTGCATGTGCCTGTGTGCGTATGTGTGCATGTGTATCTATCTGTGTGTGTATGTGAATGTGTATGTGTGAGTGTGTGTGCATGTGTGGGGATGTGCATGTGTGTGCACAGGCATGTGTAGTGCGCGTGCATGTGTGCATACGTGTGTGCATGTGCGTGTGAGTGTGCATGTGTGTGCACGCACGTACATGTCTGCTTGTGTGTGTGTGTGCAAGTGTGGGTATGTGCATGTGTGCGCGTGTGTGCACATATGTGTGCATGCCTGTGAGTGTGTGTGTGAATGAGTATGTGTGGATGTGTTCTGCTGAGGGATTCTCAACTTTGGCCCTGTTAACATTTGGTACCAGATCATTCTTTGCTGTGGGGGTGGGGGGCCAATCCTGTGCATCGTAGAGTTTTTAGAAGTCTCCATGGCTCCTACCAACTAGATGCCAGTGGCACCCATGAATCTCTCCAGCCATTGCCAAATATCTCTTGGGAGGCAAAATTGCTCCTGGTTGGGAACTAACATGAAACCTTCATAGGGGCATTTCCCACGTCATAGGGTGGAATGGAAAATACACAGCATGGGTGCCAGCACTGCCCCCTTCCTTCCCCATGGTCGACATCCTTAACTGATCACATTGTTTTTTCTACAAATCTCAGATGCTCCCTCAGAATCCTTCCTAACACAGGTGACCAGGAGCCATTATCAATAACTAGGATTGGCATTTAGATGAAACCCACTTATTCTCTCTTTTCTAAGGTTAGAAAAAGATCCCAGGATGATCTCTGCAGCCCCCACACCAATTTGCAGTCAAATCCTAGACAGCAACCTTTGCACATCTGTGCCTCAGTATCCCTATATGTAAATGAAAACAACCTGAATTGCTCTCTGTGGATCTGATAGAGCCTTAAGTGGGAGGATCAATGAGATAATCTCGATAACTCAATTTGAGTTTTTGAAGGTGGGCAGAATGTTACAGAAATGTGCAGCGGGATCATTATCTCAAGGGATGCCATGAAGGTGAATCTGTAAATAATTAGAAAACATTTAGCTGGTATAACGTGCCAGGTTTAATCATGGCATAATGAAAAAGGCAGGCTCTCAGAAGCGGGCGGGCAGGTTGGAAGGCCCTGCAGTCTGCTCTCTCTGGGTATCGCCAGGAGGACGGATGGCGATGCTTGAGGTTACGGTAATCTGTGTGTGATGTTTTGTTCGGGCTCAGGGTAACCATGGAGACAGACTCCCCCCACCGCCCGTAGTACCAATTCCACACTCCTGTGCATATGTACACACTGCACATGCACGTCCCCACTTCCCTCCACCCCAGCTCCTTCTCACCTGGAAAGGAGGGAGGATTCAGGGGAGACCCTCCAGAGGGGCAGCCTCAAGGCCGCTGGACTCTGGGGTTGTGGGTTCAGATCCTGCCTCTTCCGCTTCCTGAGCATGATCCTGGAATGTCACATAGCCTCTGGGAGCCTCAGTTTCTTAATCTGTAAAATGAACTTAAAATACTTTTTCCCCAGCAGGGTTATTTGGGGGGGGATCAAATTCTAGGCTGGATGTAGTAGTGTATGCATGTGGTTCCAGCTACTTGGGAGGCTGAGGTGGGAGGATCACTTGAGCCCAGGAGTTACAGACCATCCTGGGCAACAGAGCAAGATCCTGTCTCTAAAACAAAACACAACAACAAAACAAAATTTATCAGCAGTGAGGAATTCTCTGGATGTGGAACTGCAAATTGTTTAACTGCTCCGTGCCTTAGCTCCTCATCTGTAAGGTGGGATAATAATTGTACCTACGGCAGAGAGATCTGAAGCCCATGGTGAGTAGCTCTTCTTGGTGCTGATGAGATTACATTTAATCCATGACCTACAGGAGGGATTGGGGCCCTTGGATCCAACGTGTAGATACCAGGCAGTCATGGGAGGGCTTAGGGTTCAGAGAGGTGGGGAGAGGCTGGAGGTGGCTGCATCCCAAGAGGGGAAATATTAGATGGAAAAATGTACCTCGTGATACTCAGGTCCAAAGAGGGAACAAACAGGATCTAATGGGTGAGTCCAGCAACATGTGAGAGACTCCATGGGACTTTGGTCCATTGCAATTTGATAGAAGAATAAGGATTGGCTCATAGTAAAGATACATGTGGGTTTTTATATTATTATTATTACATTGTTGCTGCTGCTATTGTTGTTATTGTTATTTTGTATCAACAGTGAAAAGTGGTTTCCCCAAACCAGAGCATGACCTAGAGTTACATCAATAGAAATATTATATATAGCATGAGGGAGGTGATGGTCTGTCTCTTCTCTGCCCTAGTAGGGGACCACCTGAAGCATTTGTGTTTGATTCTGGGTGGCTTCCATTAAGAGGGACATTGATGAACTGGAGTGGGTCTTCTGGAGGGGAAGAAGTTTCTCCACGAGGAAACTGAGGCTGTGTTTTCTTCATCCACTAATGGCTTGTGGTTCTAAGAATTAAGAAAGATACAAAGATAAATTTGCAAGGCTGGGCGTGGTGGCTCACGCCTGTGATCCCAGCACTTTGGGGGGCCGAGGCGGGTGGATCACTTGAGGCCAGGAGTTCAAAACCAGCCTGGCCCACATGGTGAAACCCCATCTCTGCTAAAAATAGAAAAATTAGCCAGGCATGGCGGCACATGCCTGTAATCCCAGCTATTCAGAGGCCCAGGCACAAGAATGGCTTGAACCTGGGAGGCGGAGGTTGCAGTGAGCCGAGATCACACCACTGCACTCCAGCCTGGGGAACAGGGCAAGACTCTGTCTCAAAAAAACCCCAAAACCAAAACAACAACAACAACAACAACCAAAGATAAAGTTGTCCCTGTGAAGTGCACACTCTTCTGGGGAGTACAAACCAGGCATGTGACTGTCACACATGTGGGAAACGTAGTTTCCGGCTACAGAAAGAAGCATTTTAAAGAAATGCTTAAGGAAAGAGGAGACTGGGAGTGGGAGTAGCCTGGGGACATCTGGGAGCTGTGTTGAAATGCATCAGGACGTCTGTAGGGAAAAGCGTCCTGATTTCTCCTACGTGACCCCAGAGTCACCATCAGAGAGAGACAGTGATGGAGAGGCCCTTATAGAAACAAGCTCAGCTCAAAGCAGAACTGGCTGCTTGGCTGCTACCTGGCTGGGTCTCCCAGAAGACGACCCTAAAACTAGGATTTGAGAATTTGCATTTGAGCAGTTGATTTGGGAAGGGATTCCAGGAAGTCCTGGTGAAGGGGGGGACAGAGTGATGGGAAAGGAGAGGCAGCCGAAGCAGTGTCCTGGGGCAACTTGGAATCCCAGTGGAGGGCCCTGGGAGACGTGAGGAGCGTGCCTGAGTTGTCCCCCAGACCAGGGGGGAACTGGAGTCTTTCTCCACTAACTCCCATCTACCACTGGTTGAAGGCATCATTAACTTTCAGTCGGCCCTTGGTGCTGGGTGGGCACATACCAGGGCATGAGAAAGCTCTGACAGAGGGAGTCGTAGGAACTTGCAGTGAGGAACCTGTGGCCTTTAGGGGACTGGCAAGCACTGGGGGCCTCAGGCAGCTTCGGGAGGTGGTAGTGAGTTTCCTGACACAGGGTTATATAAGCGGTGCCTTCCTGCGTGACCACGTGGTGGGGAGCCAGGCGAGTCTACTCTGGGTGACAGAGAATCTTTAAACCATTTTGTACGTGTTGCCCACTTGAGAGATGATGTAATCCCAGGCCTTGTCATCCCACGGATGATTTGGGGAGTTTGCGTGTGGGTGGATGTGGGGGAAGAATAACTTTTTTCAAGCTGTTTTTTCCCCTCCTAAACCACCCACTCCTGCCTCACTCTTGGGCTAATTCTAAATAAAGGGGCCCACTCAAAGGCTCAGCTTTCGGTCAGAAGGGCCCAGTTTGCTGATCCAAATGAATCCCACATGGATTAATGATGTTTTCCTGAGGGACTGGGGTCTGGAAGCAGTGAAGTGGCCCCGTAAGCTGGGAGAACCACTGTCATCCCCGCTTTGTCCTTTATGAGCTGTGGAACGTCAGATGGGTCACTCTCCCTGGGGTGGTAGGAGCTCAGACTTTCCATCTGGGCAATGAGGGGTTGTATGAGGAAATCTCTGATTCTTAAGTTGTCATTTGCAGCCTCTGGAAAACTTTGAGTAAGACTTGAAAGCAATTTATGACTTGAGCTGCTGTTAAGCTACAAAGACCCTTGTGTGGAGGTCGGGGCTATTATCATGATGGAGTACTTACAGTAGCAAAGTGCTTCCCGATATTTTATTAATTAAACATGGTCCCGGTACAGCCCCCACTGCCTGCTCTTGTGATGGGGTACATGTGTGCTATAAAATCAGTTGGGTCTATGTGAGGGAGATGAGTAGATGGTAAATAGTAATTGTCACTAAGTCATGCTACTGAAAAGCTAGCAGTGGGGATTCCCATGAAAGAAAGATCCTCACCTATTTTATTTTAATTTAAAAGGCACTCTAAAAGCCATTTAAAGTACAAATACTTTAAAAAATACAGCTGAGGATAGGCGTGGTGGCTCACACCTGGAATCCCAGCACTTTGGGAGGCTGAGGTGGGAGGATTGCTTGAGACCAGCCTGAGCAACATAGTGAGACCCCATCCGCTAAAACAAAAACAAAAACAAAAACAAAAACAGCATTAGCTGGGTTTGCTGGTGCGTGGCCATAGTCCCAGTTACTCAAGAGGCTGAGGTGGGAGGATTGCTTGAGCCCAGGAGTTTGAGGTTAAATGATCATGCCACTGCACTCCAGCCTGGGAGACAGAGTAAGACACTGTCTATAAATAACAATAATAATAAAACACAGCTGCAATTAGTGAGTACATGGGGTGGGTAGAGATGTTGTCTGTGTGCTAGGCACTCCTCTCTCCATTGTACAGATGGACAAGCTGGCAGTCAGAGAAGTAATTTGCTAGTATAGGGGTTCTCAACTGGGGGCAATTCCCCTGCACCTCCACCCCAGGGACATTTGTCAATATCTGGAGACATTTTTGTTTGTCATGACTGGAGTGGGGGCGTTATAGGCAGCCAATGGGTAGAGGCCCTGGATGCCGCTAAATATCCCACAGTGCACAGGATGGCTCTCCTACAACTAGGAAATGATCCAGCCCTGAATGTCCACAGTGTGGAGGCTGAGAAACCAGATCAGCTCTGCGCTCCCTGAGTCCTAACCTTGGCCTCTCCCCTGCCTGTGTTGTCACCCCATGGGATGACAAGTCCAACAAAGGATGCAGACCTCTGAGAAATAGAAAGGGAAAAAAAGAGGAGACAGATAGAAGAACAATGGGAAGTTGAGAGAGATACTGAAACCAGTTGATGTTATATGAGCACCTGGATCCAGCTGAGACTGAAGCCCCGCTACCTTTTTCTTCACATAAGCCAGTAGAAATTTGTCTTTTTGCTTGTGCTGGTTTGAGCTGGATTTTGTCGCTTGCAGCCAAATAGATTTCCCAATTCATTTTTGAATCCCAATGCCCAGACCAGGAACTCGGGACCATAGGGATAGGATGGGATAGGATGGGATGGGTTGGGATGGAATGGGATGGGATGGGATGGGATGGGATGGGATGGGATGGGATGGGATGGGATGGGATGGGATGGGTTGGGATGGGATGAGATGAGTTGCATTGGGATGGGTTGAGATGGGGTGGAACGGGATGGGATGGGATAGGCTGGGATGGGATGGGATGGGATGTGTTGGGATGGGTTGGGATAGGATGGGTTGGGACAGGATGGAATAGGTTGGGATGGGATGGGATGAGTCCCAAGTCTCAAGTCCTGCATGGGAACCCTGTGAGCCTCAGTCTGGTCTCTGATCTCTAAGATGGGCTGAGATATTGCCAACATTTATGTGTGTGTGCGCTGTGGACTCCCTTGAAGAGGGGATGGGAGCTAGGGAACTTCTCTCTTCAACAATTTTCCGCTTTCCACTGTGCGATTTTCTCTTCTTAATATACTCTTTTGTAGTCTGTTTTTCATTAATTATCCCCATAAACATTTCTCTGAATTTCCATAGTCATAATAATGATCAATATTAATGGCTTCATACTACTGCATCTTAACCACAGAGCACTATTTCCTGAGTAATTCTTGGGTTGTTGGACATTTATTTTATTTTAATTTTTTGTTTCCTTACAGTTTAATACACAATGATTATTTTCTTGAACAGAACAATTTATTTGTTGCATGACCTCTTTAGGAGAATTCCCCAAGAGTATTTTTTCTCTCTTTCTTTTCTCCTTTCCTTTCTCTCTTTCTCCCTTTCCCCTCCTTTCCTCCTCCCCTTCCTACCTTACTTTTTTCTTTTTTATTTGATTTAATTATGTTCTTTGGAATAATAACATGAACCTTGGTTTAAAATTCAAAGGCAGTACAAAAAATCTCATTCCCAGTCACCCACTTCCCTCCCAGGGGCAACCGCTGGTGGCATTTTAAAGAATTCATCTGTTAATATTTCATTTTTAAAAAATAAATGGCATCACATCACACTCTATCCACTGTTCTACTCTGGCGGTTGTAGATGGGGAGCTGATCTCCTTCAGATAGTGAGGTCGGAGAAGGCTTCTCCAAGGAGGTGACACTTGAGTTACCTAGAGGACGGTAAGAGAGGGAAGAAGTGGTCCAGCAAGAAGGATTGGCAGGTGCAAAGGCCCTGGGGTAGGATGCAGTGGGCAGATTTGAAGTACTCCATGGAGGCTGATGGGGCCATTGTAGAAGGAGAGAGGTCAGATTGCTAGAGAGGGACCCTGGTGTGCAGAACCTCATTGGCTGCAGTATAAAATTTGGACTTTATTCTAAATACACTGGGGTGCCTTTGAGGGCGTTTAAGCAGGAAGGTGACAGGACGTGGCTTACATTTAACAAAAGTGCATTCTGATTGAGGACTGGGGAGTAATGGATGAAGGCAGGCAGATATTGAAGGGTTAACAGGTGGGGGGCCAGGTGAGATGATGGTGCCTCGGCCTTGTGGGAAGATGGAGAGAACTGGATGGACTCAGGATATTGTTTGAAGGAAGAGCCAATAGGATCTGCTGACAAATTGGATGTGGAGTGAGAGGGGAAGAGGCATTTTGGACAACTCCTAGATTTTTGGCCTGAAGAGATGGTTGTGCCCATTACTGAGATAGAGAAGACTGAGGTGGGAAGAGGTTTTTGTTTGTTTATTTAGTGGGAAGGAAGCGATCTTAAATTCAGACCTGGCCGGGTTATGTTTGTTCTGTCTGTGTGACAGCCCAGAGGCAATGTCAAGTAGACAGGGAGAGAACAAAATACATCTCAGAGCCCAGAAGTGTGATCAGGCTGGAGACATCAACGGAGAAGCCGCCAGCCCCAGGATGGGCTGAGACGCCTGGAAGAGCGCGTCGTGCATACATCAACGTATGAATCTATTTGTCTCACTCTCACTACGCCAGCTCTGCATGTTGTCATTCGTGTTTGTTATTCGTTTTGTAATTTTCTAATTTTCAAAAGCAAACATGGCCTGTAGTGAATGGAAAGAAATTGTGCAGCTGCTTGTATTTGGATCCTAGAGGCTTTCTTACTTGTTTCAGTGGCTTTACCTAATCTAAGGTGAGAATCCAAGTCTGACGGATACCAAAATTAAGAAAAAGAGCCTTTCTGGGTTTCCCATCATGTTCGTGCATCTCCAGCTATTTCTGCCCTGAAAGTCAGAGGTGCTCACTGGAGAGGAACCTTCCAGTAAAAGAGCCGGAGCTGTCTCTTCTCTTCCGTGTCTCCTGAATACCCAAGAGATACAGTTCCCCTGTGATCTTGCTGTAATGAATTCTGGTTGCTTTTTCATTATAAGCCCTAATTTTCTCCACTTCCAGATTATTTTCCTTTCCAGTGGGGTTATAATTCCTTGTTGGAGCCCCAGGGCATGTGTTTTTCCCCTCCGCCATCAAGGCAAGGAATTAGGAAATGCGTGATCTCTGTGGAGTGGCTGCTCTCAGGCCCCTGGCATGGAGGTTCGTCTGTCAGAAACAGCTCTACGCACATTCAGAAAGTGAATCTTGTATTTATGTTAACTTTTATATAAGGCGGCATTAACTAATGTAGCTAACAGATGTTTATGGAGGGTTATCCGTGTGCTGGGGTCAGAACTGAGCCTGTCTCTCAGCTTGCCACAGAGAATCTGAGAACTTAAAGTAGGCAGAAAATTCTAGGCCACCTTTGTGTTCAAGCCTCTCATTAATGAACAAATGGGTGCATCCATTCATAACCTCAGGGAGCCTCAAGCTCTTGGACACCCTGCTTTGGGAAAGTTAATAGGTGAGTGCAAATAATAATGTTCCTAGTCTCAGCATGGCATGGGTGTGGTTATCATTATGAGCCAGGCTGAATCCCATTCCATTCCATTCCCATCCCATCCCATCATCCCATGCCAACCCATCCCATCATCCCATCCCAACCTATCCCATCTCATCCCATCCCATCCCATCTCATCCCACCCCATCCCATCTCATCCAATCCCATCCCATCTCATCCCATCCCATCCCATTCCATCTCATCCCATCCCATTCCATCTTATCCCACCCCATCCCATCCCATCCCATTCCATCTTATCCCACCCCATCCCATCCCATCCCATCCTATTCCATCTCATCCCACCCCATCATTTCATCCCAAACCATCCCATCCCATTCCCATCTCAACCCATCCCATCCCATTCCATCCTATCCCATCCCAACCTATCTCAATTCATCTTATTCCAACCCATCCCATCCCAACTCAGCCCATACCAATCCATCCCATCCCATTCCACCCCATTCATCCCATACCATCCCATCCAATCCCATCCCTCCCATCCCATCTTATCCCATTCCATCGCAACCCATCCCAACCCATCCCATCCCATCTTAACCCATCTCAATACAACTCATCCCATCCCATCCCAACCTGTTCCATCCTGTCCCAACCCATCCTATCCCAACCCATCCCATCCCATCCCATCCCAGTCTATCCAATCCCATCCCATTCCACCCCATCTCAACCCATCCCAATACAACTTATCTCATCCCATCCCATCCCATCCCATCCCATCCCATCCCATCCCATTCCATCCTAACCCATCCCATCCTATCCCATCCTATCCCTATGGTCCCGAGTTCCTGGTCTGGGCATTGGGATTCAAAAATGAATTGGGAAATTTATTTGGCTGCAAGTGACAAAATCCAGCTCAAACCAGCACAAGCAAAAAGACAAATTTTTACTGGCTTATGTGAAGAAAAAGGTAGCGGGGCTTCAGTCTCAGCTGGATCCAGGTGCTCATATAACATCAACTGGTTTCAGTATCTCTCTCAACTTCCCATTGTCCTTCTGTCTGTCTCCTCTTTTTTTCCCTTTCTATTTCTCAGAGGTCTGCATCCTTTGTTGGTTTCACTCTCTGGCAGTCCTCTTCATGTAGTGGCCCCAGCAGCTCCAGGTTTATATCCACCCAGTTTGGCACCAGTAAAAGTCCCCAGAGGGCTCTCATTTGTTGGGCTTGGGTCCATCCCTAAGCTTGCCACTGAGGTGTGAGGAATGTGGTGCTCTGATAGGCTAGGCTTGGGTCAGCCGCTCACCTCTGGAGTTGGGGTTGGAGTTAGCCTCAACAGAGACTCACGGACTGAGCTGCTGGTTCCCCGAAGGAGAATCAAAGTTCTGCTACTAGACAAGGGGAGGAGGGATGCTGGCAGGCAGAACCACAGAACATCCTCTCTATCTTTCTTCAAAAAGCTTCTTCATGCCTCTGTGCCTTTTACAAGCAGTTCCCTTCTGAAGAGGCCCTTCTCTGGCCCTCCTGGAAAATTCATTCTTCCTCTTCCTTCAGGGTTGTTGGAGCTCCCTCCATCTGTGATGTTTCATCCCACGAGCTGGCATGCCTGTCATGTCTGTACACACTGCCCACATGTGCGTGCGTGAACACACACGGCCCACATGTGCGTGCATGCACACACACACACACGCTATCCTTGTAGTTTGAGAGTGTTGTGTAGTTGATATCCAGTACCAGAGTAAAATCCTGACTCAGCAAGAGTTGCATCCTAAGCTGCATTTGGATTTCATTGCTCATCCATCATCCATCCATCTTTAATTCATCCATTATACATCCATCACCCATGAATCCATCATTCTTCCATCTGTCCATGACCACTCATCCATTCATTCATCTACAGTCCATCCATCTATCTACCCATGATCCACCCACCCATCCATTCATCCACCTGTGCATCCATCCATCCACCCATGCATCCATCCATCCACCCATGCATCCATCCATCCATCCATCCATCCATCCATCCCTTCATGCACCCATATATCTACACATTCAGCCATCCATTTTTCCATCATTCATAATCCATCCATCTAACAAATATTGCTGATGCCTTTGCTATGCCAGATGGACTAGAAGATCCCTGCCCTGGAGAGCAAAACATAGTGAGACAGACAGACACAAAAACAAAGATAATTCAGAATGATACAAACGATCCCATCTCAGTCTGGTGTCAGCAGTTTACTTGATGCTGCTGATTCCACTTATAAATAACGCACTTCTACTCACATAATGAAAATGGCAACAGTTCACATTCATTCAGTTCTTTACACAGCACTTTCTCATTTGTTTCTTAGGACCCTTCTTTGGGGGTAGGTATTCTTATCTCTGTTTCTCAGATGAGGAAACTGAGGCCCAGAGAAGGCAGGGAACAGCTCAAGGACCCTTACCTTGACCACAGTGGAGAAGGTACTCAGAAACAGGCCTCAGATACAGCTCCTGATCCCGTGTTAGGCAAGGTGCTTTCCGTAGGTTGAGGATCTGTTCATCAGCTGATGTGGGTCGCCTGGTGCCCTGCCATGCATCACCCTCCAAAACAAACCTGGGCTGGGAGAGCCTAGCTGGCTATTGGTCACTGCTGCAGCGTCTGAGAGCTCCCTGAAGCCCAGGCCTCCTCATCTCTAGCCACTGCCTTTCTGGCTGCCGGGGACCACAGCACTGTGAAGAGAGGCAGTTCCTGCCTAAGCCTGGAGGCTTAAGGAAGGGGCATATTATGTCTCCTCTAGATAGTATGATCTGCCCCGAGCCTGAGGCTGGCTCTCTCTTTGTTCAAAAGAGAGATTAGCAAGTGCTATAGAGGCATTAACAACATATCAGCACCAAGCTGAGACTTTCTCCTTGGTATTAATGGAAGGACAGGAGGAACATTAAATAAGGAATAATTTCCTTTCTCTGAGAGTTAAAAGCTGGGACTCTGAAGCAGAACTGCCCAGGATTTAAACTGTTGGCCATGCAATGAGTGCTAAGTCTTATTAATATTATTCTTATTGTTATATTGTTACTGTGGACAGAGTTTAAAAGCCACAAGCAGAATGAGGCAGTGGTAAACAGTTTACACTCGGGAATCGTAGGCCTAGGTTCCAATCCCGGCTTTGTCAAGTCTTACTTTTGTCAATTTGCAAGTGACTTGACCTCCTCAAGGCTTGGTTTATTCATCTTCAAGATCGGGATGAAAATAATAAAAATAGTCAACATGAGGGATTATTTTCTACCTGCCTGGCACGGGTCTAGGCACTTCTCATGTAATAACTCCCTTGGCCTTCATGGCCCATCAACTACACTGGCTAGATAAGGAAATTGAGGCATCTTGAAGTTCAGTAGCTTGCCCAAAGTCCCACAGCCAATTGTAGGTGAAGGTGGGATTTGGGCCCAGGGCAGTCTGACTCTTGGGCTTGTGATAGGCTTAGGAAAGACTCACGAAATGACACATGTACGTGACCAGCCAAATGCCTGGCACATAGTTTGGTTAAATAAATAGAGGTGATGCTGCTGCTGAGGCCTTAGGTGTCAGCTCTGTTGCTGAGGCTGGAGTGCAGTGGCGCAATCACAGCTCACTGCAGCCTTGACCTCCAGACTCAAGAAATCCTTCCACCTTAGCCCCCCAAGTAGCTGGGACTATGCCTGGCAATTTTTGTTATTTTTGTAGAGACAGGGTCTCATTATGTTGCTCAGGCTGGTCTTGAACTCCTGGGCTCAAGTGATGCTCCCACCTTGTCCTCCCAAAGTGCTGGGATTCAGACTTGAGCCACGGTGCCTGGCCAAGACTCTTACTTCTAATGATGGAAACCCTACTAGTTTAAGCAAGTCTAAGAAAATTATCTACTCCTGTGAACTACAAAGTCTAGGTGGTGTCAGTTTCACCTGAACACAGGTGCCCAAAAATATCACCAAATGCTCTTTGATTCCTTAGACTCTATTCCATTTAAAATTTAAAATTCAGTTCCTCATTTGTACCAGTCACATTTAACATGTGACTAGTGGCCACTGCATTGGATGGTGCAGAACATTTCTATCTTCACTACCAGATTGTATGGTGCTGCTCACTATGGAAATTAACGTGGCCCCTCATAAGCCCTGCACTGAAACCCCACCTGCCTTGCAACCCTAGAGGGAAGAGAGCTGCTTTCCCATAACTCTGGAGAAAAGGCTCAGGGAAGGCTCTCATTGGCCTGATTTATATCACATGTCTATTCCTGAACCAATCACCATGGCCTGCAGCGTGTGAATGGAGTACTCTGATTGGCTGGCTTAGATCATGTGCCTGCTTCATTGGTGGGATGGTTAGGCCTGCCCAGAGCACATGGCATATGTTTCCAGAATAGGGGAGAGAAGAGGATGGAGAGTGAAAAATGACATACTGTGATAGATGGTATTCTTTGTTTATAATTATTAATTCCCCCCTCCACCACTGCTGTGTGTCCCTGAAGGGGCGTGTACTGTCCCACTTCTGAGTGCAGTGGTGCTATTTCGACTCACTGCAACCTCCATCTCCCGGGTTCAAGCAATTCTTCTGCCTCAGCCTCCCGAATAGCTGGAATTACATGTGTGCACCACCATGCCCGGCTAATTTTTGTATTTTTAGTAGAGATGGAGTTTCACCATGTTCGCCAGGCTGGTCTCGAACTCCTGGCCTCAAGTGATCCATCCACCTCAGCCTCCCAAAGTGTTGGGATTACAGGCATGAGCCACAATGCCTGGCCCCACTCTTGATGACTTTGAATTTGGTCGTGTGCCTTGCTTTGATTATTGACTGTGAGCAGATGGGACACACGCAGTATCTGAGCACAGCGAGGCTCTGCCCTGTCACGAGGATGGGATGCCTCAGACAGTGGCTGTTCCTTCTGCCTGGTCCCAGAATGCGAAGGGACGGGGCCCAGTGTAACCAAGACCGGCCAAGCCCAGCAGAGCCCAGCTGAGCTGCGTCCAGCCTGCTTCCCTCATGCGACAAGAATGAGAAGTAAATGCCTGGTATGGAGGGCCACTGAGAGGTTAGGACTCTGTTCTGGCAGCGAAAGCCGACTCGTGCACACCCTGATCCTCTTCCCGAGTCCCATCCTGCTTCCTGCTCTAGTCCACCTTGGGCTTCAGCTGAGGTCCCTCGCTGATGTGTGGCAGATCCGCAGCAGAATCAGACTCCAGTGAAGAGCAAACTCAGGCTGGAGTAGAAGAACTTGTGACATTTCTCAAGGGGCTCCTCTCCTGGTTCCTCTTAAGCTTGCTGCTGTTCATTCAGTCACACACAGTGACTGAGCTCCCGTGATATACCGGGTGCTGGACCTGCAAGATCTTGCGAGACCCAGCTCCTGCCCTCAAGGTGCCCCCAGTCTGTGGGGAGAGACATGGGTGAGCAGGTAATGAAGTCACGGCAGGCCCAGGGCTCTGGCAAACCCGGGCCGAGGACTAGCTGGGCGTTTGGCTTCCTGAATATCGGCCAGCCTTGGACCCAGAGCCACGTGTTGATCAGACGAATTTCTTTAAAAATGACCCTGGGCTAGAAGTGCAATCCTAGCCATGCAGGTTGTCTGGCAAGGCCAAAGGATTCTGGAGATTCTCCTGGTAGCAAGGAGCTGTCTTCCCCAAGCCCATTATCCTCTAGCCTGTGCCTGCTGTGGCATTTCTCTGCCTGGGCTCTGGGTCACATTTCACTTCTGTTGCAGTCCCTGGGGCCATCAGGATGACAGGAGCATCACGCCCAACTGTCAGCCCTCTTCTGTCCCAACACACTGTTCTGACTTCAGACCTTGCCAGTCCCAATTATAAAAGAACAGGCAGGGGATGGGGTCCCCGCTCTTTCACAGGGTCCCAGGCAAAGGCCCGGCTCTCTCTTGCTCATTTATTCGTGAATTTATCTGACATACATTGAAAGCCAATTATGTCTTGCTGCTGGGGCAGGCAGGGGTGACAGAGATGATTAAGATACAGTCAGCCCTTCTAGCCTGGGCCCAGCAGCGTTGGGGGCCTGCGGAGCCAGGGAGGGTTGAGCCGGGCTTGGGAGGATGGTGAAATTGATCCAGCAGTGAGCATTTTAGGCAGAAAGAACAGCACAAGGAAAGGCACGAAAACTGGATGTAGGGTTCGAGCACAACCTTTTGGAGGTGGGGTGCATGTCCCCCTTATGTCTGCTCTTCCTTAGATGAGGTGGCATGGCCCCTGCCCAGAGTTGCCATCTGGGGAGATTTAAGGCTCCCCGAGCCTCCTGGCCCTAGCTGCTGGCCAGGCCCAGTGGCTCCCTCATCTCCCTTTCCTGCACCCACTCTCCTGGTGACATGGCTCGCAGTGCACATCTCCTGGGCAGGTGCAGGACATGGCAACCCTTGGTTCATCTGCTCTTCCCAGAGCCCCAGCCTTTCTCATGCAGGCTACTGCTGAGCCATGATGCATCCCTCCCAGTCCTGCAAGGTTGGCTTTCAGAACCTTGGAGTGGGGCTTTCTCTTGGTTCTGCACAGGAGCTCCTATCACAGCAGCAGTCAGCATGGCCTGAGCCCCCGGGTGGGAAATAAATCAGACAGCTGTGATGGTAACACTCCCATTTATTGAGCACCTATTATGTGCTGGGCACTTTGAGGGCTGCTGCAGCACACAGGGAACTTTGGTAAATGTAAGAAAGCCTTCCCCTCTGGGCATGGAGGATGGGCTCGATGCAGCCCTGCTCAGCCTCAGCTAAGTGCCCTCCTTCACGCACAACCTGAACAGCTGTCATTGGCAGCCCTGGGCCTTTCTAGTCAATATCTCATTTAATCCTCACAATAGCACTATGAGGTGTGTTCTGTTTGGACTCCTATTTTACAGTCAAGAAAACAGAATCTCTGAGAGCTTCAGAAACTTGTTTAAGGTCACCTGGCTGGCAAGTGTGGGAGGAGCACTTCATACTGGACATCTCTGAGGGCGACTTCTGCCCTTGCTGCTGTATTTCACCCTCTCTTGCCCTCAACAGCGAAGGCCACCCTTTGCTCCTTAGCTAATTTCCCAGCAATTCTCTCCCGCTGTTCCGGGGCCTGTTATCTTTCATTATTGTATTTTGTAGCTTCCTAGATTGTTTTATTTTTCACTCCCAGTGGCTCGTTGCTTGGGAGCAGCTGAGAACCCGGCAGTGGCCCTGCTCTAAACGCATCATGTCAGATGCAAGTTTATCTAATTTACAATCGGAGTTGGCGGCAGCACCTTGTCGATTCCATTTCGAGCTAATTTCCTCCCTGATGATTTCCATGGAGGTGGTGGGCTACTTGCCTCCCGGAATCTCTGCCAGCCCCAGAGCTGGGCTCCATGTGTCTCACCTGGTTGTGAACCCTGGGGGCATCGAGTTGCCCTCAGCCCCATTGAAGGGGTTATTTATGGCCCATCTCAGGAGCACGTGGTGGTTAAGGAGCAAAACCTCGTATCTTGGCAAGATCTTGGGTTTGGAGGCAGAAGTTCAGAATTCAAGTCCTCTTGCTGCCACTGTTTTTCTTTTTTTCTTTTCTTTATTTTTTGAGACAGGGTCTCATTCTGTCATCCAGGCTAGAGTGCAGTGGTGTGATCACGGCTCACTGCACCCTCCAACTCCTTGGCTCAAGCGATCCTCCTACCTCAGCCTCCTGAGTAGCTGGGACTACAGGCAAGCACCCCCACACCTGGCTAATTTTTTTGTTTTTTGTTTTGTAGAGGTGGGGTCTTGCCATGTTGCCCAAGCTGGTCTTGAACTCCTTGGCTCAAGCGATCCTCCCACCTTGGTCTCCCAAAGTGCTGGGATTACAGATGTGAATCACCATGCCACTTTCTTGCTATGTGATCTTAGGCAAATTGCTTAAGCTCACTGAGCCTCAGTTTCTTCACCTGTGAAATGGACAATAATGATGCATTGTTTTCCTTCCCCAAGATGGCAAAGAAAGAGGAACACTTTGACAATAGACAAGTTGGTAAGGATGTAGGGATGTGGGAATCTTCACACAATGCTGGTGGGACAGGAACTGGCCCGACCACAATGGACAACAATTTGTCACTGTGTATCAGAACCATAAATGTTCATACCCCTTGCCCCAGCAATTTCAACTGGGTTTGTATGTGCACAAGATGAACGCATGTGCACAAGAATGTTCATTGCAGTCTCATTCAAAATAGAGAAAAATGAGAACAAACAAAATGTTCATTAATAGGGGGACGGCTAAATGAATTGTGGAATATTCATTCTATAGAATGTGCTGCAGCCACTAAAAAGGATGAAATGATAAAATCTATAGGAGACAAATGGATTAGACTTATTGGCAAGTGAAAAAAGCAGTGCTTAGAAAGATAGAAGAGAGAAAGATAGAATGATAAGTATAAAACAAAAACAGAACAATATTTTGTATTTTCTTAAACAAAAACCTTTTAAAATTATGAATTATGTATACTGGCCAGCTGTGGTGGCTTATACATACAATCCCCGCATTTTGGGAGGCTGAAGTGGGAGGATCGCTTGATGCCAGGAGTTTGAGATCAGCCTAGGCAACATAGTGAGACCTCATCTCTCTATATATATTAAAAAACAAACAAAAAAATTAACTGGTTGTTGGCTGGGTGCAGTGGCTCACATCTGTAATCCCAGCACTTTGGGAGGCTGAGGCAGGCGGATCATGAGGTCAGGAGTTCAAGACCAGCCTGGCCAATATAGTGAAACCCCGTCTCTACTAAAAAAACATACAAAAATTAGCCAGGCACAGTGGCGCATGCCTGTAGTCCCAGCTACTTGGGAGGCTGAGGCAGGAGAATCGCTTGAACCTGGGAGTTGGAGGTTGCAGTGAGCCGAGATTGCACCACTGCACTCCAGCTTGGGCAACAGAGTGACACTTCGTTTCAAACAAAACAAAACAAAACAAAAAACAAAAAAAGAAAAATACAAAAATTAGCTGGGCGTGGTGGTGCACGCCTGTATTCCCAGCTTGGGAGGCTGAGTCACGAGAATTGCTTGAACCCAGAAGGCGGAGCCTGCAGTGAGCCGAGATCACAGCATTGCACTCCAGCCTGGGCAACAGAGTGAGACTGTCTCAAAAAAAAAAAAAAATTAGCTGGTTGTGGTGGCTTGTACCTGTAGTCCTGGCTACTTGGGAGGACCACTTGAGCCTAGGAGGTTGAGGCTTCAGTGAGCTGTGATCACGCCACTGTACTCCAGCCTGGGTGACAGAGTGAGACCTTGTCTCCTAAAAAACAAAAACATGTATGCAGAAAAGTGCATTAAAAAAAGATGATTTACGATTTAATGATTTATCCCTGATTGAACCTCATGTAATCACCTCTGAGGTCAAAAATAAAATATTGCCACCACCCAGCAACTCCCCTCATGGTCCTACCAGTACCTCCTACCCCCATCTTTACCCTGAGTCGTATCCACTATCCTGGTGTTATTACGACGGTCAATTCCTTGACTCACTTTATAATTTTGCCACCTAAGCCTACAACCCTAAACATATTATATAGTATAATTTTGCCTATTTGGTTTTGTATTCACATTAACGGAATCACAGTGTATTCTGTTGCTGTGACTTCCCAGGCTAGGTCACAAAAGGCATTGCAACTTCTGGCTGAGTCTTTTGGATTGCTGGCTCTAGGGAAGTCAGGCACCATGCTGTGAGGATGCTCAAGTAGCCCCGTGTCGAGGCCCATGGGGAGAGGTGCCAACCCCAGCTGGGCTATATCCTGGCATCTTGCTCAACATTATTTTGTGAGACCAATGCCAGTCATTGCTCTGCTATGTAGTATTTTTGGGGACATGAATATGAATGTAAATGATTAGGAAAAAAAAGGGTTAGAAAGGTACCCACCAAAGTGATGAGGTCAGTTTGGGAGAGGAGCCCAGAGGTAGGGACAGAAGAGTTCTAAAGAGATTTAGGGGTCTTATCTACTATCTGAATTTTTCTAAAGGAGAAATGTATTGATGCATTATTTAACTGATTAAATTTTAAGAGAAAGAATAAAATGGAAAAAATAAGACCTATTTGCTGGAGTTCCTGGGAAGACGGAATGCATTAACGTAGGTAAAACCTGGAGCCCAGAGTAGGCACTCAGTTAGAGGGAGATGAATACAGGTGAACACGAACCAAATGTCTTTTGGAAGTAGCCATAGGAGCACTATAGTGGAGTGGTCAGCTGCTCTGGATTGGACAGTCTGTGTTCAAATCCTGGCTCCACTGCTTAGCAGTGGTGTGACCTTGGGCAAATGATTTAACTTCTGTCTCCCCAACCCTGAGTTTTACCATCTGGATTAGTTATCACTTGCCACCTGATAAGTCTGTGTACTTGCACCCCTTCTGCCTTCCACCATGATTGTAAGTTTTCTGAGGCCTCCCCAGAAGCCAAGCAGATGCCCCCTCATGCTTCCTGCATAGCCCGCAGAACCATGAACTGATTAAACCTCTTTCCTTTATAAATTACCCAGTCTCCGGTATCTCTTTATAGCCATGTGAGAAAGGACTAATACACCACCTAACAAATCATCCCCAAATGTAGTGGCTTAAAACAGCAATAATTGCTGATTATTTTTCACTGTTTCTGTAGATCAGGAATTTGGGAGTAGTTTGGTGGGCAGTTCTGGGTTGGGGGTCTCTCAGGAGGCTGCAGTAGGTGTGAGTTGAAGCTGCAGTCATCTGAGACTTTTGACTGGCACTGGAGAATCCTCCCAAGGGGCCTCACGTACATGGCTGCCTGGTTGGGGCTGGCTAGTTAGCTCCTTTCCCCATGAACCTTGCCACGGGGCTGCTTGAGCGTCCTCACAACATGGCAGCTGGCTTCCCCCAGATTCAGCAATCCAAAAGCCCTAGCAAGAAGTTGCAATGCCTTTTGTGACCTAGCCTTGGAATCACACACTGCCACTTCTGCAGTTGTTGGTCACACAAGTCATCCCTGATTCAATGTGACAGAGGACGGCAAAAGGGCAGGCAGACCAGGAGATGAAGCTCACCAGGGGTCACAGTGGCTGGCTGCAACACCCCCTCTGACATAAGGACAAGAGTACCCACTTTATAGAGTTTTTGTGAGGATTAAGTGAATCAATCCATGGAAAGGTACTTAGAACAATGGTTGGCATATTGTAAACTTCAGACGAGCACTAGTTATCGTTATTGTTTCAGAAATGCTGCCAGACACATCCCCTTCATGCATTCTTCTGGGTATTACTTTACTGCTTAATTTTGCAAATGTAGATTGGTTCTCAGATTCCCTGGAATGACACCCCTTATAACAATGATCATGAATAGCAGCGCTTTGGAGTAGCCGCCAGAACTGTTTGAGCCACCGCACAAAGACGGCACCCTGCATAGCCATTTTGCATGTCTGCTTCACTGGGTGGACTGAGTCGCCAATGCCCAGCAAGACAGTAGGGCCGATTTTGATCTCTTTGGGAACAGGCATTGAGTCTTTGACTTCAATCACTCGCCACATCAATGTCTCTGCGCGAACGAAGGCATTGATGAGAGAGTGGACTTGCTACTTTCAAACACAGAACAGGAAACTTGACCATCTTCAGTGCTTTAGTCCAAGGATCTGAAACTCTAGTGCCTACAAGGCGAGACAGGTGACCCAAGTTTGGGAAGTGGCCAAGGGTATGAAGAACCAGGTGAGCATGATGATAGAGCAGCAGCTGACCCCTGACCTTGGTGATGGAGAAATAATAGGGAGTGGTAGGGGCTGTGGCAAACAGGAGTGCACATGCTCTGTCTCTGGGGCCACTGTTAGAAGTGCCAGCAAGTCATTGTCTGCAAGACTGTGGTCTAGCGTGGCCTAAATTTCTGCTCCCTTCTCTGAGTGCTTTGCTGCTGTGGTCCACAATTACAGTGACCCTTTGGACGATTGATGCTTGAGCTGTCCTGTAATTTGCATCCAGGTGCTACCAGAAAGGTGTCCTGATCCAGACCCCAAGAGAGGGTTCTTGGATCTTGTGCAAGACAGAATTTGAGGTGAAGCCATAGAAAGTGAAAGTAAGTTTATTAAGAAGGTAAAGGAATAAAAGAATGGTGACTCCATAGGTGTCAAAGAATGAGTACTCCAATGGCTACTCGTGAAAACTTATTCAAGAGTTTTCTGGGAAAAGTGTGGGCAATTCCTGAAACTGAGGGTTCCTCCTCCTTTTAGACCATATAGGGTCACTTCCGGGCATTGCCATGGCATCTTTGAACCGTCATGGCGCTGGTGGGAGTGTCTCTTAGCATGCTAATGCATTATAATTAGCATATAATGAGCAGTGAGGATGACCAGAGGTCACTTTCGTGGCCATCTTGGTTTTGGTGGGATTTGGCTGACTTCTTCACTTCATGCTGTTTTATCAGCAGGGTCTTTGTGACCTGTATCTTGTGCTGATATCTTGTGCTCCCATCTCATCCTGTGACTTAGAATGCCTAACTTCCTGGGAATGCAGCCCAGTAGGTCTCAGCCTTATTTTACCCAGGCCTTATTCAAGATGAAGTTGCTGTGGTTCAAACGCCTCTGACACAGGGTGTACAGTGGCTCATGGACACCTCGACCAGCTTCTCCCTTTAGCATGAAGGGCCCATTTCACACCAGAGTTCCACCCGAGCAGATCATGGCAGTGGGGAGCATTTGCTGACTTCCTTCATCTGAGAATTGTCCACTGATTGGCATCATGAAGTGTTTCACTCTGTGCAGGTCGCAGCTGGGCTTGGGGATCAAAGGCAATTCAGAGCATCCCTCAAGCCTCTATGGAGAAAACAGACATGTCTCAGCACTTCATGTGGGGGCGGCATGTTATGGGCTCCGGTTTCCAGGTGAGGTGGGGTCTGGGTTATTTGACTGATCTCAGGACATCAACAGTGGGACTGATGCATCTAACTTGCCTGGGGGTGGGGGGAAGGTGGCATTGTGGTTTCCTGCACAATGGCCGTTCCCTCTTCTTTCTTGTTATTCTTCCTTGTCTACCTGACAAGGAGACTGAAAAGGGAAGCTACTTTCCTAGCCTCCCTTGAAGCTAAGCAGTGGTTTAGTGACCCAGTTCTGGCCAATGCAATGTAAGCAGGACTCTGCTGGGGGCTTTTGGGGATGTATTTTTCCTCCTGATGGAAGGATGTGGGGGCATATGAGTGAAGTCTTTCTCACCATCCTGAATGCCCCTTATTTCCTGCATTTGGAAGTGGTTGGGTAAGGATGTGATGTCTGGAGCTACCGCAGCCATCTTGTGCCTCTAGGAGAAGTCTCAGAGAATTGCAGACTTAGATTCCTAATGTTGTTGAGCAACTGGATCAATCTTTAGCTACCTACTTCCAGTCTTCTTGTTATGAGACAGAACTGAATGCCTTTATTATTTAAGCCACTGTTAGGTTTTTATTACAGCCAAAAGTTGCATTACTAATGTTACAGGCAGTGTTTGAACAACATGTTCTCTGATGGTATGGAGTGGAAAATTGGGTGCTCCTTAAATACCGATAAAGGCTTGAATTTTGTTGTGCTGGCTCTATCATATTTCTGGGGCTATTTTCTATTTTTTAAATCTCTAAATTAAAAAAGTGAAATATATCACTTATAAAAAAGAATGTTTAAAACATATCTGTATAGTCTAAGAAGAATAATAAAATACCCATGTACTCACCACCTAAGGATTAGAACATTACCAAGTCTTAGACATTCCTTGTGTGCCCCTCCCCATCACATCCCGTCCCTCCCCAAAGTTAACCAGTATCCTTAATTTTGCATGAGTCACTTTCTGCCATTCCTGATAGTTTTAACACCCACATAATCCTAAACAATATGATGTTTAATTTTGCCTGTCCTTGAATTTCATCTAAATACATGCAGACTCTACGCATTGTTTTGTAAGTTGCTTCTTTTGCCCTCTGTGTTGTACGGTATGTTTTTGAGTTTGTGCATGTTGATGTGTGCAGGACTGCATCTGTTATTTCCACGGCTGCGTAGTTTTTGTTATAAGGCTCTCTTGCAGGTTGTGTATTTCTTCTGCGGTTGACAGACAGTTGAGATGTCTCTCATTCTTTTGCCATCACCAACCCGTCTGCTCTAAACATTCTTGTCCATGGCTCAGGGTGCCACAGGGAAGAGTTGCTCTGGCACGGATTCCTTTGAATGGAGTTGCTGGATCACAGGGAAAGACGTATTACTTTCATTAGATAACGCCAAGAAGTTTTCCCAAGTGGTTGCACCTACTTATCCTCACACAGTAGTGACTGAATGTCCGTGTTGCCCACGTCCTCGCTGACATTTGGTCCTGGGTATGTTCTGTTCCGAATGTCCCTCTGTCCCTGCCAAGTTGACCTCTGACCTTTGAAGATGCCTTTCCCTGTGTGTCATTACATATCAGCATCCATACTTCTTCAAACAGTCACCCCAGAATGATGCTGGGGTCCTGAAATAAGGCCATTATCTCAGTCCTGGTCTTTATCTTTGGGTTCAACTGATTTTGGAGTTTCCAATAAGGAGAAAAAAACCAATTTGATATTCTCAGACATCAGAACTGCACCTGATTTGATTCACAAGACAGTGGGAACTTTTCCTGAAGGTCAGCATCCAATCTCTCTCCCTTGGTTCTCTCTGCCTCTGCGTTTTGTATAATCAACCCTAAAGGCGGAGGCAAGATCTAGGATTCTCAGAGTTGCACATTGCAGGGAGATGAGCATGCTGTGGACATTGTGGGGGAGGCAAGCGGATTTGGAAGGAGGTGAGAGGACTCTCAGGGCTCTGATGATGGACCTTGGACAGATCATTTAACCTCTCTGAGCGTCAATCTCCCCTTCTATTAAAATGGGGATGACACCAGTAGATAATTGTGCAGAGAGGGGGTGAATAAGTCATTTAGCACAATGCCGACATGCAGTAAGTTCTCAATAAATGTCAGCAGCTACTTTTAGTAGCAGTTCTCATCTGCATAGTGTTTTGGTGGGGTTGAGAAAGGTTCCAGACATTATTGCTAACATTCCATACATGCATTCCTATAAAACCTCATGATCTGTAAAGTCGTGGGCTAATAAGAAAGAGGCTTATGAGAAAAATAGAGTTGGGGTAGATGACCCCGAACCTAGGGAAGATTGCACTAAGCTCCAAACTAGCTAACAAAATCAATAACAATCTTAATAAAATCTGAGCACGGGTAAATCCTTGAGGGCATTTGTACCCAGCCACACAATCAAACGTTTCAGCCTTCAACCCTCAGCATCTGCTTCCTCCTCAGAGATGTAGGTCCAGGAGGACATTTGCTTCTAATCACGATCATTTTTATCCACATTAAAACTATGATTGGTTCCAGGTGCAGTGTGGCTCATGCTTGTAATTCCAGCACTTTAGGAGGCTGAGGTGGGCAGATCACCTGAGGTCAGGAGTTCAAGACCAGCCTGGTCAACATGGCGAAACCCATCTCTACTAAAAATACAAAAATTAGCCGGGCATGGTGGCATGCACCTATAATCCCAGCTACTGGGGAGGCTGAGACGTAAAAATCACTTGAGCCTGGAGGTGGAGGCTGCAGTGAGCCGAGGCTGTGCCACTACACTCCAGCCTGGGTGACAGAGCAAGACTCCATCTCAAAAAAACAAAAACAAAAAACTGTGATTGAAAGTGTAGCCTTTGCCACTGGCCTATTGTTTCAGCAGAGGTGGGAAGGACTTTGTAGCTTCTTCATCTCAATTTGCCATATCCCCAGATTATACAGCCCAGTGGCAGCAGAGAGGTTCTTGAAACCACAAATCCGGCCACCACTGGAACCAAGCTGGTACCAGAGGCACTTCTGTAGACTCCAGCTTTTTTCTTCAGTTTTTCAAGTCCTGATAAGGATATTTCTTTAATTGTACTTGTTCCTGACTACTTAAAAATATTAATGTGCTGGAGAAAATCTTGTATGGACACACTTTCCTCATTATTTCAACATCCTTCCCTTACATACTAATCATGAATGAGGTAACCTGGGTCAAAGGAGCCTGCCTTATAGCAGGATAGACTGTGTCCTCTAAGAGTCTTTCAGCACTGATGTTCTACAATGGGGTTTGGCAAGCTACAGCCCAGGGACCAAATCCATGGTCCTTTATTTTTTGAGACAGGGTCTTGCTCTGTCATCCAGGCCAGAGTTCAGTGGTGTGATCTCTGCTGGCTGCAGCCTTGAATTCCTGGGCTGAAGTGATCCTTCCACCTCAGCCTTTTGAGTAGCTGGGACTACAGCCATGCACCGACACAGCTGGCTAATTAAAAAAATTTTTTTGTAGACAGGGGTCTTGCTATGTTGCCCAGGCTGGTCCCAAACTCCTGGCGTCAAGCGATCCTTCTGCCTCAGCCTCCCAAAGTGCTGGGATCACAGGCGTGAGCCGCTGTGCCCAGCCCCATCCCACATTAGATATGGTGTTGCCCAGACCCTCATTGTTTAGCCATGTTTTGGCCCAAGGAGGTCAAATTTCCTGGTTCCTTGCCCAGGCAAAGAAGGCACTCTCTGCCTTTAAGACTTTTGTCTCTGGGAAACCACTGAGCTCAGATGTAACCAACTGGAAATTGATTTCAAAAGCTTCAACAGTGGACTCTGTCCCAGCCACATGGGACTGCAAGGACTAGTAGTTACACCAGTGCCTCCTCTCAAAGCTCACAACCTGGCTGGGGCAGGGCAGGGGCCAGGTTAGTACTGAGAGCAGCTCCTTTCCCGAGAGGACAAGACAAGCATATTTCTCACTTGCTTTAGAAATGCAAGAAAGGTTTATTATACCAAATAGGTATTCATTGCCAAAAGATATAACAGCCCAGTGGGACAAATGAGGCTGGCACGGTGGTTAATGCCTGTAATCCCAGCACTTTGGAAGGCTGAGGTGGGAGGATTGCCTGAGCCTAGGAGTTCAAGACCAGCCTAGACAACATAGTGAGACCCCGTCCCTACCAAAAAAAAAAAAAAAAAAAAAAAATAGCGTGCCTGTAGTCCCAGCTACTTGGGAGGCTGAGATGAGAGGATTGTTGGATCCCAGGAGTTGGAGGTTACAGAGAGCTTTGATTGCCCTACTGCACTCCAGCGTGGGTGACAGAGCGAGACCCTGTCTCTTAAAAAAATGAAAATTAAGAAAATGACTCCCCTTTCCGTGTGCTTATCCCCACTCTTCAGTTTAGTCTGTATTTTTCCAGTTGTTTTCTCTATTATCAACCGCATACCTATGTAAAGAGATGGAAGCAGAGAGGTACAGTTCTACTCTCTGCTTTCTCCCCATGACAACATAACTGAGGCATGTTCCCGTGTCTGCACGTGTGGATCTGCCTCGTGCTCTTCAATAACTGTTTATTAGTATGTCCTCCCATGGATACACCTTTATTTATTCAGAATACATACTTCCTTTCAGCTTAGTGCAAATGTCATCTTCCTCCAGGAAGTCTTCCTTGATTCTTGCAGCACAAAATGGCCACTTCCTCCTCCAAACTCCTAGGTCCCTGTCCCTTTCTCAGGCTCTAGATGAGTCAGGGTAAGGCTATGCTGCTGTAACAAAGAGATCCTGCAATATGGAGGCTTGAAGAACAGGGCAGCTGTTTCTCTCTTAGGTCGTAGTCCTGGTTGGTGGGGCAGCTCTGCCCCTGCCAGTCATTCCAGGAGCCAGGCTCCTTCCAAGTCATTGCTCTGTATGCCCTAGGGCACCCTGGTCGTTGTCAGTGTGGCTGAAGTGAGCCACATAGGAAGGCAGGAGATGCCTGATGTCTTCACCCTGACACGGACTGTCCATTCACAAGCCATTGGCAAGAGCTTTGCATGGCCATGCCTCCTGTCTGGGAGGCCTGGGTGTCTGCAATGCCATGGAAGAAGAGAAACCAGCTTTGGTGTACAATCGCTAGTGTTTGCTATTATACAAACCTTGATGCCTTAACGTGGCGCTTGGGGTCCCCATGCTGTGGGAGATGAAATGCTGAGAGAGCAGGATCCAGGGCTGGTCCATCTTCGCATCTTCCTTCATGTCCTGTGTGGCACCTGGCACGTGGTCAGTGCTTGGAAAATGCCAAGCCCATGTGTGGACGTACAGTCACCAAATCAGAGAGTGGTGGGCAACAGGGTCTAGTAACATTTCCCTGCCAAGCACTGTTCTGGGCCCTGAAGACCCAAAGCATAGTTGCTCCACCCCCAAACATTATAGTCATGATCTCTTTGGGTTTCTGGAAAAGGAGATTCTCTTCCTGTGGCAGGGGCACATGCCATCTCTTCCTCCTGACGCCCACCTCCCTCTGCTCGCCAGCTCTCCTCACTTGCCTAGCTGGCTCCTACTGTATAACTCTCCATAAATGTTACCTCTCCCAGACTAGGTTGGCTCTCTCCATTATCCACATGTGTATTATATTTCTCCCTTGTAAGTTTTTTTTTTTTTTGAGTCAGAGTTTTGCTCTTGTGGCCCAGGCTGGAGTGCAATGGTGAAAGCTCACTGCAACCTCCACCTCCTGGGTTCAAGCGATTCTCTTGCCTCGGCCTCCCAAGTAACTGGGATTACAGGCATATGCCACCATGCACGGCTAATTTTTTGTATTTAGTAGAGAGAGGGTTTCACCATATTGGTCAGGCTGGTCTCGAACTCCTGACCTCAGGTGATCCACCCGCCTCGGCCTCCCAAAGTGATGGGATTACAGGTGTGAGCCACTGCACCTGGGCACTTGTAAGTTTTATAAATTGCATTGAAGTAACTTTTTTTTTTTTTTTTGAGAGTTCTTGCTCTGTTGCCCAGGCTGGAGTACAGTGGCATGATCATAACTCACTGCAGCCTTGAACTCTTGGGCTCAAGTGATCCTCCCACCTCAGCTTCCCGAGTAGCTGGGACTACAGATGCATGCTGCCACCCTCGATAATTTTAATTTATTTTAAAAATTTTTTCATAGAGACACGGTCTTGCTGTGTAGCTGAGGCTGGCCTGGAACTCTTGGCCTTGAGTGATCCTTCTATCTTGGCTTCCCAAAGCACTGGGATTACAGGCATGAGCCACCATGCCCAGCCAGAAGTATCTTTTTTTTTTGTATAAAATTTCATTTCAGGTCAATCTGCACTCTAAGTTTGTAAGCTCTATGATGACAGGTACAGTTTTGTGTGTTCAGTGCCTAGCAGACTGCCTGGCCCAATAGACATTCTGTCTACACATGTTAAATATTTAATCAATATTGTCACCGGTTCACCACGGATGAGAAAATGGAGGCTCAGAGAGGTTGAGTGACTGGCCTAAGATCACACAGCAAGTGAGTTTCAGCATTGGGATTTTGGGCTGCCTCCAGAGCTGCTGCTTTCACAGGCTAATGCAATTAGAATACCACATGATGTGTGCCATAACAGGGTATTAATAGGCTGTGTTTAAGGGGTGGTGGGAGGGCAGAGGGGGGCGTGACTGACTCAGCCTAGGGGAGGGGTGGCTGCCTGGAGGAAGCAGTGACCTTGGGGGCTCAGAAACCGTGGGGCATTTGGAGCAGCTGTAGCGACTGCGTGGGAGTATGAAATCTGAGACCAGAGCAGAGCTGGTTGTGAAGCTCCTGCTTGGGGGTGTCAGGGAGTTTGGACTTAGTTGAGCTGAGGGGAACTCTCAGAGTTCGTAAGCAGGGGAGTGACATGATCTGGTGGGTTCTGTTTAGAATGTCACCCTAGGTCAGGGTTGCAAGCTGACGGCTGCTGGCTGGCAGAGTTGGCTGTGCTCACTGGGAATCTGAAAATGGAATCCGTGGCAAACTGCATTAGTTAGGAGTTAAGTCCAACTGCTGAGCCAAATACCCAAAATTATAGCGGCTTAAGCGAAATAGAAGCTTTCTGTCCTCTGTCACATGAAAGTCTGAACGAATCAGGCATCTCAGCTCTACTTCAGGGGCCCAGAATCCCTCTAGACAGTTGCTCTACCATCCCAAGGCACTGCCCTGGTCCACATGGTCCTCGATGGCCGTGAAGGCACAGAAGGAGGAGGCAGATGGACATTGGGGCCAAAGAGCAGTCTCTCTCACTTCAAACTTGAAACATCAGGTGATTCCACCCAAAAACCAGGGTTCTGACTTCTCTTGGACGACAGGAAGGATCTAGCAGGACTGGGCCACACATGGCCACGACTGACTCGATCTGGACCATGTCTGCCTCTTTCGGATGGGCCCATGTGCTCCAGTTCATCACGGTCCTCACACTCCCTTTTGTCCCTGACCGCCGAGGCAGTGTGTCCATTGCTCAATCCTCTTACACCAGCCCCTTTGCTCAGTTTCATGACCCTGTAGTCCCCAAAGCATGTGAGCTCACAGCCCCCAACCCAGGGCGGAGGATGCCCTGCAGGCGGCTGGGCTGGGAGGCTCTCTCGGGCAGTGGCGGCTGTCATGAGGCAGGACTGGCAAGGACCAGGCCAGGCCCAGGCTCTTTGCTGAGAACATCCCTTCCTTTCTTCCTTCATCCTGGTGAACACAGTTCCAACAACTGCCTCTGCCTCTAAAACTCGTAGACTCTCCAGGGGAAACCTTGTTGGAAATCAGGGTGAGGTTCTTTTCTAAACAGCCATCTGGGCGTGTGTACAGGGCTGCCTTTCATTCTCCTGGGAGCTCTTAGGGGCATCCAAGGAGTGCAGCCTGCCCGGCAGAGCCCCGACGACCCATCAGAGCCCCTCCTCAGCTCTACCCTCAGGCTCCCAGGCCTGCTTGACCACCCTAGAAAAGGCTGAGGCTGGCACAGGGGAGACATCATGTAACTCAGGATGCTGATCAAACTTCCTGTCAGAGGCAGTTGCGGGCGGCTGCATTTGAATTTTGCAATCACCGTCCTGTGGGAGTTCTAGATGACACGCTCCCCACTCCTGCTGGGCACCAGTTGCCAAGGAATGATTTCCGGTGGAGGGATGTTTGGTGCCATCTTTATCCATTATTCCTGACCCCTGGCTTCCATCACGGAGACTCCATCAGGCAGGAGGAGGGATGGATGGCTTCTCCTGTCAGAGGCAGATGTGAATGAGTTTACTGGAGCTGGGGAGCAAAGAAGTTTGCTTCCAGTGGGTGCAGGTCTCATGGAGATTGAAGGTCCCTGCAGGCTGGAAATGGCCTTGGCACGGTGGCACCTCCAGATTGAACAGCACTTTTTTGGTCTGCAAATAGCTCTCCCGTATTAGTCCAATCCAATATTTTCTTTCTGACCTGCAGCAATCAGAGGGGGCCTCTGTGTCCCCCTTGGGGACTAGGTACCTTTTAGCAAAATCCCCCCACAGTGCATGCTGTCTCTAGGGTCCAAGCCTTCCGCTAACCCTAACCTGCCTCTGCATTTGGGGTCTGGGTTTCTGGTGGTTGACTCCCTCCTGAATGGGGTAGTGTCAAGATAAGATGCTGCCCCTTCTTGGGTTTCCATAGAGACAAATCCCTCTCAAAGAGCGTCTGAGGATTTTGCTGACTTTACTGAAGATCCGTGGGAGGTTCCATTGCACAGTGCAGGTGACACGGTGCATCTGGCATCCTCCTGGCCCCTCTTCCTTCTACCTGATTTCCCAAGGAGTTCCCGGTGTCTCTTCCTCACGCGTGCAAAGCCGCTTCCCTCTCCCCTGAAGCCTTTCCTGTTGGCGCCGATATACAACCTTGCAAGCGTGTGTGTGTGTTTTGCGGGTGTGTGTGTGTGCATGAGGACATTGGGGCACTTGCCTTCTGCACTGAAGCTCTTGTCAAAACATTTTTCTCCACAAAGTCATTTCTGTCCTCAAGAGGAATTCTGGTGCCAGCAGCTAAGATAAGACAGTTTCTTCACTTGTTATGTGGCTAACAGCTGTGAAGTGGGCTGAAGCAGTTAAGTCATAATCCCCATTTTACAGATGAGGAAACTGAGACTCAGAGAGAGGCAGTGACTCCCTCAGGGTCACCCACTGTGGGACTCCGTTCTAGGCTTGCCGACCCAAGGCCAGTGCCGTTTCCACTGCATCCCTGCCTCATGGAAGCCTGTTTGCTGGAGTTTGGTCCTGAGTTTGCTTCCATGGTGAGCCTTGCCTGGTAGGGCCAGAGACGGGGGTAATGACACAGCACGCATTTACTCATTCACCAAATAGGTAATGAGCCCGCGCCCTGTGCTAGGCACCAGATACTCGGTAATCAGTGGTGAGTGATACAGGGACTCTGCCCTCGTGGAACTGATGGTCCAGTGAGGAATCAGGTGAGCACACACACAAATGCATGTGTTCCCACAGGCAGGCTGAGTGTCACTGAGACAAATCCATCAGGGTCTGGGGTAAGGGCATGCAGGGGGGGCAGGGGTGCTATTTTATAATGGGGGGTCAGGAAGGCCACTTTGAGGGCACAAGCTCCAAAGGTATCTGGGGTGACAGAGCAAGCAGGTGCAATGTCTGAGCCTGGACAGTGTTTGGTGTGTGCAGGGAGCTGCGAGGAAGCCACAGGGTCTGGAGCACAATGATTGAGGGAGAAGGTCGGGGAAAGAGCAGGGAGGAGAACAGGCATCTCATATGGGGCACCTGCGCTCAGAACTGGGCAGTTAAAACAGTACTGATGTGGCCAAGCACCGTGGCTTACTCCTGTAATCCCAGTACTTCGGGAGGCCAAGGCGGGCGGATCACTTGAGGTCAGGATTTCAAGACCAGACTGGCCAACATGACGAAACCCTGTCTCTACTAAAAATACAAAAATTAGCCAGGCGTGGTGGCGGGTAACTGTAATCCCAGCTACTCTGGAGGCTGAGGCAGGAGAATTGCTTTAACCTGGGAGGCAGAGGTTGCAGTGGTCCGAAATCCCGCCACTGTACTCCAGCCTGGGTGACAAATCGAGACTCTGTCTCAAAACAAACAAACAAAAAAGTTCTGACAACTGCACCCCACTTTCTGGACATTGCTTCTTTCTAAAAGCCCCTCAGGTAACTCAAATGTGCAGTGAGGGCCAAGAGCCACTGGGCTAGGGCCCTGCCGGCCACCGTGAGGACTTCGGTTTCATTCTAAGTGTGATGAGAAGTCCTTGGTGGGCAGGAAGGGAGGTGATGCAATCTGACGTACTTTTCTAGAAGACCTCCCTGGTGCCTGGGTTGGAACAGATGGAAGGGAGTGAGAGGGGAGGCAGGGAGGCCATGAGGAGGCTGCTGCAATGGTCTGGACAAGGGGCAGCAGTGGCTGATGATGGAGGCAGCCTTGGCCAGGTGTCATGCTGGACCCCTCTTAACTTCAGGAGGGATGGCACAAGGTTCAAGAGGCCAAGGAAGAGACCTGGAGCCAGCAAACTAAACATAGAGTTTTGCCAGGCGTGGTGGCTTATGCCTGTAATCCCAACACTTTGGGAGGCCGAGGCGGGTGGATCACCTGAGGTCAGGAATTCGAGACCAGCCTGGCCAACATGGTGAAACCCTGTCTCTACCAAAAATACAAAAATTAGCCGTGTGTGGTGGTGCACACCTGTAGTCCCAGCTACTCGGGAGGCTGAGGCAGGAGAATCACTTGAACCCAGAAGGCGGAGGTTGCAGTGAGCGGAGATCATGCCACTGCACTCCAGCCTGGGTGACAAGAGACTCAATCTCTAAAAAAACAAAAACAAACAAAAACCATACAGTTTATTTGGGGGAACTTACCTACAGGGTGCTCCAGTGGCGATGGGCTGGACAGAAGAACAACGGCTCGTAAAATGCGTGCAGTTTCTATAGTACTTTCACTTAACACCCTTGGTCTGGCAATCCTCATTTCTTAAGTCAGGTGTGTCTGCCATACAGGGTATGCTTAAGTTGTTATTGCTGTCAATTGCATCTGCCATACACCAGGGTCCTCAGATTACCACAAACTCAGTGGCTTAAAACAACACAAATTTAGGCTGGGCATGGTGGCTCAAGCCTGTCATCCCAGCACTTTGGGAGGCTGAAGTGGGTGGATCACTTGAGCCCAGGAGTTTGAGACCAGCCTGGGCAACATAGGAGGACCCCCATCTCTACAGATAATTTAAAAAAATTAGCTGGGTGTGGTGGTGCACACCTGTGGTCCCAGATACTCAGGAGGTTGAGGTGGCAGGATCACCTGAGCCTGGGGGATTGAGGTGGCAGTGACCTGTGATGGCACCGCTGCACTCCAGCCTGGGTGACAGAGCAAGATCCTGTCTCAAAACCAACCAACCACCAACCAACCAACCAACCAACCAACCAACCAACCAACCACACACACATGCACATTTATTCTCCCACAGTTCTGGAGGACAGGAGTCTAAAATGAAGGCATCCACAGGGCTGCACTCCTGGGGGCTTCAGGGAGGAGGTTTCCTTGCCTTTTCCAGTCTCTAGATGCCGGTTATACTCCTTGTCTGGTATCTCCTGCATCTTCAAAGCCCGTCACTCTAACCTTTGGTTTTGTACCATCATATCATCTTTTTTTGATTCTCTGGCTTCTCTCTTATATGGACCCTGGTGATTACTTCGGACCCACCTGGATAATCCTGGCTAATCTCCCCAGCTCTCGATCCTTATCTTCATCACCCAGCAGAGTCCCTTTTGCCAGGTAAAGTAAGATATCACAGATTCCGAGGATTAGGACGTGGACTTCGTGGTGGGGGCATTACTCAGTCTCTGACAGTCAGGGTCCCCTCTGGAGTGGTGGAGGGGCCTATGGGTGGAGCCTGGGGCTCCCTTATCTCCCTGGGGGCTCTCAGTGTCTCCCTGACCAGGCGCAGATAACCCCTGGCTTTTTTTGTCTGCTTTTAGATGCTGTGCCAGCTGCAAAGGCCAGTGTGTGGGTCCCACTCCTGTTCCCGAGGGGTCCTCCAGGTGGGCCGGCCTCTCCATGGTTGCTAGGGTGGCTCACTACCCCTAGGGTGCACTGGTGTCCACCTGGTCTCCCACCGGAGGGCTTGGTTGACCAGATCACCCACTCCCATTTGCCTGGCATTTTCAGAATGTATTAGTTTTCTGTGGGTGCTGTAATAAATGACCCCACAAACTTAGTGGCTTAAAACAGCATACATGTATTATCTTACAGTTCTGCAGGCCGGAATCCAGGACAGTCTCACCCACCTAAAATCAAGGTGACATGGGGCAGGCGCGGTGGCTCATGCCTGTAATCCCAGCACTTTGGGAGGCCGAGGTGGGCAGATCACTTGAGGCAAGGAGTTCAAGACCAGCCTGGCCAACATGGTGAAACCCCATCTCTACTAAAAATACAAAAATTAGCCAGGCATGGTGGTGTGTGCCTGTAGTCACAGTCACTCGGGAGGCTGAGGCACAAGAATCCCTTGAACCCGGGAGGCAGAGGTTGCAGTGAGCCGAGATCACACCTCTGCACTCTAGCCTGGGTGACAGAGCGAGACTCTGTCTTAAATAAATAAATAAATAAATAAATAAATAAAATACAATCAAGGTGTTGGCAGGCTGTGCCTTGTTCCGGAGGCTCTAGGGGTGAATGCATTTTTTGCTTATTCTGATTGTTGGCAGAATTCAGTTCCTACAGATGGTAGGACAGAGGTCCCTGCTTTCTTGCTGGCTGCAAACGAAGGGCTGTTCTTGGCTTCTAGAGGTCACCCTGTTCCTTGGCTGGGGACCCCCCACCCCGTCTTCTCCATCTTCAGAGCCAGCAACAGCGGGCTGAATTTTTCTCACCTGGCTTCTCCCTCTCTTCCTGCAGCTGGGGAAGGTTCTCTGCTATTATGGGCTCATGATGACATTGGGTCAACTTGGATAACGGATCATCTCCCCATTTCAGGGGCTACAACCTTAATTACACCTGCAAAGTCCCTTCTGTTTTGTAAAGTAACATATTTACAGCTTCCAAAGATTAAAGCGTGGACGTTTTAGGGGGCTGTTATTCTGCCGAAATGCACCCAATAATAACAAAACAATGACAATGTAATTAATACTTATTAAGCCTTTATTCTGCCGGTCTCTATGCCTGGCTCCTCAGAATCACCTCTGAGGAAGGTACTATTATTATGCCTATTTTAGGAATAGGAAACTGAGGCACAGAGGAAACTGAGGCACAGAGAGGTTAAGGGATGTGACAGGTTGAATTATGCCCCTCCCCCCCCACCATTCATACGTTGAACTCCTAACCCCCAGTACCTCAGAATGTGACCTTATTTGGAGCGAACGTTTTTATAGACATAAATCAAGTTAAAATGAAGCCCTTTGGGTGAGCCCTAATCCAATATGGAGTATGTCCTCCTAAAATGGGGAAATGCAGAAATACAAACCCTTACAGGGAGAATGCCATGTGGATGGGAAGGTGGCATCTACAAGTCAGGGAGACAGGCTGGGCTGTAATCCCACCACTTTGGGAGGCGGAGGAGGGCAGATCACTTGAGGTCAGGAATTCGAGACCAAGCTGACCAACATGGTGAAACCCCTGTCTCTACTAAAAATACAGAATTAGCTGGGCATGGTGGTGCATGCCTGTAATCCCAGCTACTTGGGAGGCTGAGGCAGGAGAATCGCTTGAACCCAGGAGGTGGAGGTTGCGGTGAGCTGAGATCGCACCATTGCACTCCAGCCTGGGCAACAAGAGCAAAACTCCATCTCAAAAAAAAGGAGAGAGGCCGGAAACAGATCCTTCCCCCACAGCCCTCAGAAGGAATCAGCCCTACCAACCTCTTAATTTTGGCCCTCCAGCCTTCAGAGCTGTGAGATAGGAACTGTCTGGTGTTCAGGCCACCTATTTGTGGTGCTTTTTATGGCAGTCCTAGCAGACTAATAAGTGTAACTTGTCATTAGTTGTGGCAGCTGGGTTCGAGCCCAGGCAGTCGTCAGTCTTTGGCTCTCTGGCTGTTTTTGTTGTCACGTCTGTCTCCAACTCTCTCCATTTTGGTCTCTTTGTCTCTGATTTACTCTGTTCTGATTTTTTTTTCTCTATCTTTTATTTGTTTATTTATTTTGAGACAGGGTCTTGCTCTGTTGCCCAGGTTGGAGAGCAGGGGCGCAATCATAGCTCACTGCGGCTTCCACCTCCTGGGTTTAAGCAAACTTCCTGCCCCAGCCTACTGAGTAGTTGGGATTACAGGCACGCACCACTTTGCTTGGTAAATTTTTGTTTTTTGTAGAGATGGGGTCTCATTCTATTCTGTTGCCCTGGCTGGTCTCAAACTCATGACCTCAAGCAACCCTCCTGCCTTGGCCTCCCAAAGCCCTAGGATTATAAGTGTAAGCTACCCTGCCCGGCCTCCTTTTTTTTTTTTTTTCCTCACTCACTCTCCCCTTCTCTCTCCCACTGCTTCTGGCTCTCTGGATTTCCGTCCTTCTCTCCTTCTGGCCCTCAGCTCCTATTGAGACAGGAAGTCCCTCACCTCCTTCCTCTCAGCTCCCTCATCCCCCTCCAGCCACTGTTCCTCCCAGGACACCCCTTTGCAATTAAACTGTGGATAGACCAAGGCCCAGATGCCAGCATCCCTGGATGCCCACACCGGCTGTTCTTGGGGCCTTGGCGGCAAGGGAGCAGCCAGCACTGAGGAGAGTGGGCAGAGAGCTACCCTCTCTGAGAGCGGAGGCCTCTGAGCTGCAGGAGGAGCCAAACTCAGCCCCCACTCACCACCCTGTGGGCTCTCTCCTGCCCCCTCCACCCTGCTGTGCACACAGGCGCCTCGGGCTGAGTGGCCGTCAGCCCAGCAGCCCCAGCAGGCCTGGCTGGTGCGTGACACTCACAGTGGGCACCAGCAGCTGTGCCGCCCGTGTCATCCTGCCACACTGACTCTTCTTTTTCTGCTCCTGGTTCCTGGCTTCAAGCTTTTCAGAGCAGTCTTCCTGCCCTCCAAATCCCAGCCTCCATCTTTCTGGGTTTGACTTTTTCCCTTTGTTGCCCCTGCTTCTGGGGTCCATGTTGCCCTGAGTGGGAAACTCCCAACTCCCTAAGGTCCGAGGAACCCTGTGGTCTGGCCAGCCCTGGCCCCTGGTTGGGTTGGGGGTGGGGATTGAGATGGAGACAGGATGGAGGAAATCAGGGAAGGCTGCCAGGGGGAATTCTGGGAAACACTGGGGAACGGACACTTTGGAGAGACCTGGCCGGCCCAGTTCTTCTCCTCTGGGAGCTTCCCCAACATCAGTCACGGCCATGCTGGCAACCACGTTTTCCTGCAAGGCCATGATTTACCCGGCCATGCTGATTGGCCACTAGAGCTGGACATGTGACCTGAGCTGGGCCAATTGGCTCCTCTGTCCTGGGAGTTTGGAGGACTCTGGGAGGTGGGTTGGCTTCTGTAGGGCTGGTCACAGGGACAAGGGGTGGAATGTTTGAGGGAGGCAGGCATGTGTTCAGAGGAGCAGAGAGGGGCTGAGACAGCCAGAGAGAGGTTGCCCAGCTCCCATGGCTCCCGTCCCCTGCAGTCCCTGCTGCTGGGTTCAGCGAGATGCCCGTGTATCCTTCTGTGTTAACAAGCATCCATTCTCAAGCTCCTGTGAGTGGGTTCTGTCTTTTGCAGCCGCTCAGCCTCCAGATAGCGCTTTTAAGAATGCAAATCAGATCACAGTGCTCGTCTGCTTGGTGCCCTCAGTGGCTTCCCAGAGCTGCAGCATTTCTCCTTAAGGCTGCCCCAGCACGAGGCTGAGCAATCTGGCCCTGGCCTCTCCCATTGTCCCAGGACTCGCTCACAACAGCCTCTTTGCTGTTTCTCCAGCACTCCAAGTTCATTCCTGCCCCAGGGCTTTTGGACTTGCTGTGCCTTTTGCCTGGGATGCTCTCCCCCTGGATCTTTTTTTGTTTTTCTTTCTTTCTTTCTTTTTTTTCTGAGACGGAGTCTCGCTCTGTCACCCAGGCTGGAGTGCAGTGGTGCATCTGGGCTCACTGCAAGCTCCGCCTCCCAGGTTCATGCCATTCTCCTGCCTCAGCCTCCCGAGTAGCTGGGACTACAGGCGCCCGCCACCACTCCTGGCTAATTTTTTTTTTTTTGTATTTTTAGTAGAGACGGGGTTTCACCGTGTTAGCCAGGATGGTCTTGATCTCCTGACCTTCTGGTCCTCCCGCCTCGGCCTCCCAAAATGCTGGGATTACAGGCGTGAGCCACCGCGCCTGGCCTCTTTTTTTCTTTTTAATTTGTTTTGAGACATGATCTTGCTCTGTCACAGGCTAGAGTGCAGTGGTACACTGCAAATACAGCTCACTCCAGCCCCCACCTCCTGGGCTCAAGCCATCCCCCTGCCTTAGCCTCCTGAGTAGCTGGGACTACAGGCATATGTCATCATGCTTGGCTAATTTTTAACATTTTTGTAGAGATGGGATCTTGCCACGTTGCCCAGGCTAGTCTTGAACTCCTGGGCTCAAGTGGTCCTCTCGTGTTGGTCTCCCATAGTGCTGAGATTATAGGCGTGAGCCACAGTGTGTGGCCACCCCCTGGATCTTTACATGGCCAGCTTGTCGTCATCAGGTTTGAGCTGGAAGTGTTCTCTCTTGTAGAAAAGGCCCTGGTCAGCCCATCAGAGAAGCCTCGCTCACCCTGTTATTCCATCACAGCATCCTGTTTTATTTTATTCAGGGCACATATCACCATCTGTTGTTTATTTATTTGTTGACTTGTTTACATCTGTTTCTCCTGCTGGAATGAAAACATCACATCTTGCGCACCACTGAATCCTCAGTGCTTCCAACACAGCCTGGCGCGTAGTAGGTGCTTAATGAGTATTTGTTGATTGAATGCAAAAATGAGGCAAGATGGCCCAGAGTTAGACTGCCAGGAGTTTGGCCAGGTTTGCTGGAAGAGAGTTAAAAGCCCATCTCGTTCTTCCCACACAGGAACCCCATTCTTGCCTATACATAGGCTGCTCTGCCCTTGTAGATGATAATTTGAAGGTTGCCAAGCAGCGGGTGGAGACCAGGCTGCCAGGCTGCACGGAGTGGTGATCGTAGCAGAGGTGACTCAGTTCTGCCTGGGCCAACCTTGGGCCCCCTTCTGGGCTGATACATACTCTATCCACTGGGCCAGTGTCTGTTCTTTCTCTAGAGGGCCACAAAATGATCTTTCCAGGAGGAACCCCATTTGTCCTACAGCCCTTCAGTAAGGGACTATGATTCACATCCCCCAAGATCAGAGGCTTTGACCTGGGAGAGGGCCTCTGGTCTAAAAACAAGCCCTGTTTTGGGTAAGCTGGTGGAGGAGACGATTTCACGTGTGGGTGAATTGCCTTTCGTCTGCCTCTCTCTGATTTGTTTTTGAAAATTCATTGTATTTATTAGATGTGCCATCACACAATGGTCCCTTGACATATTTCATGCTGTAAAGAGACAGCCCCTGCCATCAAGCTGTACGCTGTAGCTGACAACACTGTGTGTCTTGTGCATACTCACGCATACACTTCCACGTGGGCACACGCTGTTGTCAAGCACACAGACGTCACAGGCTGGTGGGAGCAGCCCTGGGGTTGAAAGACCCAGGCTGGCGTTGGCTGTACCTCTCCTCCCTTTCCTGGAAAAATGATGGCAATTCTGCACTATCTATGTGAATTGGGGAAGAAAGCAGCATGGACAGATAAAGTCCAGGATCCCAGTCGCCTCCCTGGCCAAACAGAAATGGCTAACCAGCCAGTGGTTTTGAGGGATGGGAGTTCAGCAAACTTTTCTTTTCCTTTTTTGTCTGCTGGTGGAGCTGCTAATGAGTAGAACGAAGCCCACAGAGGGAGGGGGAAGCAGAAAGCCTGAGCAATCCACTCCCTGAATAATCAGCCCTGAATAATTGAGAATTGACTTGTAATTGCAATTGTCTCAGTGTGGAGATGCTGACGCTAGAAGATGAGGAACAGGCAAGGAGAATGGTGGGGTTTGGAAAGAGGGCGTTGACTCTGGATTGGTTCCTGGCAAAGCAATGGCGGGTCAAGGGGAAATTTTTTATTACAATTTTAAACTACAAGGTCAAAGGGCTAACACTGTTGGGGGAAGGTTGTAGGAGGAGGAGAGGAGAGATGTATCCAGGAAGGAGCAGTATTTCTTCCCAGACAGTAAACAACTACCAAATAAACCCCAGAAATGACACTCTGAGAGTGTCTGTGGGAAGCTTAGAGAGCTGCTTGTCCGGCAAGAGGTATTGGTTTTGTTCAAGCTTCATCTGGTGCTCATTTAAAAAAATAGATTTCATTTCCCCTCTTGCACCAGTCTGGAGGGGAAAATCAGCACGTAACATCTGCCTCATGTCATCATTTAGATGCTTATAAATAAATGGATTCTGGCAGGACTAAGCAAATAGATAGTAAAATGCAAGACCCAGCCAACTCCTGATTAGCTCTTCGTGGATTATCTGCTGGGGGATCGTCCAGAGGAAATGTCCCATCCCAGGGTGGAGTCCTTCTCGCCATGCAGCAAGGTCCTAGGCTTCACTCTCTGAGGTGGCCTAACTTTTTATTTTTACTTTTATTATCTTTAGCATTATTTGGTAGAGACGAGGTCTCACTATGTTGCCCAGGCTGATCTCAGAACCCTGGGCTCAAGCGATCCTCCCACCTTGGCCTCCCAAAGTGCTGGGATTATAGGCGTGAGCCACTGCGCCCCGCTGTGGCCTAACTTTTGAGCGCACAGAATGTCACATGTGAGCAAGTAATGGTTAAGGGCTGGTTCTATGCTGCAGACAGATCTGAGGTTGAACTCGTCTCTTACACACAGTAGCTAAAAGGACTTGAGCCGTGTCTCCATTCCTCTGAACCTCTGTTTCTTCCACTGTATGATGAGGAAGATGATGATTGCAGCTGTGACTCTATGCTTATCAGTAGCCTTGAGTTTCTCTGCATTTCCCAGCGTCCTTTGCACTTGGAATGGCCATGTGACTAGTCTGGCCAATGGGATATGAGTGGAAGTGGTGGGCTGAGGTGGACAAATATACTGTGTGTCCTCCCTCTACTTTCTCTCCCTCATCTGTGGTGCAGCTACACCATAAAAGGAGCCTGGATCCCTGATTCACTGCATGGATATGAGTCATTCAGGAGAAGCAGCTAAGAAAGAACCTTTAAGATTTTGAGGTGTTTGTAACAGCAGCTAGTATTAACTACCCAAACAAATACAGTAGTACTCCCTTGAGAGGTATTGTGAAGAATTAAGTTAGGGAGGCAGAGCTTATAAGAGCTTAGCTAAGTGCCGGCATATAGAAAATGTTCAATAAATATTAGGTATGAGTATTAATTTATTTATGCAGCAAATATTTATAGAGTTCCCATGATGGGCCAGGGATGTGGAATAACAACAGATGCATAAAATCGTATTTTGGATTATGTATTAAATAGTGCACTCCATGGTAAAATAGAAAGAATTTGGTCATTCTTTCCATCAGTGATTATTATTATTGTTGTTGCAGCTCACTGCAACCCTTGAAGCCTCCCAGGTTCAAGTGATTCTGGTGCCTCAGCCTCCTGAGTAGCTGGCATTACAGGCATGCACCACCACACACAACTAATTTTTGTATTTTTAGTAAAGATGGGGTTTCACCATGTTGGCCAGGCTGGTTTTGAACTCCTGCCCTCAAGTGATCTGCCCGCCTTGGCCTCCCAAAGTTCTGGGATTACACGTGTGAGCCACTGCGCCTGACCCAATCATTGATTATTAAATATTAAACCCTATTATGCTCCAGGCATTGTGATGAATGGTGGGGACGTGTGGTTGAATATGTCCGTTTTCACTCTTAAATTGCTTGCAGGCTACTGAGAGATGTACAAGTAAACATATAATTCAAATGCCAAGTGACACGTGTCATATAGAGGGACTTTTTTAAAGTGCTGGCTGTGTCATTAACTCTGTTTGGGGGAAATCAGAGAGGGCTTCATGGAGGAAGGGGCTTTTGAGTTCAGCCTTGAATGTCTGAGTAGCATTTGGGCAGATGAGAAAGCATTTCAGGTGGAGGGACTGGTTCAGAGTCATGAAGCCTTGGGTTGTTTTTTTTTTTAATTATTTATTGATTTATTTTTTAAAAACAAGGTTTCACTCTGTTGCTCAGGCTGGAGGGCAGTGGCGCGATCACAGCTCACTGCAACCTTGAACTGGGCTCAAATGATCCTCCTGCTTCAGCCTCCCGGGTAGCTGGGACTAGAGGTTCATGCCACCATGCCCAGCTAATTTTTAAATTTTTGTAGAGAAGGGGTCTTACTGTGTTGCCCAGGCTGCCCTTGAGCTCCTGGCCTCAAGCAATCCTCCTGCCTCGACCTCCCAAAATGCTGGCATTACAGGCGGGAGCTCCCGCGCCTGGTGAGGTCTTGTGTTTGATGAGATGTGACAAATGCTTTGGTAGCTGGGGATATAGGGTATCTGTGCTAGGTAGAATAATGTCACCCACTCCAAAGATGTCCACATCAGTGCTTGCTCTGGCAGCACACACACTAAACTTGGAATGATACAGAGAAGATTAGCACGGCCTCTGTGCAAGGATAACACACACATTCATGAAGCATCCCATATTTTTCCATTATTCTAAGTGAAGTAACTCTGGAATAGAAAACCAGACTCTGTATGTTCTTACTTATAAATGGGAGCTAAATTATGGGTATGCAAAGGCACATAGAGTGGTACGGTGGACATGGAAGACTCAGAAGTGGGGAGGGGCCAGGCGTGGTGGCTCACACCTGTAATCCCAGCATTTTGGGTGGCCGAGGTGGGTGGATTACCTGAAGTCAGGAGTTCAAGACCAGCCAGGCCAACATGGTGAAGCCCCATCTCTACTAAAAATACAAAAAGCTGGGAGTGGTGGCGCATGCCTGTAATCTCAGCTATTTGGGAGGCCGAGTCAGGAGAATTGCTTGAAGCTGGGAGGTGGAGGTTACAGTGAGCCAAGATCGTGCCGCTGCACTCCAGCCTGGGTAGCAGAGTGAGACTCTATCTCAAAAAAAAAAAAAAAAAAAAAGTGGAGAGGGTGGGAGGGAGTGAGGGATGAAAAACTACATATTGGGTATGATGGACACTGCTTGGGTAATGGGGGCACTAAAATCTGAGGCTTCACTGCTACACAATTCATCCATGTAACCAAAAACCACTTGTACCCCTAAAGCACTGAAATAAAAAAATATAAATAATAACAATAAAAATTAATAAAATCAACAATAGAAAACAAGCAAAGATGTCCACATCACAAACTTTGTAACCCAACCCGTGACTGTGTTAGCTTACGTGGTGCAAATGGACTTTCTCAGATGTGATTACATTAAGGATTTTGATATGGGAGGTTATCCTGGAGTATCCAAATGGGCCTGACCTCATTCCATGAGTCCTTAAAAGTGGAGAACCATGATGGTGGGCACATGTAATCCCAGCTACTTGGGAGGCTGAGGCAGGAGAATTGCTTGAATCCAGGGAGCAGAGGTTGCAGTGAGCCGAGGTTGCACCACTGCACTCCAGCCTGGGTGACAGAGCAAGACTCTGTCTCAAAAAAAAAAAAAAAAAAAAAAAAAAAAGTGGAGAACACTTCCCAGCTGTAGGCAGAGGGAGAGGTGTGTCTGTGAAAGAAGGGAGATTTGACATGGCTGGTTTCGAATATTGGGAACCACGAGTCAAGGCATGTGGGCATCCAGGAGAAGGTAGAAGAGGCAAGGACATGATATCTTCCCTGGAGCCTCCTCTAGGGGATGTGGCTGGGCCTACACCTTGATTTTAGCCTAGTGAGAACCATGGTGGACTCCTGACCTATAGAATTGTAAGATAAGGCCAGGCGCGGTGGCTCATGCCTGGAATCCCAGCACTTTGGGAGGCCGAGGTGGGTGGATCACCTGAAGTCAGAAGTTCGAGACCAGCCTGGCCAACATGGCGAAACCCTGTCTGTACTAAAAAATACAAAAATTGGCCTGGCGTGGTGGCACATGCCTGTAATTCCAGCTACTCAGGAGGCTGAGGCAGGAGAATTGATTGAGCCTGGGAGGCAGAGGCTGCAGTGAGTCGAGATTGAGCCACTGCACAGAGTAAGACACTGTCTAAAAATAAAAAAGAAAAAGGAAAAAGATTTATAAGGTAAAGATTTTGTATTGTTTTAGCCATTATGTTTTGTTTGTGTTAATTTGTTACAGCAGCAATGGAAAATGAATAGAGCGTCTGATGGAGAATGTCAAGAGACCACACTAGACAAAAGGGCCAGGCAGAGTTCTGTAGACTTATTCTGGATGAGCAGTGGGTCTCAAACTTCAGTGAGGTCCCCACTTTTCCATGTACTACTAATATTCTGTGTGAATATTAATTAATAATTATATTCTGAGAGAGAGAGTAGCCTTGTTCATTTTAATGGGCATGATCCTTCCATAAGTTGAATGTATGTTTCTTATTTAATTAATGGAAATGTAGGTTATTTCCAGTCCTTTGCCATTAAAATAAGGTTGCAATGAATGATCTTGACCTTGTGTAATTTTGCACACGTGTAAGATGAGTTCCAAGAAATGGAATTGTTGGGTTACAGAGAATATGCATCTTTAGGAGTCCACATTTTCCAGAAGTGTTTGAGGGCACCATTCTGGTGAGAGCTAAAGGCAATTGGAGGTTCCTGAGCAGAATTCAGATATGGGTTCTACAAGTATTCCTGTGGCTGATGGTGTGGAAGCAAGGAGTCCAGAGGAGAGGCTGAGGCAATGGACCTAGAGAGAAATGAGTGTGAGTGACAGAGAGAGAGAGAGGGCGCTGTTTAGGACTGGGTTGGTATGGGTGAGAGTAAGTTGATTTTCTTGTGTGTGTTTTTATTTATTTTTAGATATGGGGTCTCACTATGTTGCCGAGGCTGGTCTCAAACTCCTGGGCTCAAGCAATCCTCCCATCTTGGCCTCCCACAGTGCTAGGATTACAGGTGTGAGCCACTGTGCCTGGCTGTGTGTGTGTGTGTGTGTGTGTGTGTGTGTGTGTTTTAATCAGTACAGGAACTTCCTAAGACCTGAGAGGTCCTTCTTCAATGGCCCTGGGTTGAGAGCCTACTGGAGCCAGGTGCGGTGGTACACGCCTGTAATCCCAGCTACTTGGGAGGCTGAGGTGGGAGAATTGCTTGAGGCCAGGAGTTCAAGAGCCACTGGGACTCGTGTCCCTCATGACAAGTGAGGCCCACTTTGTGTTCACGTGTCAGGCCTGAATTCCACTCTCCATTCTCTTCTGCCTGGCCCTTTTAACCTTGGGGGAGACAATTATCTTTGTGGTTTTGCAGGGAAAGGGGATAGAAGTGTGTCCCTGTGGTCTTTAAACAAGATCTTTCTGATATTAGGTTTCTTCTAAGAAATACGTGGTGACCACAGTTCTTCCTGCCCCTGACTTCCTGATTTTTGGTGCTTATATGATTTTTACAGCATCGAGGTGTTCCAACTACAATATCTCCAGTTGTTTCATTTTGGTTATGCGTTTACATAGATTCTTTACCCACCGTGGGGTTTTATTATGATTTCTCCATTCTTGGGCTTATTTTATTCTTCCTTGGTGAGCTGTATTTCAATGTCAGCTAGCTTTTTCAAGAATGGCTCATGGATACTATATTCTCCAAGGGCGTTCGTGTCTGAGAATGTCTGCCTGCTGCCTTTACACTTGAACGTGCAGTTCATCTTTTTGCAGCCTTGCTGGGATTATGTTCGTGAGTCTCCCCTGAGGAGAGCCCTGGGACTGTTTCTCCCATTCTTCTCGAGGTTGGGTTGAGACCCAGTGCTGCTTGGGATGCGTGGTGGTCCCCTGAACTTGGGGATGCTGTAGGAAGATCATGAACAGAAAATAACACAATTTGGAGGGGGAAACTTTGGCTGCCAATTTCAGGGCAGCCAGCCAGAAGATTCTCTCTCTTCCCTCGTATGTTTGGGATATTTGTAACTCTAAAAATATCCATGGCAGCTGTGTACAGCTGCACAGGCTGTGCACTGCACGATTCAGGGAATGTTGTTCCTGTAAACCACAATGTGAATGGTGCTCCGTTATGTGCAATGTCGTGGCCCTGTGACCTCTCAGCCTGGAGTGGGCCTAGAAGCAGAGAATTATTTTATCTCAGTGTTTCCAGACTTTGGCTATTTTCATATCACCTTTATTAATTTATTTCTAGCCACATATTCATCTTCTACTATGATTTTTTTTATTGACTCACAGTCTTCTTACAAAAATGAATGTAAAAGGGGAACTTTAGATCAAAATTGGGAGCGGAAAGCCAGTAAAACTCACCAAAATAGAAGAAATATGTATGTGCACGTGTGTGTGTGCATGTGTGCACATGTGAGCATAAAAGAAAAATAATGCCATCAAACTCTAGCTGGATATTGTGGTCTTTCTTTCTTTTTGAAACAGGAAGTATTAGGAAGTATTATCAGCAAGAGTTAGAGCAATGTTAAAGACAGGCTTGCAGAAAACTGACGTTTTCTTTTGGAAGTCATCTGAAGGGTTGGAAAGGAATTAGAGGGAGAATTGTTCCCTATGACACAATTCAGTGTAGTTTAATGCCACATCCCCCCACCATTCTGAACCCCCCCAAGGGACCTGAGAAAACACTGGCCCAGCCCCATCCTCCATGAGCTGCTTGAATATCTTGGCAACATCTCCCCTTGGTGGTTCAAGCCTTTCTCCTATCCTTATGTTACAGTCTCGCCAATGCACCAGAATGTAGCCGTTGTAGCAGCCTCTCCTGTGGTATCACCTGGAGTTTTTTGTCTCACGACTAAGAAAATTAAGGAGCATGGACACAAAGGATGAGGTTGCGCAAAAGTTTAACAAGCAAAAGAAGAAAGCTCTCCTGTGCAGTGGGGGCCTGGAAGAGGGTTGCTGTTTTTACGGTTGAATGCAAAGCCTTTTATAAGAAATGGATGAGGCCTGGGTGTCTCATTTGCATAAGGCATGAATTTCTGGTAGCTTCGCCCTGTCCTCTTAGTGCACATGTGAGCCCTTAGCTTGAGTTACTGCATATTGCTTTGTTCCCCTTTCTGCACATGTGTCAGGGGACAGAATTTTCCATTGCGGACATGTATGGGCAAGTCATCTGTGTAGCCTTTCTTATCTGTGCGGCTGTGGGCATGTCTTAGGCAAGCCCCCATGTGCAAGTTTCCTTATCTGTGCCTGCAAGCTGTTCTTTTGCTTGAAAGAATTCAACTAAGGACCCACCCTAACTGCCTGCCTGACCAGCTTCTTCCTTTCTCCTCTCTCACTTACACCACTGGAAAGTTTAATGCCATGGCACAGGGGCTTTTTTCGAGGCTGGGCCATTCTTTGATTATATTGGGCAGAGTCCCTCTCCTTGGGCCTGTTGAGCCTGGTTTTACTGTCTGGAGTGCAATAGAACAGATAAAATCCTTCCTACAAGTTACATTCCTCCAAATATGATTGAAAGTGGGGACTCTAGGCCAGGTGCGGTGGCTCTTGCCTGTAATCCCAGCACTTTGGCAGATTACCTGAGCTCAGGAGTTCGAGGCCAGCCTGGGCAACATGGTGAAACTCTGTCTCTACTAAAAATACAAAAAATTAGCTGGGCATGGTGGTGCATGCCTGTAGTCCTGTCTACTTGGGAGGCTGAGGCATGAGAATTGCTTGAGCCCGGGAGGTGGAGGTTGCAGTGAGCCAAGATTGCACCACTGCACTCCAGCCTGGGTGACAGAGCAAGACTCTGTCTCAACAACAACAACAAAAAGCAAGTGGAAACTCTGGAGTTAGAGTGCTTGGGCCGGAATCCTGACTCAGGTACTAAACCTCACTGTACTTCTGTTTCTCCATTCAAAAATGGGCATAATAACAGTACCTCTTTCATATAGTTATTATGAGAATTAGACATATGGACATTTCAGTAGCACCTGGCACATAGTACGTTCTCAATAAACATTAGCTGTTATTATTTTCTGTAGGCAGGGACTGTAGGGACCTCATTCCCTCATACCTTCTTCTAGTTATAAGGTGGAGGATGTGGGTCCTAACTTCAGCTTAATATCTGACTCATGATGAGATCTCAAGTCACCCAAGGCCCTCCCTGGGCCATGGTTTCTGTATCTGGAAACTGAGGGTGGTGGACTCTGTGATCCCTAAATTCCTGCTTCCATCTCTAGCAGAGCTGGATAATTGTATGTCAAGGGAGGACAGAAGAGGAAGCGTGTTCTGCAATGAGCAGATCTATGCAAACCTATCCCCAAAGGCTGAGGGAGCCGAGAGGCCCAAGAATGAGGCTCACAAATCTGGCTTCTTTGAAAAAGAAATTTAATAGGAACTTAGTAACAGAAGTGGTATGTCTGGTGGCTGAGAGACAGTAGCTCCCCACACCCACCCTCCAGAAAATATTCCTTTTTTTTTTTTTGAGATGGAGTTTCACTCTTGTTGCCCAGGCTGGGGTGCAGTGACACAATCTCAGCTCACTGTAACCTTGGCCTCCCAGGTTCAAGTGATTCTCCTGCCTCAGCCTCCCTAGTAACTGGGATTACAGACACACGCCACCACACCTGGCTAGTTTTTTGTATTTTTAGTAGAGACGAGGTTTCACCATGCTGGCCAGGGTGGTCTCAAACTGTCCTCAGGTGATCCACCCGCTTCGGCCTCCCAAAGTGCTTGGATTACAGGCGTGAGCCACTGGGCCCAACCGAAAATATCCTTTATCTAGCAAGCCTTTAGGGTAAAACATGCATAGCTGGTCACACCTCAGGCTTTCTTGCAAAACTCATCATCACTAGGGAGGTTAGATAAGCATCTTGACGAGGGTCATCTATGCCACAGGCATTGCTTAAAGACCTTGCTGCAGGAGTCAAACATCAGTTATCATGGAGGTTTCACTTCCAGATGGCGTCGCTCTTGCCATGCAACAGGCTGTTTTCTTACGCTCCACCCCTGGAAACCTGCCCTGACAATCTCACTCACCCACCTCTCCTGAGGTAGTCCCTGGGTCTGGAGAGAAGACGCTTGGTATGGTATAGATTTATCAGCAGTGCATTGGCAATGGGAAATAGATTGGGCCCAGTAGGATTCCAAAGGAGGGAGATTCACAGCCTTTGTTGAATAATCTCTAGTCTTTGGAATACCACGATTTTGGTTTTCTCAGAATAAGTAAAACAATGAGAGATACATAGCATTAATAATTTGAATAGTAGAAATATGGGCCAGGCACGGTGGCTCATGCCTGTAATCCCAGCACTTTGGGAGGCTGAGGCGGGTGGATCACCTGAGGTCAGGAGTTTGAGACCAACCTGACCAACATGGCGAAACCTCGTGTCTACTAAAAATACAAAAGTTAGCCAGGCGTGGTGGTGCATGCCTGTAATCCCAGCTACTCGGGAGGCTGAGGCAGGAGAATCACTTGAACTGGGGGGCAGCGGTTGCAGTGAGCCGAGATTGCACCACTGCACTCCAGCCTGGGCAATAGAGTGAGACTCCATCTCAAAAAAAAAACAAACAAAAAAAGAAATATAATGCACACAAATACTACAATCAAAAAGAGAATTTGTATGCCAGAATGAAAAAAAAACAAAAACAAAAAACAGAGAACCTATTCTATCAGGGAGCAAACTAAAAACATCACGAAGAAAATTAAAACCCAGTTCTCCTTTAGAGACTTGTTGTAGCCAGGAAATAATTCAGCATTCAGTCCAAATTGTAGGCAAATAATAAAAGCTCAGAAACAACTGTCAAGGCTGGAATCTAATAACAGGTGTGTTATAGTTTTCTTCTGAAAGATAGTTTTTCTGTCTCCAATTCCCCTTTTCTACCAAAGAAAAATCACAGTAAGACCCAGTTTATTTGCAAAATAAATTTTAGCCTTACTGTACTTGGCCCGATTATTTGCATAAGGTGGAGCAAGACTAGCGATTGACCACATAGACTCTTTTTAAGTTGGCTTTGCTGGAACTTACATAAGGAATTTTGAATTAGACTTTTTTTTTTAAATTATACTTTAAGTTTTAGGGTACATGTGCACAACGTGCAGGTTTGTTACATACCATTTGACCCAGCCATCCCATTACTGGGTATATACCCAAAGGATTGCAAAACATGCTGCTATAAAGACACATGCACACATATGTTTATTGCAGCACTATTCACAATAGCAAAGACTTGAATTAGACTTTTAAAGGTCTGGATTTAGGAAGCCAAGTCACAGATTCGTCATCAAAATGTGCCTAAACTACCTGTATGAATTGGGTGAATTCTTTTCTTCTTGAGGTCCCAAAATATCTTGAGGTTCCTGGACCTGCTAGAAAGTGTCATTCTTTATTTATCACAGGTCAGGAATCTTGCAAGGGAACCATAAGACAAGGAACTAGGCCAGTCTTTCCAGAGGACCTTTTATTGGCTCTATTAAGTCAACCTCAATTCCTCAAAGCAGAATGGTCATATCTAAAAATACACCATTCTAGTCAAAACCTTGGCATAATAAGTATTTCCAATGTGTCCAGTGGCAAAAGAAAACGTATTCTTAGTGAATGTATGTTAATAACTATATTATAATAAAATAAGAATATTCATGAATAGTTTCCAAATTATGGAGAAATTAGAGGGAAATGTAAATGTCTCCATTTTGCTCACAAGTGTATACTTTGCCCAATTGCTGTAGATATAAATAGCTCAAAAGAAAGAAAAAAATTTCTTTGACTCTGAAAAACAAAACATAAAAAGAAACAACAATGGTTCAAACAAAAAGTCATAAAAATGATTTCAGTCCTTTATTATTTCAGACCCATGTGAGTAATTCTTGTTCTGCTTGATGTTGGGTTAGCAATCCTCATAAACACATCAGCTAATTAAGAGCCCTGGACGTTTCTACTAGCCTAATGGTATCATCTCCAAAGTTATCAGAAACCTGTTATTCAAGATGACTTGTCAGGGTCCTTTCCATGAATTTCCTCGAAGACACCACACTTTAGGGTTTGCAAAAAGCTTTTAGGAAAAAGAATCAGAATAAAGCAATTAACTGCATATACCAAGACATATCAGACATTTAGGAATTTCCTCCAATTTTGGGACACATATTAATAACACATTTATACAAATACAACTCAAAGAAAGTTAAACACCATTTCTTATTTGACAACGTTTCCCATATAATTGTTTGTTGTTTTTTTTTTTTAGACTGAGTCTCACTCTGTTGCCCAGGCTGGAGTACAGTGGTGTGATCTCAGCACACTGCAACCTCTGCATCCTGGGTTCAAGTGATTCTCGTGCCTCAGCCTCCCAAGTAGCTGGGACTACAAGCATTTGCCACCATGCCTGGCTAATTTTTGTATTTTTAGCAGAGGCAGGGTTTCACCATGTTGGGCAGGCTGGTCTCGAACTCCTGACCTCAGGTGATCCACCTGCCTTGGCCTCCCAAAGTGCTGGGATTACAGGTGTGAACCACCGCTCCTGGTCCGTATAATTTTAACATAACAAATAAGCCTAGTATATCTCTCTTGGCCTTTCAGGGGCCTATTTGTTATGTCTAAGTTAGTTTGGGTCAAGAAGACTTAAGTTTAGAATTTGAAATTTGCTTTTGGGAAGTATGTCAAATATCAAAGGTTAAAACACTTGATATCAAAGTAAGAAAGCTTTAAAACACTTTATCAAAATAGGATCCTGGATGACTGCAAAATAATAGTCATTTAGCCAAAGTGATAACTCAAAGATGGCAAAAAGCAAAAACCTTTACTCTTTGATAGAGAGGAGACTGAGTTTTCCAAAAAATCCAAAGCCCTAATAAAGACAGCGTGAAACTGTCTCTCCTTCTCTCCTTTTTTTCTTTCTTTTTCTTTTTTTCTTTTCTTTTTTTTTTTTTTTGAGACAGAGTCTTGCTCTGTCACCTAGGCTGGAGTGCAGCAGCACAATCTCGGCTCACTGCAACATCCGCCTCCCGGGTTCAAGCAATTCTCCTGCCTCAGCCTCCCGAGGAGCAGGGATTACAGGCATGCACCACCATGGCTGGCTAACTTTTGTATTTTTAGTAGAGACGGGGTTTCACCATGTTAGCCAGGATGGTCTTGATCTCCTGACCTCGTGATCCGCCCACCTCGGCCTCCCAAAGTGCTGGGATTACAGACGTGAGCCACCAGGCCCAGCCCTCTCCTTTTTTTTTTTTTCTTAATTGCAGTTGACTGAAAAGGTAAACAAAATAATTTTCTCTCTTATTAATATGACATAAATTCTTGTTTAAAGGAGAAAATGAAAATTTACTTTTATATTAGTGTATTATCAATACAAAAGCTAATTTTAATAAAACCCTATAAACAAATCCATCCAATTTCAGTCAGCTTTGGACCACACAGATAAGATTCCCACAAATCCTTTATAACTGCTTATAAGACTTTTTTCTACTTTTTTCTTACCTCAACTTTTAGATTCATTTATTTTTATCTATACCATTTCTCCTTCATTTTGAATCAACCTTTAAATAACCTCTAAACTAGAAAAAATTACTTTTCCTTCAGCAAAAACCACAACCTCATGTCTTTTTAATAACATTTCTTAACCTAAAATACATTTTGCTTTCTTTATACACTCTGTATATAGAATTGTTTCTCTTATATCTAGTAGTTTAAATTACCATAATTTCAACTCCTAGTAAGCTTAATTTCCAGTGAAAAACCCAGGAAGTAAGTAATTTTGTACTGTCTTATATCAGTATTTGTGGATGAAAATTATTTCATAATTTTTCAGAAAGATGTTTCCTTAATTTTTTGTTTATTAACAGATATACTTAAAGTATATAAACTTAAACTTGTGTTTAAAAGTTAATATTCCAGTATCTTACCTAGAAATGACTCAGACATTTTATGATGATCTGTTACTTTATTTAACATGACATGACTTTAAGATTTGAAATTACTGAAAGGAATTTGAAACTATGACACGATTATCTTTTCCGGTTTTTTTTTTTTTTTTTTTTTTGAGACGGAGTCTTGCTCTGTTGCCAGGCTGGAGTGCAGTGGCACGATTTCGGCTCACTGCAACCTCTGCCTCCTGGGTTCAAGTGATTCCCCTGCCTCAGCCTCCCGAGTAGCTGGGACTACAGGCATGCGCCACCACGCTCGGCTAGTTTTTTGTATTTTAGTAGAGACGGGGTTTCACCATGTTGGCCAAGATGGTCTCGATTTCCTGACCTCGTGATCCGCCCGCCTCGGCCTCCCAAAGTGCTGGGATTACAGGCGTGAGCCACCACGACCAGCCCACAAGTATCCTTTCTAACGTCTTCCCCAGTCACTCTGGGTCCCAAGTACCCACGTGGCACCCAGGGATGGCTATGAAAGGCAGGGCTTGTCTGGGTCCCGAGTTAACACACCAACTATAAAGCTCAAGGCAGAGGACAGAGCTGTGAAGATAATGTCTGACCCTTCCCAGCACAGCCAGGGGGCACAGCAGGGGCAGGGAGACCTCCACACATGTCCCTCAGCCTCACCATGGCCATTTGCTTAGAGTCTAGAATCGAATGGCTCCAAGACTTAAATTCACAGACAGAAGCAACAGTTTTATGACCTTAAAACATCCAACAGAGATAGCCTAAACCCATCTGACCATAGACCCAGGCGAAAATATCTGCATTATATTTAATACTGATAATTCTGAAGACATTTCTATTTTATTTTATGAACAATTTAAAAACTTTTTTTTTTTTTTTTTGAGACGGAGTTCACTCTTGTCGCCCAGGCTGGAGTGCAGTGGTGCGATCTTGGGTCACTGCAACCTCTGCCTCCCGGGTTCAAGCAATTCTTCTGCCTCAGCCTGCTGAGTAGCTGGGATTACAGGCACCTGCCACCTTGCCCAGCTAATTTTTGTATTTTTAGTAGAGACGGGGTTTCACCATGTTGGCCAGGTGGGTCTCGAACTCCTGACCTCAGGTGATCTGCCCGCCTTGGCCTCCCAAAGTGCTGGGATTACAGGCGTGAGCCACTGTGCCTGAACTGAGACCAATTTCATTTTAGATGGTTAGCTTCTAATTTAGTCTCCATCTACCAACTGGACCACTGAGTTCAGGGCGGAGCCCATTAACAAATAGGACCAACGAAGGAATTGCAATTTCCAGGGCCTAATACTTACAGATGTGAAAAGCAGGTCCAGCTGGAAGGCAGAACACTTAGGTCTCCCCAAATCAAGGTCCCACTTTTACACTGGATCCTGGGTCCCCCAAAAGAAAGAAGCACCACGGACAGTGCAAAGGACAGTGTACCTCACTGCAAGGACATTCTCCCCAATGCTGGTGGGTAACCCCGCACCAGTAAGTCACTTTGTGATCAGCCCATCCCCTGCAGGAGTCTTATCCCTTTGTCGCAAGTGTTTCCATAGCCTCTAGGTATCCAAATCACACTTTTCTATCTTTTTTTTTTTTTTTTTGAGGCGGAGTCTCGCTCGGTCGCTCAGGCTGGAGTGCAATGGTGTGATCTCAGCTCACTGCAGCCTCCACCTCCCGAGTTTAAGTGATTCTCATTCTCCTGCCTCAGCCTCCCAAGTAGCTGGGATTACAGGTGCACACCACCACGTCCAGCTAATTTTTGTATTTTCAGTAGAGATGGGGTTTCCCCATATTGTCCAGGCTGGTCTCAAACTCCTGGCCTCAAGAGATCTGCCTGCCTTGGCCTCCCAAAATGCTGAAATTATAGGCATGAGCCATTGCGCCTGGCCAGATCACACTTTTCTTATCTAAACATGCAAAGAAAGGAGTAGCCTCCCTGCGGCAATAACTCTCGTTGTAAACACTGTCAGCCACCCTCAAAATGGCAGCCCTCATCAGTGACTTGTCAGCCATGGCACACGCAAAGGTCATATTCTGTCATAGTACTAAGTAATCCCTGGTACTCCCAAAAGCCTCAAAGATGGGAGAAAGCAATGCAAAAGAGAGCAGAGTTTTAGACCACAGAGAAACCTTCTCATGACTCTTGGAACCCCACAAGGAAGGCAGAAGACCCCAAAAAGGGGGTGAGTGGCACCTTTTCCTGTGTTCCTCAAGGAGTCGTGTTAGTCTGTGTTGTTATAATGAAATAACTGAGACTGGGTAATGTTTTTTTTGAGACAGAGTTTCACTCTTGTTGCCCAGGCTGGAGTGCAATGGTGCGATCTTGGCTCACCGCAAATTCTGCCTCCTGAGTTCAAGCGATTCTCCTGCCTCAGCCTCCCAGGTAGCTGGGATTCTGCCTGGCTAACTTTGTATTTTTTTTTTTAGTAGAGATGGAGTTTCTCCATGTTGGTCAGGCTGGTCTTGAACTCCCGACCTCAGGTGATCTGCCCACCTCGGCCTCCCAAAGTGCTGAGATTACAGGCATGAGCCACCGTGCCCGGCCGAGACTGGGTAATTTATAGAGAAGAAAGGTTTATTTGGCTCATGGTTCTGCAGGCTGAGCGGAAAGCATCGTGTTAGCTTCTGCTTCTGCTGAGACTGCAGGAAGTTTCCAATCATGGCGGATGGTGAAGGGGAAGGCAGTGTGTCCCATGGTGAGAGAGAGAGCTAGAGAAAGAGAGGAGGAGGTGCAGGCTCTTTTTAAACAACCAGCTCTCGAGTGAACTAACAGACCAAGAACTCCCTCATTACCATGAGGACGGCAGCAAACCATTCATGAGGAATCTGCCCCCATGACCCAAACACCTGCCATCAATCCCCACCTTCAACAGTGGAGGTCACATTTCAACATGAGATTTAGAGGGGACAAACATCCAGACTCTATCAGGGTCTCAGGGGCACAGGAAGTCTCCTCTAGATTGATTCATTTGGCTTCAAAGATAGCAAAAGGCAGGAGGAGCAGAAGTGGAAGGAAATGGAAGAGCAAGAGCAAAAATCATGCCAACAAGACCAGGCATGAGGGCTCATCCCTGTAATTCCAGCACTTTGGGAGGCTGGGGCGGGAAGACTGCTTGAGGCCAGGAGCTCGAGACCAGCCTGAGCAACATGGCAAAACCCCATCTCTACAAAAAATACAAAAATTAGCTGGGCGTGGTGGCTCGCGCCTGTAATCCCAGCTACTCCAGAGGCTGAAGCAGTAGGATACTTTGATCCTGGGAGGTCGAGGCTGCAGTAAGCCATGATTGTGCCACTGCACTCAAGCCTGAGTGACAGAGCAAGATGCTGTCTCCAAAAAAAGAAAAAAAAGAAAGGAAAAAAATAAAAATTATACCAACAGAAAAGACACCAAACAGAGGGATCAAATGTAATTTTTAAAAAGGTGTTTCAGTCGACTGAAAAAAAATGCCAGAAACAGGATAAAGGCCTTCCCCTATCTAGAAAAAAAATTATAACCTGAATATTAGCTTCTAATTAAGCTGACTTCTGACTGTAGAGCTCTAAAAAAAACTTCTTTCTAATTATAATTCCTCCTCAAGCCATTTTACTTTTGCTTCTGTTGCTAGCTGGGCTTCCGTCACCCAATGGGCAGCCCACAGAAGCAGTGATCCTGACATTTCTGGGGCATCCTTGTACTCATGCCATGGGCCAAAAGTGTCCAAAAGATGAGCCACACCACTCCACATAGAAGTGGCTGGCTACCCTGCGATGTCCCCCATGGATGCTTCATTCCCTCTGCCCATTTCTTGGTCTCTCGGCTCCTGGCTGGATTGCTACATGTTCTGCAGTGAGCAGGCCTATGCAAACCCACCTCCAAGGTCCAAGGGAGCTGAGATGCCAAAGAAAGAGGCTGACAAATCCCGTTTCTCAGAGAGAAACATTAATAAGGGCTTACAAACAGAAGTGGTGTCTTGCGGCCATGCAACAGTGGATTCCCGCACCGACCTCCAAAAAATATCCTTTCTCTAGCAAACTTTTAGGATAAAAACCATGCGTAGCTGGTCACACCTCAGACTTTCTTGCAAAACTCATGACCACTGAGGATGTTGGATAAGCATCTTGACAAGGGGTTATCTATGCTATGGGCATTGTTTCTCTATCAGGGGTTATTTATGCCACAGGTGTCGTTTAAAGACCTTGCTGCGGGAGTCAAACATTGTTCATCATGGCAATTTCACTTCAAGATGGTGTCACTCTTGCCATGCAACAGGCTGTTTTCCTGCAAGCTGAGATGCAGATAATCATGGGCCACAATCTCACAGTGTCAGCCATAGAATGCCTCCAAAAAAACTCCCCAGTATCCCTGCCCCCCATTTTGATTTCTCTTTCAAAGCATGCTCTTGGAGAATGAGATAGGGTAACTGAGGAGGGAGGATTGCTTGAGCCTAGGAGTTTGAGACCAGCCTGGGCAACATAGTGAGACCCCATCTCTATATTTAGAAAAAGGGCAGAAATAAGACTGAGATAAGGGGAAAATATTTGCCTTGCTTTAAACCAAACCAAACATATGGGATGACATTACAAAAATCACAATTCTTTAATTTATCAAGCTTCCCTGAAACTGAGTCCTTGTCCTGCACCACGTGCCTCACATGTATTACCTCATTTATCTCCAGCTACCCTATGTGTAGGGCAGCACTAGCTGCTGTAACAAATAAGCCCTGAAATGTCAATGGAGTAACAGTAGAAGTTTATTTTCTTTTATTAATTTTTATTTTTATTATTATTTTTTTGAGACAGAGTCTTGCTCTGTCACCCAGGCTGGAGTGCAGTGACATGATCCGGGCTCACTGCAGCCTCAAACTCCTGGGCTCAAGTGATCCTCCTTCCTTAGTCTCCTGAGTAGCTGGGACTACAGGCATGCACCGCCATGCCCAGCTAATTTTTGTATTTTCAGTAGAAACAGGGTTTCAACATGTTGTCCCAGCTGGTCTGAAACTCCTGGACTCAAGTGATCCTCCTGCCTTGTCCTCCCAAAGTGCTGGGATTACAGGTGTGAGCCACTGTGCCCAGCTAGCAATAGAAGTTTGTTTCCTGCTCATGTAACATGTCAGCACAGGTGGTCCTGGTGGATGGCAGTTCTACTCTACATAGTGTTTTGGGATGATATGGTTTGGTAATTTGTCCCCTACAAATCTCATGTTGAAATGTGATCCCCCATGTTGGAGGTGGGGACTGGTAGGAGGTGTTTGGGTCATGGGCGTGGATCCCTTATGAATGACTTGGTGCCCTGCCCACGACAATGAGTTCATGCAAGATCTGGTTGTTAAAGAAACTGGAAGGTCCTCTCCTCTCTCTTGCTCCTGCTCTCACCATGTGATACGCCTACTCCCCCTTCACCTTCCAACATGAGTAAAAGCTTCCTGAGGCCTGACCAGAAGCAGAGCAGATGCTGATACCATGCTTATATGGCCTGCAGAGCCACGAGCCAAATAAACCTCATACTCTATAAATTACCCAGTCTGAGGTATTCCTTTATAGCAACGCAAAATAGACTAACCCAGGGGACTATGCAACTTCCAAATTGTTCCATTTCATGGAGCCTTAGAGCCCTTTGCATCTAGGTGGAAGAGGAAAGAGAGAGTACACCCATTTCATAAAAGCCCTCCCCAGGAATTGCCTCACTTCACGCACACACACATCATATTGGCAGGAACTAGTCACGTGACCCACTGCTCACATGACCCCACTGGGATGCGGGGGATGCTGGGAAATATTGTACCTGGCTGGGCTGAGTGCAATGGCACAATCATAGCTCACTGCAGCCTTGAACTCCTGGGCTCAAGTAATCCTCCCACCACAGCTTTTTGAGTTGCTAGGGCTACAGGTGCGTGTCACCACATTGGCTCATTTTTTGTTTTTTATAGAGACAAGCTCTTGCTGTGTTGCCCAGACTTGTCTCAAATTCCTGGCCTCAAGTGATCCTCCCTCCTCAGCCTCCCAGCGTGCTGGGATTACAGGCATGAGCCATGGTGCCTGGCCAGGGCAGCTACTTCTTAGCAATAACTCCATACTACAGAAGATCACTTCTTTTGGTAGATAGCTAGCTGTTTCTGCCATACCTGATGTGGTAGAGGTGACAATTATAACCATTTTACAGATGTGGAAACTAAGACCCAGAGAGTCTGACCCCTGGGTCACAGAGCTTGTATGTGGCAGAGCTGAGACTTGAATTCAGGACTCTGTAAGTTTAAATCTCTTACATTTAATCACTATAATTCTAATTTTAGATAAGCATTTAGCTTCTTCAGCTTTAACATTCTTGAGAACAAAATTCTTCCCTTGATTTATACAAAATGCCCCAAATGCCCAAGCAACGTATGTCTGGAGGCCACGGTGTAGCAGTCATGATGCCAAGCGGGGTTTTAGTCTTCAGTATTTCATCCATTTGTAGAAACGATTATCCCCAGAAAGTTGACCTGCATTTTGGACTCCTGCCAGAAATCAAGGCATGGTACCATCTGTAAGAGATAAATAAATCAAAATATCATCAGCAGAGAAGTGTGTGCCATCTGCTGCCCCGTCAGTTGAACTGGCAGAGGCCTCCGGAGAATCCAAGGAAGTGCTTGCCAAGGCTCTGCCGCCAGCCCAGATAGTGAGAGGAGAAGCTTCACACAAGATCTGTTGGCATTTTTTTCCCCCAGCTGAATTCCTTGAATCTGGCCAGCAAAGGTGTATGAACTCTTGCCCTTGCCAACCAGTTAAAATCATTCCCCATTGGCCTCATTTGCTGGGGACCAGGACTGATTCTTCTCTGCCCGCCCAGCAAGTTGAAAGCACTCAACTATGAAGAAAATTTACCATGCACCTGCCAAAAAGCTTTGCTGCTTGTGGAATCTGGGTCTCGGAACCAGGGTCAAACTTTGAACCAGCCAGATTTGAGTCCACTTCGCTGGGCACGTCTGGAAGGCTGCTAGGTTCTCCTGCCACGTGTGGGGTCTCTGGAGGGTGTGTGGGACTTTCCTTAGGAGGAATGAATTTTACTAGGACCTGCCTGCTCTGCTAAGATGTAGTACAGAGGAATGACCAAATCAAAGGCTCTGTGCCAAGCTGTCTTGATTGGAATCCTGGCTCCACCACTAGCTGTGTAAAGTTAGACAAGTGATTCACTCAATCTCCCTCTGCCTCAGTTTCTTTTTTTCTTTCTTTCTTTTTTTTTTTTTTTTGTTTTTTGGTTTTTGGTTTTTGAGACGACATCTCACTCTATTGCCCAGGCTAGAGTGCAGTGCGTGATCTCAGCTCACTGCAACCTCTGCCTCCCAGGTTCAAGCGGTTCTTCTGCCTCAGCCTCCAGAGTAGCTGGAATTACAGGCATGTGCCATCGTGCCTGGCTAATTTTGTATTTTTAGTAGAGTCAGGGTTTCACCATGTTGGCCAGGCTGGTCTCGAACTGCTGGGCTCAAATGATCTGCTCACCTCAGCCTCCCAGAGTGCTGAGATTACAGGCCTGAGCCACCGTGCCCAGCCAGCCTCAGTTTCTTCATCTGTAAAATGGGTGTGGTCATAGGAGCTGCCTCATAGGCTGTCGTGCAGATTAGCAATTGATGCATGTAAAGCACTTAGAACACACGTTGGTAGGCGCATAAAGCATGTCAGCACGTGTTATTGGCTGGTTGACTTTGTGAAACTGTTGCTACTGCCTCTCTCTGTTGACCCTGCCTTCCCCGCCTCTCCCCACCTCCTGACTCCATGGAAGCCTCAGCAACACCATCTGGTGGGGTATGGAATTAAGTCACGATCTTCAGACCCAGGATCTGGGGATTCAGCCAAGGATGCTGGGCTCCTTAGTGACCCCTTCCCCCTGTCTCGTTGCCCACATCTCTGCTGCCAACCAGGACCTGGGCGCCCAATGTCCATGCCAAGGGTAACTTGGCAGACCCTCAATGCTCTGCACACCTTCTGCCAGCATTGGGCATCTGCCTCTGGCCACCCCCCTTGATTTTGCCTGTGGCCCTGCCAGGTTCCCCCCACCTGCTCAGGCTGAAGTTGCAGAATTACAGCCTCCTGCTTCTGGCTTGGGAAGACGCCCGGGCTCTCCTTGGGAGGAGTGACATGTGTCTCTAACTTAGGATCCAGGGAAAGAATTTTTAAAAAGCTCTTATTTATGGAGCCAAGCACAGGGCAGCCATTTTCACACACTTTCTCCCATTTCAATTCTCTCTCTCTTTTCCTTCCTTCCTTCGTTTCTTTCTTTCCTTTCTTTCTTTCTCTTTTCCTTCCTTCCTTTCTCTCTCTCTCTCTCTTTCTTTCTTTTCTTTCTTTCTTTCTTTCCTTTCTTTCTTTTTCTTTCTTTCTTTCCTTCTTTCTTTCTTTCTTTCCTTTCTTTCTTTCTTTTTCTTTCCTTCCTTCCTTCCTTCCTTCCTTCCTTCCTTCCTTCCTTCTTTCTTTCTCTCTCTCTCTCTCTCTTTCTTTCTTTCTTTCTTTCCCCTCCCTCCTGCCCATCTCCCTTTCTTCCTTCCTTTCTTTCTTCCTTCCTTCCTTCTTTCTTTTTTTTTTTTTTTGATGGATTCTCACTCTGTCGCCCAGGCTGGAGTGCAAGGGCATGATCTTGGTGGCTCAGTGCAACCTCCACCTCCCAGGTTCAAGCGATTCTCCTGCCTCAGCCTCCCGAGTAGCTGGGACTACAGGCACTTGCCACCACGCCAGGCTAATTTTTGTATTTTTAGTAGAGATGGGGTTTCATTATGTTGGCCAGGCTGGTCTCAAACTCCTGACCTCAGGTGATCCACCCGTCTCGGCCTTCCAAAGTGCTGGGATTACAGGCGTGAGCTATCATGTCCGACCTTTTTTTCTTTTTTAAAAATGGATTCTTGCTATGTTGTCTAGTCTGGGCTCAAGTGAGTCTCCTGTCTCAGCCTCTGTAGTAGCTGGGACTACAAGCATGAGCCACCATGCCTGGCTTGTTTGAATCCTTTTTGCAAGCCTGGATGGAAGGCGCTCTGATTTCCGTCTGGCAAGCAAGGAAAGGGCTTAGAGAGGTGAAGCCACTCCCTGAGATCACTTGGCTATGAGGAGGCAGAGGATGGATTTGAACTCACGTCCTGTGGCTTCTGAGCCTAGACACCTCCTTGTGCTGGCGCCTCCAGACCTGTGATGAATGACATTGAGGGTGTGGGTGTCAAAACATGGAGCTGATTCCTTTGCAGATGTTGTCTGAATTAAATCCTAACTGAAGATGTCTTGTTTTATGCCAATGACCTTATTTAGCCTTCCCAGCAACCCCAGAAGATTGGAATGGTCAACCTTAATAGCAAACAACTACAAAAAAGAACCCAACCAAACAAATATATATATTTAAAAAAAAAAACCATTATTTACTCCCAGTCCCACAGCTAGCAGGTGGCACAGTGGGGATTTGATTTTTTTTTTTTTTTTTTGAGATGGAGTCTTGCTCTGTCACCCAGGCTGGAGTGCAGTGGCGAGATCTCTGCTCACTGCAACCTCCGCCTCCCAGGTTCAAGCAATTCTTCTGCCTCAGCTTCCTGAGTAGCTGGGATTACAGGTGTGTGCCACCACGCCTGGCTAATTTTTGTATTTTTAGTGGAGATGGGGTTTTGCTATGTTGGCCAGGCTGGTCTCGAACTCCTGACCTCGTGATCCGCCCACCTTGGCTTCCCAAAGTGCTGGGATTACAGGCGTGAGCCACTGCGCCCAGCTGGCACAGTGGGGATTTGAATTCAGGTCTGCGGGAAGCCAGAGCCCAGCTTTTAACCAGGGAGCACACCCTGTCCGGCTTCCTGGTGACCCTGGTGCACCCCATGGCTCTCCTTGCTGCCTTCACACAGGAGCTTCTTTCTCAATTAAACCAGACCTACAGGAGGAGATCTGGGGGTGGAATTCCTGGAATCAGGCCTGAGTGGTGAGCCAGAGTGAGGCAGCTGTGACCCGGCCAGTTCTATCTGTGGTGGATTCCTGGAAGACTCATTTCTGCTGAGGGCCCGTGCCAGGCTCTCCGTTTCATGGCAGTCTCGATGTGCCTGCTGACAAGCTCAAGCTGCTGCACTGAGGGCAATTTCTGAGTGATGCCCCCATCCATCCTCGCTCAGCCAGAGCCCCTGGAGACAGTAACTCAGAGGGGCTAGCGGTGAGGGGAGGTCAGGGCCTCCTGAATTTTCTGTTTGATTCTCATGCTGCAAAATCCAGCTGCCCCATAAGGTGATGCCACAAGGTCTAGGAAGAAATGACCTTCCATTTGTCTTTTCTGAACGGTGGACACACCCCTGAAAAACATATCTAGGTCCAATTCTGGAATTTGTTTCAAAATAATCTCATGGTGGTGGGGACAGTGGGGTGTAGAGGTGACAAGACTGGCCTTGAGTTGACAGGTATTGAAGCTGGTGATGGGGACATGGGGCTTTTTGTACTAGTCTCTCTACTTTTGCAAAAGATGGAAATTTCCCATAATAAATAAAATGTTTAAAAAAAGATTTTAGAGATACCTGGTCTGGCCATAGAATGCCTTCTGGAATGTGTCCTTGCCCTTTTTTTTTTTTTTTTTTTTTTTTTTTGAGGCAGGGTGTCACTCCGTAGCCCAGGCTGGAGTGCAGTGGCACGATCTTGGCTCACTGCAACCTCCGCCTCCCAGGTTTCAGCGATTCTTGTGCCTCAGCCTCGACTACAGGTGCACACTGCCACGCCCAGCTATTTTTTGTATTTTTAGTAGAGACAGGGTTTGACCATGTTGGTCTCAAACTCCTGACCTCAAGTGATCCACCTGCCTTGGCCTCCCAAAGTGCTGGGATTACACGAATGAGCTACCGCGCCTGTCCTGTCTTGTTCCGTTTCTGACCAAGTCAGTCCCCTGCATGATAACAGAGCCTTGGACAGATAAGGACTTAAGTCCAGATCCTGATTCTGCCACATAGTGGCTGTGTCACCTTGGGTAGGTCACTCTGCCTCTGTGAGCCTTAGTTTTCTCATCTGTAAAATGGGAATGGATTCAGACTTCGTGCCATTGCTGTGATGAACGCCAAGTCCTTTGCGTGGGGCTTGTTCTGGACTCTCTTCCGGGTTGTGGGATCCTGGCTCTAAGGCAACATGACAAACTCGAGCCTGGGGTGGGATCTGCCTTCCAAAGGGGCTTAGCAGAGGGGCCAAGCCACGCTCAGGGTAGCACGTGACAATACGATGAGTGATATTGCAATAAAACCCTTGGGAAATTTAGAGTGGAGAAATGTTGCTTCTGGATGGAGCGAGTGGTTGGTGAACAAGACAGGCTTCATGACGGGAGAGTGGGGTGGACATTTGAGCTGGATCTTGAAGGCTGGGGATGGTTCAGACTTAGAGAAACAGAGAGAGAGATGTTGAGATTAAGGCAGTAGCAAGAACAGAGACCCAGCCATGGGAAAAGGCTGAGAATGCAGACGTGATGGCTAAGGTGACCTCCCGATCTTAAGTCTGCTGCCTCGTGGCAGGTGTAAGGCTCAATGTGGCTGCCCAATGTCTGCTGTTGGAGCCCTCAGCTCTTTCTTGGCTAGTGTAGATATCCCTTTCTGTTTGTCTCTTCTGTCTTAGATTGCTCCCAAGATTCAATTTCTGTCTCACTGTGGCCATACATTCTGGATTCTGCAGAGTAGGTCCCCGCTCTTGTGAGATTCTTGAGAAAGACGATTTATGAAGTACTATTAATTGCTTCATTCCACAATCATGTCTGCAGCACTGATCACTGCTCCAGGCTTTGAGGACACAACAGCGAACAAGACATACATGGTCACGAAGTTTCTATTTGTTGCTGAAAACATGTGGCCTCCGTGTTGCAGAGACATTGTCTGGGCATTATTATTATTATTATTGAGATGGAGTTTTGCTCTTATTGCCCAGGCTGGAGTGCAATGGCTCAATCTTGGCTCACTGCAACCTCCACCTCCTGGGTTCAAGCGATTCTCCTGCCTCAGCCTCCTGAGTAGCCGGGATTACAGGCGTGCACCACTGGGCCTGGCTAATTTTTGTATTTTATGTAGAGACAGGGTTTCACCACATTGGCCAGGCTGGTCTCGAACGCCTGACCTCAGGTGATCTGCCCACCTCAGCCTCCAAAAGTGCTGAGATTACAGGCGTGAGCCACCACGCCTGGCCTGTCTGGGTGTTATTTAGAAGAGCCAGGAAACATCATTTTTTGGAGAGAGGATTCCAAAGAATTACTGATATGTACACTTTAACATGAGAATGGAAGTTCCGTGAGGGCAGGGATTTTGTCTGTGTGGTTCGCTGCTGTGTCTCCAGCACCTAAAACCAGGACTGGCACATAGTAGGTGCTCAATAAATGTTGATGGGATACAACTGTGTGAATATAAAACGTTGACATTGGGAACTTAAGAGAAGAGAAGTGTACTTTTGGGGATTGAGATTAATTCAGACACCTTCAGATATCACTACTTGATGTTGTGATTTTGATGCCTAAGATAGAGAGATAGAATATGAATTCTCAGGATTTCAGGGTACGCAGCCTCCAGCCTAGTCTAGAAAGTGGTTAAGCCCACAGTGCACACAGGACTACACGTAAATAGATCCGAAAGCAGAGGAAAAGTCCCCTGCACGTCCTGTAGAGGACACGTGTACTAAACAAGTTGACAAATCCATACACAGGACAATTTCAGAGCGTGATGGTGGTCTCACTATGGAAGAAAAGCAACGCAGGTGCAGGAATAAGCATGATGCGGTGAGGAGGGGTGGGGACCACCTTAAGTAGGGCGGTGTGCCAGCTGTTCTCCATCCACCCCTCCATGTCCATTCCCTGCCCTTCTCGGTGCCCTGGGAACTGCCTGGACTCTGTGCCCATTGGTTTTGGCCAACAGGAGGCACCTACAGGGAATCAAGAGGGCAGAAGGAGAGAAAGATCAGGGCATTCCTTTCTGGCTCATCTTGTTCTCTCCCTGTTGCGGTTTTGACAGTGACTACATTTCTCTAAGGAGTGGCTCTCAAAGTGTGGTTCCCAGGCCGGCAGCATCAGCATCCTCTGGGAACATGTTGGAAAGACCGATTCTCAAGTCCCGGCCCAGAGATGCTTAAGTTCTGATTCTGAGGCTTGTTAAGTGTGAATTCAGCTCCTGATGGCAGCTCCTCCTCTATGGCTTCACCTCTTCCAGGCTCCTTTCCCTCCCCTGCCCCTTCAGACCTGGGTTTCCCTTGGTTACCAGCCCCTCAACCCTGTCCACACCCCTATACATAATTTCTTCACTCGTCGGTCTTCAGTGAGCCCCTCGGAGGTACCATCTGTTTCCTGCAGAGACCCTGACTGTCCAGATGACCAGCATGTCAGTTCATCCCCATCTAGACAGGGCACACCCTCTCACGGTCACCCAGTCCCCACAGGCTCGCCTCAGTCATTGCTGGTCATTGAGAAGGCTTGAGTTGGTGACCTTGAGTTGAGGCTGAGATTTAAGTCCTGTCTGTGTGCCCCTGGCCTGCAAGCAAGATGCAATGGTGTGTGATGGTGAGGGCAGTCACACATGGCATTTCTCTTTAAGGCTATGGTGGGTATGAACAGGCACTCTCACTTCTTCTAGCCAAGGAATGCCCTAGTCATTTATTCCTGTAGACCCAGTAGGATAGAACTCTGAGCTTCCACTCCCCAGAATAGCAAGAAATTCAATCTCCAGTTTTTGAGATTTCCTTTCAGCCCCTGGGTCGTATGAAGTTTTCAGGCCATTTGAGAGAACGCTCTGGTCTTCCCCTACCCTTCCTCTCCCCACAGCTGGTGGTTTTCTGGCCTCATGGGCACCATGGGACCCTCACTGGGTGCAAGATTTTGGCTGAGCTAATAACCTATGACCCCAAAGTCCAGCTTTCCCGTGACGTTTTTCTTTGAAGGCCCTGACATCTTTTAGGGTGCTGTGGATCCCCAAACATCTTCTCCTCTTGGAATCTGATGGCCCCCCTTTCTTTCTGCATGAATTCCCTCTGCTGTCCCCTCCCTGAAGCAGGAAGACATCACCCTCCAGTGGGCCTCTGGGAATACAAGGGGCCTTTAAGGAGTCTCCTTCCTAGGGCAGGAGATGCCAGCTCCATTCACCTTTGCTATCTTAGCAGCTCAAAGGGAATCAGATGGGGAGGGGGTAATGGGAGAAAGGGCATCTTCAAGGGGCAAAAATGAGGCCGTTCCCAGGCAACATTGATGGGCATGGAGGAGACAATGGAAGGCGCAGGGCCAGGACCCAGGCTGGGGCCCACGAAGGAGCCCAGAGCATGTCTGCAGCAGCCTCAGGCAACCTGGACTGCCGCCCACTGAGTTGTCCCAGCTGTACCCCCTGGTGGTTGACAACAAGCCCTGCCGACCTACCCTATAATATGCACTGTAGAAACACCAGCGTTGGTGATCTTCATGTTTTTATAGGTAGGGAAACTGAGGCACCAAAAGGTTCATATTGATGTTACACGTGCAGTGAGTGATGGAGCCAGGCTGCACCCAGGCAGGCCTGGCTCTAGAATCCCTGCACTGAACCAGTGCGTGACCCCCTGGCCATGTGCTAGTCTGTGATGGTACCTGCATGTCACTCTTGTTTCCCCCAATTAGGCTGCAGAAGACCGTGTCTCATGTTTCCTCTGACCCGCATGTAGGTGACAGTGATGACAACGAAAGCCATCTCCTAAGCACACACTCTTTTTTTTTTTTTTTTTTTTTTTTTTTTTGTGATGGGGTCTTTATTGCCCAGGCTGGAGTGCAGTGTCAAAATCTCAGCTCACTGCAACCTCCACCTCCGGGGTTCAAGTGATTCTCCTGCCTCCTGAGTAGCTGGGATTACAGGTGTGCACAACCACGCCCGGGTAATTTTTGTATTTTCAGTAGAGACGGGGTTTCACCATGCTGGACAGGCTGGTCTTGAAATCCTGACCTCAGGTGATCTGCCTGCCTCAGCTTCCCAAAGTGCTGGGATTACAGGCATGAGCCACCGCACCTGGCCCTAAGCACTTACTTTTTTCCAGGCATTGCATCTAAGCTCTTTGCCCATGTTGAGTCTTCACAAGACCCCTACAGGTGCTGTGCCCATTTCGCCAACAAGGAAATAAAGGCACAGAAAGATGGGAGGACTCACATGGCAGGAAGTGACAGAGCCAGCATTTGCACTCAGCTCTGCTGATTCCAGAAGTCAGACCCCTGACCACTGAACTATTCTGCCCCATAAATGCCCTTCCCTGAAGGATCGGCCGGTGCCATCACATGAGCCATCACTAAAATGACTCTCTGTTGTTTTTCTAATGTTGGAAGGATATTTTTAATAGGCTGTGATTCTCACCCTGAGTGTACATTGGAATCACCTGGGAGCTTTTAAAACGCTAAGATATATGGGCTCCACCCTGACCAATGAAATCAGAATCGTTGTGGGTGGGGCCTGGGATTCACATTTCCGGGGTTAAGAATCACGTAAATTGATTGACCTAATAGGATTCTTCTCAGCTTTCAAGTTCCATGGTTCACCAAAGGTATGCTGCCATCAGGTGGCAGTAACATGCCACAGCTCTGTGATCTAATTGTCAAGCCCCAGTCTGAAGTGTGATTGAGAGACAAGTGCACCTGTCTTAAGGTTTAATGCCCAAAATAAATCCCTTAACTAAACATATAAACTTAATTGCCATTGATTTTGATATTTTATGGGTCACTTCTAAAAGCGGCAAGCCAATATGGTGCCATTTAATACCTAGCTCATTAATCCTTAGATAATCTTTATCACAGAGACTAAGGATTTGGAGGAAAAACATCTCTTCTGTGTTTGAATTTCAGCTGTTAGACTTCTGGCCATTGAAGTATCCTGTGTTCCTCATGTCATCTCTATGACTTTTCCTTAAACCTCAGCGTTGACCTGCCTGGGCAGTGTGGGCTAAGTTTGATCACCTCTGCTTAAACATCTTCTGTTTAGCCTTGTCCATGTAGCAGAAATGGAAGTGTGAGAGCCATTTATTTTGGCCCCTCTTGGATTTTCCCTGTCTCTATGGAGGTATATTCCTAGGAGATTTCTTTCAGGACACCCCCAGCTGTCCATGGTGGGAACATCTGGTTCTGGTAGGAAATTCTGACATAGCAATGGGAGCAGAGAGCTGGGAAGATTTTAGGATGTGGTGTGGAGTCTGCAGACCTGGGTTGAGTCTTGCTCCATTTCTTACTGGCTGTGTGGTCTTAGGCAAGTCACCGAAAGTTCAGACCCTCACTTTGCTTGTCTTGAAAGTGGAGATTCTCATTGAAGTTTGTTGTGGGACTAAAGAGACGGCAAATATCCTTTCATGATAAAACTGCTCAACAAAGTAGGAATAGAAGGGAACTTCCCCAACCTGACAGAGGGCATATATTAAAAAAACCCCACAGCTAACAACAAATTTTATGGTACAAAAATGAATGCATCCCCTCCAAGATCAGGAACAAGATGAGGATGTCCACTCTTACCACTTCTATTTAATATTATATTGGACATTTTAGCCAAAGCAATTAGGCAAGAAAAAGAAATAAAAGAGATCAAGATTGGAAATGAAGAAGTAAAACTATCTCTATTTGCAGATGATATGAGTCTGTATATAGCAAGTTCTAAGAATCCACTAAAACTGTTAGAACTAATAAATGAGTTCAGCAAGATTGCAGTTTACAAGATCAATATACAAAATTTAATTATATTTCTATACACTGGCAATGAACAATCCAAAATGAAATTTAGAAAACAATTCCATTCATAATAGCATCAAAAATTATAAAATACTTAGGAATAAATTTAACAAAATAAGCATGAAACCTATATTCTGAAAACTACAAAACATTGTTAAAAGAAATTTGAATAGATCTAAGTAAATGGAAAAACATCCCATGTTCATGGATTTGAAGTTTTAATATTTTAAGACGGCAATACTTCCCAAATTGGTCCCATTACAGATTCAGTGCAATCCCTTTCAAAATTCCAACTTGCTTTTTTAAAGAAATTCACACATTGATCCTAAAATTCATATGAAAATGCAAGAGACCCAGAATAGACAAAATGATCTTTAAAATGAAGGCCAAAGTTGAAGAACCCACATTTTCCAATTTCAAAACTTCAAAGCTACAGTAATCAAGATAGTGTAGTATAAGGAGAGACATATAAATTAATGGAATAGAACTGAGAGTATAAAATAAACGCTTTTACTTATAGTCAATTAATTTTTGGCAAGTGTGCCAAGACAATTCAGTGGAGAAAGAATAGTTTTTCAACAAATGCTTCTGAGACAACCGGATATCCACATGCAAAAGAATAAAGCTGGACCCCTTTTATACACCATACACATAAATCATCTCTAAATGGATAAGAGACATAAATAGAAGAGTTAAAATTACAAAAGTCTTAGGGGAAAGAATAGGAGTAACTCTTCATGATCTTGGGCTAGGCACACCCTTCTTAGGTATAACACTAGTCTAGGTGTAGTGGCTTATGCCTGTAATCCCAGCACTTTGGGAGGCTGAGGCAGGAGGATCACTTGAGCCCAAGAGTTCAAGACTAGCCTGGGCAACATAGTGAGACCCCATCTCTATTTTTCTTTTTTTAGATGGAGTCTCACTCTGTTGCCCAGGCTGGAGTGCAATGGCGTGGTCTTGGCTCACTGCAACCTCTGCCTCCTGGGTTCAAGCGATTCTCCTGCCTCAGCCTCCCAAGTAGCTGGGATTACAGGGGTGCACCACCATGCCTGGCTACTTTTTGTATTTTTAGTAGAGATGGGATTTCACCATGTTGGCCAGGCTTGTCTTGAACTCCTGACCTTAAGTGATCCACCTGCCTCGGCCTCCCAAAGTGTTGGGATTACAGGCGTGAGCCACCATACCCAGCCTCTATTTTTAAATTAATAACAAAGAAGATATGACAACAAAAGCACAAGCAACAAAAGAAAAATAGACAAATTGGGCATCATTAAAATTAAAAACTTTTCTGCTTCAAAGGATGTCATCAAGAAAGTGGAAAGACAAGCCACACAATGAGAGAAAATATTTACAAATCAGATAACTGATAAGGGACTTGTATGCAGAATATATAAAGAACTAATCACCCATAATAAAAGGACAAATGACACAATTAAAAAGTGGGCAAAGGGTCTGAGAAGATATTTCTCCAAAGAAGATATAGAAATGGGCAATAAGCCCATGAAAAGATGCTCAACATCATTAGTCATTAAGAAAATGCAAATTAAAACCACAGTGAGATACCGCATGGCACTGGCAAGGATGCTTATAATAAAAAAAGACGAACAATAGCAAGTGTTGCTGAAGACATGGAGAAATTGGAATCCTCATATGTTGCTGATGGGAACATAGAATGATGCATCTGCTTTGGAAAAAAGTGTCGCAATTTCTCAAAATGTTAAATATAGAGTTACATATGACTCAGCAATTCTATTCCTGGGTATATACCCAAGAGAAACAAAAACTTGTCCACACAAAAACTTGTACATGAACGTTCATAAATAACCAAAATGTGGAAACAAATTCAAGTATCTATTATCTGATGAATGGATAAATAAAAGGTGGTATATCCACATCATGTAATATTATTCTGTGATATAAATAACATAGGCTACAAAGATGGTTGGTCCTTAAACACATTATTCTAAGTGAAAGAAGGTAGTCACAAAACATTATTATATGATTGTATTGTATGATTATATAATTCCATTTATATGAAATGGCATTTCATGTCTTGTCTGATCATATTGAGTGTATTCTATAATTCCATCTATATGAATCATACAATATTGTAAGATTCCATTTACATGAAATGACCAGACTAGGTGAATCTATAGAGACAGAAAATAGATGAGCTCTTTCCTAGGGCTGGAAGGGTTGCAGGAAATGAGTGACTGCTAATAGGTACAGCTTTCTTTTCAGTGTGATGAAAACGTTTTAAAATTGATTGTGGTGATGGTCACACAGCCTGGTGAATATGCTAACAGTATACTAAAAACCATTGAATTGTACACTTTATTTTATTTATTTATTTATATTATTTATTTATTTTGAGACTGAGTCTCACTCTGTCGCCCAGGCTGAAGTGCAGTGGGGCGATCTCAGCTCATTGCAACCTCCGCCTCCTGGGTTCAAGTGGTCCTCCTGCCTCAGCCTCCTGAGTAGCTGGGATTACAGGCAGGTGCCACTATGCCCAGCTAATTTTTGTATTTTTAGTAGAGAAGGGATTTCACCATGTTGGCCAGGCTTGTCTCGAACTCCTGATCTCAAGTGATCCGCCTGCCTTGGCCTCCCAAAATGTTGGGATTACAGGTGTGAGCAGCCATGCCCAGCCAAATTGCATACTTTAAATGTATGAATTGTATAGCATGGGAATTATATCTCAATAAAATTGTTAAAGAAAAGGGAAAATGCCTAGCACATAGATCTTAAATATTATTGAGGTGCCCAGTTGGTGGTGAGAGCTGGGAGCCTGCTGCAGGAGGGCGGGCATCTTTCTTAGGCTCAGGAGGCACAGAGCGGAGGGCCCAGAATACTTCTATAAAGGTCTTGGGCCTGTGAAAATGTTTTAGGGCCATGAAAATTCTACGGGCCCATGAAAATGTTTTAGGGCCGGGCGTGGTAGATCACGCTTCTAATCCCAGCACTTTGGGAGGTTGATGCAGGAGAATTGCGTGAGCTCAGGAGTTTGAGACCAGCCTGGGTGACAGAGTGAGATCCCATCTCTACAAAAAATAAAAAAAACTAGCCAGATGTGGTGGTATGTGCCTGTGGTCTCAGCTACTCAGGAGGCTGAGGCAGGAGGATCACTTGAACCCAGGAGTTCAAGGCTGCAGTGAGCTATGATTGAGCCATTGCACTCCAGCCTGGGCAACAGGGCAAGACCTTATCTCTAAAAATAAAAACAAATAAACAAAAAAAGAAAAAAATTAATTTATTTTAAAATCAGAAGAAGATATAAACTTTTAGGTGAAAAAATGCTTAATACTTAATATATTCATCTTTTTGCCAATGTGGTTGTAAAATAGAATTCTTATTATTATGTTTTGAAGTTTAAGAAGGGCCCCTAATAGGCAAAAATGTGCAAGGCCCACCAACATTTTAATGTGGCCTCGGGTGTTGGTCTGAATTTGGCCATTACATCTCCTCCATTCCAGCAATATAACAGTACAGAAAGTTTAAAACAATTCACTCAAAATCCATCCACTCCAGCACAACACTTTATATTATATTATATTATATTTTTTTGAGATGGAGTCTCACCCTGTCACCTAGGTTGGACTGCAGTGGTGCGATCTCTGCTCACTGCAACCTCCACCTACCATATTCAAGCGATTCTCCTGCCTCAGCCTCCCAAGTAGCTGGGATTACAGGCATATGCCAACACACCCAGCGAATTTTTGTATTTTTATCAGAGATGGGGTTTCTCCGTGTTGGCCAGGCTGGTCTCGAACTCCTGGGCTCAAGTGATCCTCCGAAAGTGCTGAGATTATAGGCATGAGCCACCGTGCCTGACCAACACTTTTTAATTTTAATCCTTCCTTCTAGTTCTTGGCTGTCAGCAAACATCTCTTTCAGTGGGCTAAAATATCAGCACCTCTAATGTGCTGTGTGGCCCAGGATGGTCCCTCAGCTGCCCTGGGCCTTATCGTCTTTGTCTGTAATGGAAGGTGTGAGTCCTGCATCTCAGTACGGAGCACAAGGCGGGGGCAGGGGAAGCCAGAATGCTGGAACCACAGAGCAGGGTTCACCCATCTGTGGCCGTGTGATTCTTTGGAAGGAGTGACATAAATAAGAGAGGAAGCACCTCCTTGGCTTGACATTTAAGACCCTTTGTGATCTGACCCCTTCCTTCCTTCTCAGACTCATCTCCCACCGCTGCCTCCATCTCTGCCTTTGCATTGATATGGGGCTGGCAGGAGGTTCAGGAGGCCAAAGGGGCTTCAAGAGACCTTATCAGAGAACTTAGGAAGCTCTAAGCAGACAAATTAGTTGAGAATGCCGAAAGCTTCTAGATCGTTTTGACTCTTCTACCCACATTGGTCCCTTTTGACCCAATCTGTCTCTTTGTTGGGACCAGCAGTAACATCCTGAAGCCAGGGGTTGCAAACTCACCCTAGAGTTTATCCAGTCTAGTGTCGCAGGGGCCATCTCAGTGGTTTAGGTGAAGCTGGGGGCAGAGCAGTAGTGGGCGGTGGGGACTGTGGCAAACCAGAGAGCTTTCAGGTGCCTTATCTAAAGGAGGCACAGCTGCCTGGCCCCATGTGATTGTTGCTGTGTGGGATTGTGGGCTCAGCACAGCTGGATCTTCTGATTCTTTAAGAGAAAATTACAAATCTGAATTTGTAGGTAGCAATTTACCTATTTTTATGATCCCGTGTGGGTCAAACAAAATGTGTTTGTGAGCATAGGTCCAGCGTGCGCCCCCTCTCTTTGTTAGAAAGGTCTAGAAGTTGGGCCATGATTTGCTCAGTGCTGCATCCTTGGTGGCCAGGTCTGTGTCCGTGGCATCAGGGAGGCCTGGGAGGAAAGACTGAAGAGGGGAAGCTTCTTGTAGACATAAGGTTTCAGTGGCATTCATTCATTTATTCATTCATTTGCTCGTGTATTCATTCTCTTGCTCATTTGTTCATATATTCCTTCAATATTGTTTGTTTGTTTCCTTTTTCCTAGATGGGGTCTTGCTCTGTTGCCCAGGCTGGAGTACAGCTTACTGCAGCCTCAACATCCTGGGCTGAAGTGATACTCCTGCCTCAGCCTCCCCAGTAGCTGGGACTACAGCCCCGTGCCACCACAGCTGGCTAATTTTTAAATTTTTTTGTAGAAATGGGGTCTCGCTTTCTTGCTCAGGCTGGTGGGAAAATATTTATTAAGCAGTCACTGTACACACCAGGTTCTGTTGTAGCTGTTAGGAATCCATCCAGAAGGAAGATGGAGAGTGTCAGGGGAGGGACATTTGGAATTTTAGATAGATTAAATGGAAAGGCCTCCTTGGGAAGATAACATTTGAGAAAAATGACAAGGGAGAGGAGGAGTAAACTACTCAGGTATGCGAGTGAACAGTGCTGCAGGCAGCAGAGGCAGCCAGTGCGAAGGCCCTGAGGCAGGAGAATGCCCGGCACGTTTAAAGATTGGCAAGGAGACCAAAATGACAGGAGTGGAGTGAGCAAGGGGGAAGACAGGAGGGAAAGAGGTCAGGGAGGTGATGGAGAGACAGATCACAGAGGGTCTTGCAGGCCACAGCGAGGACTTAGGCTCTGACTTGGGGTGAGTTGGGAATGCTGGGAGGGTTCTGAGCAGAGAAGGGACATAATCTGTTTTAGGTTATACCAGGATACTTCTGGTCACTGTGAGGATGGGGCAGAAAGAGAGAGACCAGTGCAGAGGCTACTACAGTGATCCTGGTGGGAACTGATGGTGGCTGGACCAGCGGAGGTGGCGAGAAGTGGCTGGATGCTAGACGCATTGGGAAGCTAGAGCCACGAATGAGATAAAGATGGCAGCAGGGTTTTGGCCTGAGCATCTGGGGATGGAGGTGCCATTTACTAGCTGGGGATGCAGTGAAGACTTGGTCCCTGTCCTCACAGAGCTTGCAGCTTGCTGGGGGAAATAGACATTAATGTGTGTGTAAGCAGAGTCCGGAGTGAGCTTCTTCTATTTGTAAGAAAGGGTCTGGAAGAAGTAGAAAGTTCAGAAGAAGAAAAAGAAACTTTTAGGTGAAGAAAATGTTTAATACTTAATAGTAATATTGTATATTAGTCTCTATACCAATGTGACTGTAAAACATAATTTTAAAATTACTTAAAAATTTAATTAAATTAAATTTTATTTAAATTAAAAATTTTTGGCTGGGTGCAGTGGCTCATGCCTGTAATCCCAGCATTTTGGGAGGCTGAGGCAGATCACTTGAGGTCAGGAGTTCGAGACCAGCCTGGACAACATGGAGAAATCCCATCTTTACTAAAAATACAAAAATTGGCTGGGCGTGATGGTGGGTGCCTGTAATTCCAGCTACTCGGGAGGCTGAGGCAGGAGAATTGCTTCAACCCAGGAGGTGGAGGTTGCAGTGAGCCGAGATTGCACCACTGTACTCCAGCCTGGGCGACAGAGTGAGACTTTGTCTCAAATAAAATAAAACAAATTAAAATATTTAATTTTTGTGGGTACATAGTAGGTGTATATATTTATGGGGTACATGAGATGTTTTGACACAGGCAAACAATTCAATTATACTCTTTTTGTCATTTAAAAATATACAGTTAAGTTATTATTGACTACAGTCACCCTGTTGTGCTAGCAAATAGTAGGTCTTATTCATTCTTTCTAACTATTTTTTGTACCTGTTAAGCATCCCCACTGCTCCCCGCCCAATCCCCTACTACCCTTCCCAGCCTCTGGTAACCATCCTTCTACTCTCTATGTCCATGAATTCAATTTATTTGTTTTTTAGATCCCACAAATAAGTAAGAACATGCAAAGTTTGTCTTTCTGTGCCTGGCTTATTTCACTTAACATAATGACTTCCGATTCCATCCATGTGGTTGCAAATGACAGCATCTCATTCTTTTTTATGGCTGAAGAGTACTTCATTGTGTATATGTAGCACATTTTCTTTATCCATTCATCTGTTGATGGTTAGGATGCTTCCAAATCTTGGATAGTGCTGCTATCCACAATTGATAAATACAATTGTGCTATCCACGATTGATAAATACAACAATTAATTATTTAATTAATTTTTATTTAGGAAGGGGCTCATCAAGGCAAAATGGCCGAAGGCCCACCAATGCCTCAATGTGGCTGTGGATGCTGATATGCACATTTTTTTTTTTTTTTTGAGACAGAGTCCCTCTCTGTCGCCCAGGCTGGAGTGCAGTGGTGTGATCTTGGCTCACCTCTGCCTCCCAGGTTCAAGCAATTCTCCTGCCTCAGCCTCCCGAGTAGCTGGGACTACAGGTGCATGCCACTACGCCCAGCTAGTTTTTGTATTTTTAGTAGAGATGGGGTTTCACCATGTTTGCCAGGATGGTCTCCATCTCTTGACCTCATGATCCGCCCGCCTCGGCCTCCCAAAGTATGATCTGTATGTTGAATTTCCCTCCCTCTAGCCTTTGAGGAAACAATGTAACATTAAAAAAAGTATAAAGCAATTCATTCAAAATCCATCCACTGTAGCACACCACTTTTGTTTTCTTTCTTTTAAATCCTCCCTTCCAGTTCTTGGCGGTCAGTACACTCTCTTTCAGTGACTTATCATCTCAGTGCCACTAACTTGCACCTGAGACTCACACATGCAAAGGCAGACTCAGGATGGTGGCCATGCCCCATAGAAATCCAAGGTGCTGTGAGAGTTACAACAGCGGGAGCATGTTCCAGGCGGGGAACAGCATGTGCAAAGCCATGGTGGGAGGCTGCACAGGGGTGTACCAGGAACGGGGGCAGAGGGAGAGGGCAGTGGGTGGACAGGCCAGTCAAGGCCTGTTCTGGGTCCACAAATGGGAATTTGAACTTTCTCCTTTGGGAAGTCATCAAAGAGTTTCAAACAGGAGCAAGCTGTGTGTGTGCGTGTGTTGGATGTGATCAGAGCTGTGTTTTGAAATGATCCCTCCAGCTGCAGCGTGGAGAATGAATTGGAGAGGGGCCAGAGTGGAGGCCTGGGGAGGCCAGTGAGGAGGAGCGTGGATTCTGGGGGGAGGCTGTGGAAAGGGACAAGGTTGCTATCGTGGAGGTGGAAGCGATGGGCCAGGATGGATGGGGTCAGGAGGTGGGAGAATTGGCAGTTTCGCCATCCACACTCCTGGGATGTTGGGCTTCTAGGAACCAGGGTTGGAGAAAGATGTCACTGGGCTTGGGTCAGAGACACTGGCTTGCTCCAGGGCTCATGGGATGGGAGCAGGCAAACCTCGGAAGCCCACGTGTCCTCTCACATTCTGAAAACGCTTCTCTTCTTTTCAAAGGTGAAAAATGTCGCAGCTTCATTGACCTGGCCCCGGCATCGGAGAAAGGTGAGTGTGACCCCAGCTGAGCTGTGGCAGCTCTGCTCTCTCTGGGGACATCTTTCCTACCTTGGTGGCTCCCCAAAGCCCTGTGATAGCATCTTCTTCAGCATCCCTGGGCAACAGGGCCCTGGGAGCCAGACACCCTGTTGCAAAGCCCTGAGTTTCTTGAGCTCTCAGTGGAGTGGGAGAGGCTGGTGGATGGGGACTGTCTGCCCTCCCTGTCTGACAGAGTAGTCCTGAGGGTCATCACCCTTCCATTCTGTCCAGTGCATGCTGGGACTGTGGGAGGGATGATGGGGGTGTGGACGTTTGGTTCAGGCAAGACTGGTGTTGGGGTTTGCCTCCAGCTGTAGGATTTGACCTTGGGGGAGGGAAGCCAGGTGCCTGGCCTTTGTCATCTCACAGGTGTGGGGAGGGCCAGTCTGATTGGATGCCACCATCCAGAGAGGGCTCACTGGTGTTCAGAGCCCGACAGCAGAGGCTCTGAGCCCACAGAGATGTCCAGAGGTGTGCAAGGCAGTGACTGGATTATCAGGAGCAGGGCACAGCTTGAGTCAGGGGATAGCAGTCAGGATTAGGTTTAGTTGCAAGTAATAGTGACCCTAAGGAACTAATTTCAATGGAGAAATTTATCTCCTTTATAAAAGTTTGAAAGTAGACAATCTAAGGTGGCTCTGCTCCACAAAGTCCTCAGGATCCTGGCCCCTGCCACTCTCTCTGTTGTCCCACTGTGTTTTTCTTCATGGTCTAAGATGGCTGCCAGAGCACCAGCTATTACATCTGCATTCCAGGCAGCAGGATGCAGGAAGGGCAAACTCTAAGGTTCCCAGAAGTTATCCCACAACACCTGCATATATCTCCTTGACCAGAACTAGTCACATGGTCACACCCAGCTAGAAGGGAGGCTGGGAAATGTGGTCTTTATCCTGGGCAATGCTGTGCCTAGCTGAAAGTCAGGAGTTTTGTTATTATGGAAGAACAAGAGAATGGACACAGGAGGAGAGCCTGCCACAGGGACACGGGGGAGTGTGGCTGCCTCCCCACCTGCCTACCCTCTGCCACCCAGGAGATAGGCTGCCAAGAGTGAAACAGGTATGCATGTCTCTTCAGATAGCCTGGAGATTAAGAGAGGGCTCTGGGCTTGGGAGTCAGGGGAGGGGAAACTGAGGCAGAAGGGCACCATGTGTCCTGGAAGCTGGTGACATTCTGTTTTGCAGACACTGTCTTTTTGGAGCGCTCCAGTCAAGTGGCAGCTGGTGAAGTTGAGGGGCAAGAGACAGGGAACCCACCGGGCCCTCAGTTCCCAGAAAGCGACAAGGACTCCCTACCCCCCAGCAGCCTCTTGGCAGTCAGGACCGCCTCCTCCATTTCTTTGATGTCCCCATGGCTGTGTTCTGTTTAATTGCTACATGTGACCATCTCCAAAACATTTGGCTGGGCGGCTCAAGCCACAGCTTCCAAATTGAGATCACTGGGAAACACAATAATATGACCACTGCATGGCTGATATTTGTTGAACAGTTACTATGTGCCGGATACAGTGCCAAGCACGTCGCAAGCATCAACTGAGAAACCTCCCCACAACCCCTTGAGGAAGGGGCTGTCATTCTCACTCCCACCTGACAGATGAAGAAACCAAGGCTTAGAGAGATGAAGTCACTTAGGTCTCACACCTCATGAGAGGCAGAGCTGGGTGAAATCCAGGCCTGCGCTTCACACCTCTCCACTGTCTGCAGCCTTCTGGGATGTGCAGCCCTCTGGGATGTGCAGTCCTCTGGGATGTGCATCCCATAATTCCCAAGGCCTTGGAGCTCCTGGGTCAACTTTGCTCCAAATCTGGCTTCCAGAAAGCAGGGCCTGTGTATGTGCACATGCATGTGTGCGTGTGTCCCGGGTAAGGGTGAGTGTGCATGTGCATGAGTGGCTGCTGCTATGTGTGTGCACGCATGCATGCCTGTGGATGAGCTGGGTGAGCATGTGTGAACGTGGGCATGGAGGCGTGTACACATGCGTGCACATGTAAGTGCAGGTGCCATGTGTGCATAAGCACAGGTGTGTTCTAGGGTGAGCACATACGGGTTGTGTGCCCATGTGAGTGCGTGTGTGAATTTGAGTACGTGTGTGTGTGTGTGTCTGTGTACAGTGGCAGGTGGGTGGCCTGTGCCCCTCCAGAAGGTATCAGGCCTTTATTTTGCTTCTTTTACAAGAACCCCAAAGAGGTTGTATCTTTGTGTTTTACTGGCCTTGTGATTTTACTTTTAGGGCTTGGCAGCCACACCGAGAACCTTCTGGCTGTGTATATAAAAATGTTTACAAGGAGGCTGAGTGGGCTGGCTTTGCCACTGAGGTGCTGAATGATTTTCACGTACTCGCTGTCTCTCAAACACTGTAGCTCTCGCTTGAGGTTGGCAGGGTTTGGTCCAAGGCAGCCCGTGTGGCCTCCCCCCATGTATACGGGCCCAGCCCTTCCAGTAGACACCCGCAGTAACGTGGCACCCTCAGACCCATCCATTTTCTCCCCACCACACTCAGCTTCTCCATTTCACAGAGGAATCTGAGGGCAGAGAGACGAGGGACTTGTTCCCAGCCGCACTGGGAACAAGTGTGCGGGGTTGGATGTCCACACTCAGCTGTGTTCTCCCAAGGAATACTCTTTCCCTATGTTATGGCTCCCGCACTGGCTCCCTCTGGGACATCCCTCCTGGCATCTTTCTGGTCTGCCACATACGATAATCGCGACACTGGCACTAACTGGCTTTCATACGGTAGTTACTGTGTGCCAGGTGCTATGCTGAGAACTTGGCACACGTTGGCTCCTGTAATCCCCATTTTACAGGTGAGGAAACTGAGGTACAGAGCAACCACACGGCTGGAAAATGGGGGAACTGGGATTTGAACCTGAACAGTCTGGCTCTTAAATGTCTGGTTCTCCTGCTGAAAAGCTTAGGGCTTCTGAGCCTGGGGGATATCTGTACTCCCTTTATCAGCTGAGGTCCGGTGAGTGCTTTCCTTCCTGCCTCCAGCTCCTCCCACCTGGCAAACCGCAGGCATGATTTCAAGATTTCCAGGCCCTTCTCAAATGCCACTTCCCCATTCCCATTTTCTCCAATACCCTCTTGTCCCCTGCTCACCTACCCTCTCCCTCCTGGCAAAATATTTGTCCATCATCAGTTTCTTACCATAGCATCACACATTTTTCTTCGTTTGCCTGACTATTCTAGTTTTGTGTTTTACATGGGAAATGTCTTTTTTGTTTTATGCTAGCCTAAGCCACAACCATTTTTTATCCGGATTCCTGCCACAATCTTGTAAGTGGTTACCTCCTTTCATTCTTGCTCCCTGATTTGCTTGGTACCTGAATGATCTGTATTTTATATTTTGAGATGGGGTCTTGCTCTGTTGCCCAATCTGTAGTGCAGTGGTGCGATCGTAGCTCACTGCCGCCTTGAACTCTTGGGCTCAAGCAATCCTTCTGCCTTAGGCTCCGAGTAGCTGGGACTACAGGTGCGCACTACCATGCCCCACGCTTGGTGCCCAAATGGTCATTTTTTCTTTCTTTCTTCCTTTCTCCCGTCCTCCCTTTTGCCCTTCTGCCCTTTCTCTCTTTCCCCTTCCCTTCCCTCCCCTTCCCTCCCCTCCCCTTCCCTCCCCCTCCCTTCCCGTCTTGTCTCGTCTCCTCTCTTCTCTTCTTTTCTTGACACAGTTTCACTCTGTTGCCCAGGCTGGAGTGCAGTGGTGTGATCTTGGCTCACTGCAACCTCTGCCTCCCAGGTTCAAGCGATTCTCCTGCCTCAGCCTCCCGAGTAGCTGGGATTACAGGCGCACGCCACCATGCCCGGCTAATTTTTTTTTTTTTTTGTATTATTAGTAGAGATGGGGTTTCGTCATGTTGCCCAGGCTGGTCTCAAACTCCTGGACTCAAACGATCCTCCCACGTTGGCCTCCCAAAGTGTTGGGATTACAGGCATGAGCCACTGCACCTGGTCAAGTGAACCCCTATCCTGAAGCTACCTAGGAAACCCCAATCAACAGCCAGTTCATTAGCACACGTAAGACACTCTCATCACTCCAGAGGTTTCAAGGGTTTTAGCAGCTGTTTGCCAGGAACCATGAGACCAAATATATGTTTTTTGTTATATCACAGTATCACGATTATACACACTTGTTATAGAAATTTTAACAACCGTGGCCGGGTGCAGTGGCTCATGCCTGTAATCCCAGCACTTTGGGAGTACAAGGCGGGCAGATCACCTGAGGTCAGGAATTTGAGACCAGCCTGGCCAACATGGTGAAATCCTGTCTCTACTAAATATACAAAAATTAACTGGGCATGGTGGCATGCACCTGTAATCCCAGCTACTTGGGAGGCTGAGGCAGGAGAATGGCTTGAACCGGGAGGTGGAGGTTACAGTGAGCCGAGATCATGCCACTGCACTCCAGCCTGGGCAACAGAGCAAGACTCTGTCTCAAAAAAAAGAAAAAGAAGTTTTGATAGCCCCAAGTGCGTAAATTACAGATGAAAGTCTCTTATAAACCCACCCTTGGGTATTTAATATGAATGGTTTGGTTTATCAGTTCTTGAAAAAAATGTATACATACACACACGTATGTACATACATATATTTGATATATAAAATCATGGTTTGCTATTCATGTCAGTACATAGAACTTGTCCTTATCTTGAAACAGGTGTAGGATATTCTATCGCATGATGACTGATATAGTTTTCTTTTCTTTTTTTTTTTTTTTTAGATGGAGTCTCACTCTTGTCTCTTGTTGCCCAGGCTGGAGTGCAGTGGCATGATCTCGGCTCACTGCAACCTCCACCTCCCAGGTTCAAGCAATTCTCCTACCTCAGCCTTCCGACTAGCTGGGATTACAGGCACCTACCACCATAGCTGGCTAATTTTTGTATTTTTAGTAGAGACAGGGTTTCACCAATTTGGTCAGGCTGGTCTCGAACTCCTGACCTCAGGTGGGCCTGCCCACCTCAGCCTCCCAAAGTGCTGGGATTACAGGAGTGAGCCACCGTGCCTGGCCTGTGACTGATATAGTTTGAATGTGTGTCCCCTCTACATCTCATTTTGAAATGTGACCTTCAATGCTGGAGGTGGGGCCCAGTGGGAAGTGTTTGAGTCATGGAGGTGGATCCCTCGTGAATGACTTGGTGCCGTCCCCTTGGTAATGCGTGAATTCTCACCGTATTAGTTCACACTGGAGCTTGTTATTTAAAAGAGCCTAGCACCTCCTCTCCTCTCTTTCTCACTCTCTCTCTTGCCATGTGACATGCCTGCTTCCTCTACATCTTCCACCATGAGTAAAAGCTTCCTGAAGCCTCACCAGAAGCCAAGCAGATGCTGGCGCCATGCTTATACAGCCTGCAGAATTGTGAGCCAAATAAACCTCTTCTTTGTAAATTACGCAGCCTCAGGTATTTATAGCAGTGCAACATGGACTATCACGTATATTGACATGTGTTTAAACCAGGCTGTCTAGCTGAACTGCACTTGAGTGTTCTGTATTGTATTGTAGCTGAATAACAGTGACTTGTGCACATCTCTCTGTCCCTTACAAGCCCAAGACCTTCGATGGGTAGCATAATTTCTCATTTACCTCTGGGTCTCCAAGTCCTAGCCCAGCACTGGAGTACCACTGGCAAGACAGTATAAGCAGTATAACAAAGGTCTGCACAGTAGATTGTGCCAGGCAGAGAAGAAGAAAGTGATCAAAGATGCCTGAGCAACTTAAGATGAAATGTACAAACGCAGATCAACAGCAATGCCTCCATGTTATGAACTTTTTTATTTTTTATTTTTTGGTGGAGTCTTGCTCTGTCACCCAGGCTGGAGTGCAGTAGTGTGATCTTGGCTTACTGCAAACTCCACCTCCTGGGTTCAAGTGATTCTCGTGACTCAGCCTCCCGAGTAGCTGGGACTGCAGGCGTGTGCCACCACATCCAGCTATTTTGTATTTTTAGTAGAGACTGGGTTTTGTCATGTTAGCCAGGCTGATCTCGACCTCCTGACCTCAGGTGATCCAACCGCCTTGGCCTACCAATGTGCTGGGATTACAGGCATGAGCCACCGCACCCAGTTGATGTTGTGAACTTGATACTGAACATGCAGAGAAAAGTTTCTCCTACTTCCCTGTCTTCCTCCTCAAGGGTTCCTTTGTCTCTCAAAACCTCAGTCATTTATTCACTAGGGCAAGAGTCTCCTACCAAATAACTGTGACCCACAGGATAATCTTAAAACCTGGTGCATTGGCCAGTAAGACCAACAATAATGTTATGTAACGAGCTATCACACAACCCAGTGGCATTCACACAACTCAGTGGCATTCACACAGTTTTTTTTTTTTTCCTCACATGTCTGTGGGTTTTCTTGAGTTTAGCTCATGTCGGAAGGCTTGGTTCCAGGATATAGGCTGGGCTCAATCTGCCCCACTTGTGTCTGTTCAGGTAGAGGGGATAGTAGGTGCTTGGTGGAGGTTTTTTCATGGTAATGACAGAAATGCAAGATGGGGAGCCAACTGCACAAGCACATTTTAAACCTTGTTTGGATCATATCCACCAACATCCCATTGGCCACAGCCAGTCCCATGGCCAAGTCCAACATCAATGGGGCAAGAAGTATACTGCTCACATGGAGGAATGGGTGGGGTGTTTGGAGTGAATGTTTGCTGATCAATAATTTAAGTGACCACACCCGGACCTGACCATAGGTCTCAAGGATGGGTGGCAGCTGGAGCCAGCCTGGCTGGATTTCTGGTCATGAGTGTGAGACTCATTAATTTGCTTGTCAAGGTCTCCTCTGGTCATTGTCAGGATCTTTATTTCTCCCAAAGTGACCTAAATATTTGAATATTTATCTATAACCTGGTTGGCATCAGGCTGCTAAATGGTCTATTATTGCTTCCTCTTCTGAGATTGAAGAACTGTTTTATGTGCACAGACTTTGGCCAACTTTCTGGTTAAAAATATATAACTATTAACAGTCATGAAACCTTCCAGATTAACCAACTATCATTAAATTTTCTAGATTAACCAACTATCATTAAACTTTCTAGCTTCAAAAGAAAACTGTTCATCCTTTTTGCAAATTATTGGCAAATGTGTAAATGTTCTCTCAATGTCTTCAAAGACAACTGGCTAATTATAATAACACTTCCTCCTTTCCTTCTTCTCTCCCTCCCTCCCTCCTGTCCTTCCTTCCTCCCTTCCTTCCTTCCTTCTTTCCTTCCTTCCTTCCTTCCTTCCTTCCTTCCTTCCTTCCTTCCTCTTCTCTTATGGAGTCTTTTGACCTGCAGCCCCATTTTGACTCAATGATTATCTAGGGCTGTTATTCTGGAAGCCCTTTTTACCATTATTTTGAAATTTCCTCCCCTCTCTCATGTTGGCTCCACTGCTTCCTGGATCCCAGGTAGTCTTCTTTCTGGATTACTTCCTCATTTTGGGGAAAAATATCCTCCAGTAACTTCCTGAGAAAGACAGCATGGTTGAGACCCTTTATGTCTCATGTTGTTTTTATTTGTCTGTCACACTTGACTAGATGTTTTGCTGGGTATAAAATTTTAGGTTGGAAATAATTTTCCCACAAAATTTGGGAAGGATTGGCTGCTCCCTTGTCTTCCAGACTCCAGTGTTGTTGAAAATTTCAATGTTATTCTGATTCTTTTGTGTGATCTGATTTTTTCCCCTCTCTGGAAGCTTTTAATATCTTATTTTCTGTTCTCACTTTTTTTTAATCTTCCATTTTCATTTTTATTTGCCTTTTTATTTATTCCTCAGATATTTATTCAATTTTTATATTTCAATCAGCCAGTCTACTTTTAACATTTCTACAGTCATACTTTTAATTTTAAGAGCTTTTTCTTGTTATAGGAATGTTCTTTTTTTTAATAGTCTCCTGCTTTTGTTTTATGGACACAATATCTTCTCATATTTCTCCAATGATATTAATTTTTTTAAGTTTGCTTCTCTACCCTTTAATGTCTCTGTTTCTTCCAAGTTCTTTTGCCTATCTTATTTTAATTTCAACTGTCTTTTATATTGTTTTCCTTAAACATCTGATGTTCACGTTTAACAGTGAGGTGCGAACTTACTATTTTGAAGCTCAAGATACAGTGGAGATGGGGAGAATATTGGCCAATGGACTTCCCAATCATCTGAGCTATAAACTCCTCATCCAAAAAGTTCATTTGGGCCAGGCATGATGGCTCACATCTGTGATCCCAGCACTTTGGGAGGCTGAGGCAGGAGGATTGCTTGAGGCCAGGAGTTCCAGACCAGCCCAGGTAACATAGTGAGACCCCTGTTTCTATGAAAAATTTAAAAATAAAATTAACTGGACATGGTGGTGTGTACCTGCAGTCCTAGCTACTCAGAAGGCTGAAATGGGAGGATTGCTTGAGCTGGGGAGTTCAAGGCTGCAGTGAGCTAGGATCGTACCACCACACTCCAGCCTGGGTGACAGGGCAAAACCCTGTCTCAAAAACAAAATGAAACAAAACAAAAAGTTCATCTGATGAACCCATACGCACTGTCACGAGGCTTTTTCTCTTGCACTGATCAGTTTCCCGCAAGAGGAACTCTCCCATCTCCAGTGTATTAATAAACTCAGCCATCAGCATTCTGGGAATCAAATGGGGGGCCTGGGAGGTATCTCAGTGGCACACATGTAGACTTTCACTTAATTCTTGGTTTTCAGTATGGAGCTCAGCTGGGCCTGGTTCCTCTATTTGAAGGATTTTCTGAAGTTTCCTCTGTGGCTTCCTCCATGCGGGTAGTCAACTTCCAGCCTTCTCCTATCTGCTAAGTCATTAACCAACTATTCATGAAATTTCTAGCTTTTAAAATGTTGCTGCCATCTTTTTTTTCTATTGTTATCTCTTGTCACATCCTCTTTGTTCTGAGGATTTATGACTTTCTTATTCCTTAACTGTAATGATTGGCGGTATTGAAAGAGAGCAGTGGCCTTTGGTTCAGCCCCATGTTCAATCCCAGGTTTGACTTTGTAAACCCAGGTCTCTCTCCTGAGCTCTAGATTCCACCTCCAACTGCCTCCTGGACACTTCCTCCTGAGTGCCCCCAGGGACTGCAAACTCAGCTGGTCCACAATAGAAAACACTTGACCCTTCTTTGTCCATTGTCCTGTCTTCACCATTATCTGCTCTGATTCCAAAGCCAGGAACCAGAAGGTCATCCTCAACTCTTTCCAAATTCAATTATTTGACAAGTTCAGTTTCTTTTGTTTCATAAATATCTTTGTTTCTTTGTTTTTTTGAGATGGAGTCTTGCTCTGTCACCTAGGCTGGAGTGCGGTGGTGCAATCTCTGTTCACTGCAGCCTCTGCCTCCTGGGTACCAGCAATTCTCCTGCCTCAGCCTTCCGAGCAGCTGGCATTACAGGCATGCACCACCATGCCTGGCTAATTTTTGTATTTTTAGTAGAGATGAGGTTTCACCATGTTGGCCAGGCTTGTTTTGAACTCCTGACCTCAAGTGATCTGCCCACCTTGGCCTCCCAAAGTGCTGGGATTACAAGTATGAGCCATTGCACCCAGCCTATCTCCTAAATACCTTTTGCATTGGTGCGTCTTCTCTATCTCCACTGCCACAGCCCCTTTCTGCTTCTCATCACATCTCTCCTGCCATGACAATAATCTCTCAGTTGGCCTCCCAGACTCCAGTCTGCGCTGCTTAAAATCCATTCCTCAATGCTCATCAACACACCTAATGGAAAACTATAGAGCAACGAAAATGAACAATGTACAGCCAGGCATGGTGGCTCATACCTGTAATCCTAGTGCTTTGGGAGGCCAAGGTGGGAAGATCGCTTGAAGCCAGAAATTTGAGACCAGGCTGGGCAAAACAGCAAGACCCCATCTCTATGAAAAATTTATAAATTAGCCCAGTGTGGTGGCACGCACCTGTACTCCCAGCTACTTGTGAGGTTGAGGCAGGAGGATCACTTGAGCCCAGGAGGTAGAGGTTGCAGTGAGCTGTAATCATGCTGCAATCCAGGCTGGATGACATAGTGAGACTCTGTTTCTAAAAGAAAAAGAAAAGAAAAAAACAAATATGACTGCTCACAACATGGATGTTAGGTAAAAGAAGCTGCATTCAAAAGAATACATTCCATATGATTGCATTCCTGCAAAACCGGAAAATGCAGAAGCCCTATCTGTATTGTTAGAAGTTGGGTCAGCGGTTGCCCTTGCAGAGAAGGTGTAACTGAAAGGGAACTTGCGGAGGGCTTGGCAGCTGGCAGCATTATGTTTCTTGATCTGAGTGCTAATTATGTGTATATGTTCAGTTTAAAGGAAGTTCACCAAGCTGCATGCTTAGGATATATGCAGTTTTCTGTGTGCGTGTTGTATACTTTGCTAAAAAGGAAAGAAAAGTGTTTCCTATGCTGAATTTCAAATTATCTTTCTAAAATGAAAATCCAGTTACATCAGGCCCCTGCTGAAAACCTTTGCATGGCTCTCAAACATACACAGGGCATTTTAACCTGGCATTTATGGCCCAGCACGGTCTAGTTCTTGTCTGCCTTTTCAATCCCTGCCTCCTACAGTCCCTTATGTGAATCCTGTGCTCCAGTCCTGATGCTCTGCACACATCCATTTCCCCCAAACTATCCATCACCTCTCATGCCTCTGTGCCTTTGCATGTGCTGTTCCCTCTGCCTGACTTGCCTTTACCACCTCGTTTGCTTTGCAAACTTATATTCATCCTTCAAAACCCAGCTTAGAAATGACCTTTTGTGAAAAGCTATCCCTAAACCCCCAGAGGAACCTACTTACAGAGACTGGTCCTCTGAGCACTGATCCCGCTGTGTTGTGGTGACCTCCTCCAGCAGGCTGGATACTCCCTCAACACAAGCACTGCATCTTGTCTTTGTGGCGCCTGTGTGCCCGACGGGGCTGTACAGAGCAAGAATTTAGTAAAGGTTTGTTGAATAAATGAATGGGTGAATGAGTGAATGAATAGGGGCCAGGTTATAGATAGTGGGTGGCCCATTTGGGCTTAGAAACCTGGATCTGACTCCTGAAGCTGTGATCTCCTCTGACCCACCTGGGTTGAACTGTATTTTAAGTCATCCCTGCTCCCTGCTCCTGTTTCTTGGTGCCCTGGGATTTCTGGCAGCCACCAGCCAGCAATTTTTGTGAAGCAATCTCCAAAGCTTGTAGGTTTCATTTGTTTAATATTTCAGGGATGTGTAACAATGTGGTTGGCTCCATGGTCACACTCTTGAGTCTTGCGTGAGTCATTTCTCACTTCAGTTCCTATAATAGTCTCTTGTTCGTTCCCTCAACCTCTCTGTTCTCCGCCTGAAATCGATTTACAATTCTGCTGCTCACTTAATTTATTTAGTGCTTTTTATTGATTTATGTCATAGAACTGAAACGTGCATAGATCAGAGCATGCTGAGCAGAGAGGGGAGCCCCTCTCCACAGCTGCTTCCACAGCTGCCCAAACTGACATCTGAGCTAAAAACAGGTCAACCTACTGGCTGCAGCCGGAATACGCCAGGTGGCTAGAGCATCTTTTTGCCTGAGAGTTAATCAATGCTCTTTACACCCCTGGCTGTCTGGGGAACCCTCCATCAACCTTCATGAGCCAACCCAAAGGTCCTGCCTCCACAAAGCCCTCCTTCATCCCCAGACTGCATCAATTACTCTCACTCGATGCTCCCGAGGGACTGGGTACCTCCTGGTGGTCCAGGGCCCAGAAACATGGAAGCTGTGATTCTTTCCATTTCAAAGAGACAGACATTTCAAGACACAGAAAGGCAGGATACTGGTCACACTCCATTACTCCTTCTCACCTACCATTCCCAGATAGTATGGAGATAATACTCCCAGCCCTGCGACCCAGGTTGGGAACTGTCCACCATCTGAATGGCCCTGCTCCATCGTGGAGCTCTAGAATCTTCCTATGATGCCTGGCCATTGTCAGTCAACTCACAGCAGAGGCTGGCTCACCTGATGCCAGTTAATTCTCGGAGGCAGGGCAGACTGCAACCTCGCTTTCAGGAGTGGGCTGCAGTAACCTTCGTCCATCTTGCCTTGGGCCAGTCGTCAGTATCCCTTGATGCCAGGGTGTGTGTCAGGAAATAAGGCAGGGAGGAGAACCATCCCTAACCTCGCTCTGTTCTTGAAGAGCTCATCTTCTAGTGGGAAGGCAGATGAGGGGATCCAGACTCACAATCCGTGAGGGGAGACAGAGGGCTGCGGTGTGATGGCAGTCTAGGAAGATTGAGTGGAGGAGCGCCATGTTGGAAGCATCTCGAAGACAGAATGCAATTCCTTCTCGTGCATGAGGGGTGTCAGAGGAAGTCCCAGTAGAATGAACAGCCTGTGCAAAAGGCGACACTGAGTATCTCAGTGCTGGGAACCTGGCAGGTGCTCAGTGGACATAGCTAAGTGACTGAAGGGTGGAAGGAAGGGAGAGCCCAGAGAGGTCAACTGCCTTGCTCAAGGTCACACAGCAGGTTTAGGTCAGAGTCAGGCTCAGCCTCTAGGCTTCCGAGGTTTTCAAGCCTACCCTGCTACCCACCCTTCCTTCTCAGCCATCCCTCGAGACGCATTTGCTTGAGAAACACACCTGGCCCTCCCACCTCCTTAATTCTGAAGTGCTGGTTCTGCCACTTTCTTTTCTGAATTTCTGGATTCCTCTAATTATGTGCTCTTATTAAAGGTGATTAAATCCCTAAGCCTGGTGGAAGATTGCTCCTGGAGATCACAACATCTAATAATTGCTTTAGTTGCTCTAATTCCAATTATTCAAGATTATCTTTCCAGGTAATTAGGTATTTGGGCAGTCTTGCCTGCTCACTCTTCCACAGAGCATCATATTAACCCCAAACGGTGACCAGCCTTCATGTTTTGTAATTGGAAACAGTTTCTCCATGGCAAATAGACTCTGTTAAGGGTAAACAGCAGTAATTTAAATTTCTAAATGGCTCTGTGGTCTTAGCATGCTTTGCTATGAGAAATGATAATATAACTCGAAGGCTCACAATTTGTACTGATCTATGATGGCGTAGGGTTGGGCAGTGAACATCCTGTATGAGGGGCCCAGGGATTCACAGATAGGGTTAAAAAAGACAACATCATCATACATGTCTATACTTGCACCTCATTGCTAAACCACACTGCCTGTGTTATGCTGGAAATCTGGGACACTATTTTGTCATGTTTCCTTTTTGTTTGTTTGTTTGTTTGTTTGTTTTGAGACGGAGTCTCACTCTGTCGCCCAGGCTGGAATGCAGTGGCGCAATCTCGGCTCACCGCAAGCTCTGCCTCCCGGGTTCATGCCATTTGCCTGTCTCAGCCTCCCGAGTAGCTGGGACTACAGGCGCCCACCACCGCAACCAGCTAATTTTTTGTATTTTTAGTAGAGACGGGGTTTCATCGTGTTAGCCAGGATGGTCTCGATCTCCTGACCTCGTGATCCGCCCGCCTCGGCCTCCCAAATTGCTGGGATTACAGGCGTGAGCCACTGCGCCGGCCTGTCATGTTTCCTTTTTATTTTTTAGAGATGGGGTCTCACTCTATCGTCCAGGCTGGAGTGCGGTGGTGCAATCGTAGCTCACTGTAACCTCGAACTTCTGGGCCCAAGCAATCCTCCCGCCTCAGCCTCCCAAGTAGCTGGGACTATAGGCTTGCGCCACCACACTTGGTTACTGTCTTGAGAAATTCTTAATAATCTTTCAACGAAGGGCTGTTCATTTTCATTTCACGCTGCCTTCCCAATTTCGGCCGTGTGCCATACCCGCCTCCCATACCACTGCTCATTTACTATTTCTGTTCACATTCATTCACTGAAAAAGTCTAATTATTTTAGTCTCATCCTGAGCAGTAATATCTGTCAACTCATAGTTTTAGTATGCCAGTTTATTTTTTCAAGATGCTTTCAAATTAATAATAATAATGATGATAGAGTAGTGGCGGTGGCTCATGCCTGTAATCCAGCACTTTGGGAGGCCAAGGTGGGAGGATTGCTTGAGCCCCGGAGTTAGAGACCAGCCTTGGCAGCATAACAAGACCCCTGTCTCTAAAAAAATAAAAAATTAGCTGCGCATGGTGGCACGTGCCTGTAGTCCCAGCTACTCGGAAGGCTGAGGTGGGAGGATCACTTGAGCCTGGGAGGTAGAGGCTGTAGTGAGCCATGATTGAGCCACCACATTCCAGTCTGGGTAACAGAATGAGATCTTTTCTCAAAATAATAATAATAATAATAATAATAGATCAGGTGCGGTGGTTCACACCTGTAATCCCAGCACTTTGGGAGGCCGAGGCAGGCGGATCACGAGGTCAGGAGATTGAGACCATCCTGGCTAACACGATGAAACCCCGTCTCTACTAAAAATACAAAAAATTAGCCGGGTGCGGTGGCGGGCGCCTGTAGTCCCAGCTACTCGGGAGGCTGAGACAGGCGAATGGCGTGAACCTGGGAGGTGAAGCTTGCAATGAGCCAAGATTGAGCCATTGCACTCCAGCCTGGGCAACAGAGCGAGACTCCATCTCAAAAAAAAAAAAAAAAAAGAAGAAGAAGAAGTTCAAGACCAGCCTGGCCAACATGGTGGAATCACGTCTCTACTAAAAATACAAAAATTAGCTGGGCGTGGTGGTGGGTGCCTGTAATCCCAGCCACTTGGGAGGCCAAGGCAGGAGAATCATTTGAACTTGGGAAGTGGAGGTTGAAGTGAGCCAGTATCACGCCACTGCACTCCAGCCTGGACAACAGAGCGAGACCCTGCCTCAAAGTAATAAGAATAAGAATAAGAATAAGAATACCAAAACCTTATTTCTGTTTTAGCAACATGCCAGGCCCACTTGATTCCCCAACAACTTGAAGAGGTTGTACTGCTGTTACACTAGGTTATGGATGGGGAAACTGAGGCCCAGGTAGTTTACATCATCTTTCCCAACCAAGATCATGTGCGTTTTAAGTGGCAGAGGTGGCTCTGAACCTGGGTAGGGGCTGCAGAGTCCTAGCCTTTGCCATTTTACTTCCTGTCCCCAGGTGAACTAATAAAATAGAAAAGACTGCCCCAGCAAGGGGGGTAAGGAGTGAAATCCAGTGAAAGGAAAGGGCGAGGTAAGTGTCGGCCAGGTAGGGCTGGGGAGGAATCTTTATTCCTCCCCTTTGGCCGTCACACCATGGGGGTGACACTTGTGATTCTCTGAGGCCCTCCAGCCTCAGGCACCTCCTTCTGCTTTCTTCTTCTTGTGCTTCTAGTTCCAGGAAAATAGTCTGACCCTTGTGCATGGAATGTCAGAGTGCAAAGGGCTCCGAGAGCCGGTCCCACTTGCTCCATTTAACAGATGAGGAAATTGAGGCCCAGAGATAGAACTCTTTGTGGCTGCCATGGACTGAGCATATGAAGTATGCCTCCTGCATACCGGTCCTTAAGAAATAGGGTCCTGTCTCTGGGGCAACTTCCCTTAGCCCGACCCTGACATATACAGTAAGCACTCACTGAGTATACTCATCCCTTTCATGCATGTTATCACACAACCCACAGAGAACTTTTCTTTTTCTTTCTTTCTTTTTCTTTCTTTCTTTCTTTCTTTCTTTCTTTCTTTCTTTCTTTCTTTCTTTCTTTCTTTCCTTCATTCTTTCTTTCTTTTTCTTTCTTTCCTTCTTTCTTTCTCTTTCTTTCTTTCTTCCTTTCTTTCTCTTCTCCCTCCCTTTCTTCCTTCTTCTTTCCTTCCTTCCTTCTCTTTCTTTCTTTCTTTCTTTCTTTCTTTCTTTCTTTCTTTCTTTTTCTTTCTTTCTTTCTCTCCTCCTCCTCCTTCTTCTTCTTTCTTCTCCTTTTTTCAGATCAGGAAGCTGTGCTCAGAGAGGTTAAGAAACATTAGCCAGGCGTAGTGGTACATACCTGTAGTCCTAGCTACTCGGGAGGCTGAGGCAGGAGGATGGCTTGAGCCAGGGAGGTCGAGACTGCAGTGAGCTGTGATTGCACCACTGCACTCCAGCCTGAGTGACAGAGCAAGACTCTGTCTCAAAACAAAACAAAACAAAAACAAAACTTGCTCCAGGTCAGTAGCAGGGCTTGGATTTAGATGCAGGGCTTTGAGAGCCGGGCTCTGGGTTCAGATTCCAGCTCTGGCTCTCTAGTGGTGGGGCCTCAGGCGTGCTGTTGATCCTTTTAGTGACTTCATGTCTTCATCTGTAAAATAGGGATAACAGCGTCCACTTTGTGGGATTCTTCTGAGAATCAAGTGGGATGATCCATGTGAGGAGTTAGCACAACGTCTGGCTCAAACTCCAGCTTGAATATCCTGTCGGATTTCCCCCATCTCTTCAGTGTGGCCCAGCCAGCTGGAAGGCTAACTTGGAATAACTCAGTTTGCGTTTATTTCTACTCAGCTAAAACATTCAACTAAGCTTTATAGAATAACGCACAGAATTCCATTCACAGCCTGATACTCTCATACCCCTTGCTTCATTTAATTCTTTCTTTCTTTCTTTCTTTCTTTCTTTCTTTCTTTTCTTTCTTTCTTTCTTTCTTTCTTTCTCTCTCTCTCTCTCTCTCTCTCTCTCTCTCTCTCTCTCTCTCTCTCTCTCTTTCTTTCTTTCTTTCTTTCTTTCTTTCTTTTTTTTGAGACAGAGTCTTGCTCTGTGGCCCAGGCTGGAGTGCAATGGCACAGTTTCGGCTCACTGCAACCTCTGTCTCCTGGGCTCAAGCGATTCTTTTGCCTCAGCCTCCTGAGTAGCTGGGATTACAGGTGCCCGCCACCACACCCGGCTAATTTTTGTATTTTTAGTAGAGGCAGGGTTTCGCCATGTTGCCCAGGCTGGTCTCGAATTCCTGACCTCAAGTGATCTGCCCACCTTGGCCTCCCAAAGTGCTGGGATTACAGGCATGAGCCACCGCGACTGACCTCATTTAGTTCTTTCGACAGCTCTTTGGGTTAGGTACTGTGATCTCTGCTTTACACCAGAGTGGCCGGGCAGCTGACTCAGAGAAGTTGAGCCACTTGCCTGAGGTCACACAGCAAAGTGACGTATCCCGTCAGTCCTGTGCTATTTCAGCCACACCTCATGGGCCTTTTCACCCTGCCTGGTGCCTCCTGGTTCCTCTTCCACTGCTCAGGCCCAGGAATTTCTTTGGTCTGCTTTGCTGTGTGTTCTGACCTGGCGGGGAGGCCCCTTGGCTCACAGCTGTCAGGGCCTGCGTGGAGCAGGAGGGAGGCAGCAGCTGAGGGGACCCGAGTTACCCTCTGCTCATCAGGCATCCCATCTGCTGGCTCCTGTGGCCTCATCATTTGCAGCCATCTGTCAGGCTCCCTGGAGATGCTGCAAAGCCTGAGATGTAACACAGAACCTCCAAATGTGCCACCTTCAGCCTGCACGGGGAGCAGAGAGGCCCATGCCCCTGAGACCCCTACCTACGCCTTGAAGCCACCAGGAACTGGAAACTCAGGAGAGAGGTCCTTTCAGAGGAACTGTTCCCAGAGGGCTGGAGCCCCCTCTCCCATTGGCTGCCCGGCAATTGGCTCCGCAGAACCGGCTGGGGTTTACTTTGCTCAGGCGTCTGCTTGAAATTTCATTTTGGATTTAAAAAGTCCTCTGTCTCTTGGCGGGGATGCCCTGGCCCCTGCTTGTCTGCAGAATCTCTGGCCTCCTGGGCTTCCGATCTTCCGCTCGCGTTTGCCAAAGGCAGAGAAAGGGTCCCATGTGGGACTGGGGGCTTCTGGAGCAGGGGGAGGGGCTAGTGATTTCTCCAAAGCCGGTTTCTGTCTGGTTGATCTTGTCACACATGCCTCTCCCTGGCCCATCTCTGGCGGTGAGGGCAGAGGTTGTCAGTTTTATTCATTAGTTTTACATTAAAGAAATTTCTGATAGCAGCTTTTTTGAGATGTAATTCACTTCCATTCAATTTGCCTGTTTAAAGTGTATAATTCAGTGGTTTTTAGTGTATTCAGAGTTGTGCAATCATCACTATCAATTTTAGAGCACTTTCATCAACCTGAAAAGGAACCCCATTTACTTGAGCACTTACCCCTCAATCCTCCCACCTCCAAGAGACGGAGGCAAACACTGATCTATTTTTTTTTTTTTTTTTTTTGAGACAGGGTCTCCCTCTGTCACCCAGGCTGGACTGCAGTGGCACAATCATAACTCACTCCAGCCTCCACCTCCTGGGCTCAAGTGCTCCTCCCAGCTCAGCCTCCCGAGTATCTGAGACTACAGGTACACGCCACGATGCCCGTCTAATTTTGTTTTATTTTTTGTAGAGATGAGGTCTCACTGTGTTGCCCAGGTCGGTCTTGAATTTCTGGACTCAAGTGATCCTCTTGCCTGGGACTCCTAGAGTGCTAGGATTACAGGTGTGAGCCACCATACCTGGCCCTGATCTACTTTCTATCTCTATAGATTTGCTAATTATAGGCACATAAAAACGAAGGCATAGAATATGTGGACTTTTGTGACTGGCTTCTTTCTCTTTAGCATAATGTTTGCAAGGTTCATTCATAATGTGGTGGGTGTCAGTACTTCACGTCTTCCTTTTTTTTTTTTTTTGAGGCAGAGTCTCACTCTGTCACCCAGGCTGGAGTGCAGTGGCGTGATCTCGGCTCACTGCAACCTCCACCTCCTGGGTTCAAGCAATTCTCCTGCCTCAGCCTCCCGAGTAGCTGGGATTATGGGTACATGCCACCACACCCAGCTAATTTTTTTGTTTTTAGTAGAGACAGGGTTTTGCCGTGTTGGCCAGGCTGGTCTCAAACTCCTGACCTCAGGTGATCTTCCCGCCTCGGCCTCCCAAAGTGCTGGGATTACAGGAGTAAGCCACCACACCCGGCCCATTCCTTCCTTTTTATTGCAAAATAATATTGCATTGTATGGGTAGACTACATTTTCTTGATCTATTCATGATTTATTTATTTATTTTTAAAACCTTTTTAAAATTGGGAAATTAGTACAATGCAGCAAGGTGCATAACATATACATATATAGCCTGACAAATTATTGTAAGGCAAAAACTTTATTACAGCTAAGGTTAAGAAATGGGTCATTGTCAGACTCCCAGAAGCCCCTGTAACCCTTCCTGGCCACTACCAAATCCCTTTCCCCAGGGGAGGGTCATCACTGCCTTGCTTCACTTTCTAACAAGGGTTGCCAAACTATGGCCTGTTGTGTTTTTTTGTAAATAAAGTTTTATCAGAACACAGCAACTCCCACTCCTTTACGTATGGTCTATGGCTGAGACCATCTGTCTTGCACAACATAAAATATTTACTGTCTGTCCCTTTATAGAAAATATTAGCTGGCTGGGCATGGTGGCTTACACCTGTAATCCTAGCACTTTGGGAGGCAAAGACGGATGGAGGATTGAGGCCAGGAGTTTGAGACCATCCTGGCCAACATGACAAAACCCTGTCTCTACTAAAAATGCAAAAAATTAGCTGGGTGTGGTGGTGCACACCTGTAGTTCCAGCTACTTGAGAGGCTGAGGCATAAGAATAGCTTGAACCCTGGAGGCAGAGGTTGCAGTGAGTCGAGATTGCACCATTCCACTTCAGTCTGGGTGACACAGCAAGACTCTGCCTCAAAAAAAAAAAAAAAAAAAAAAAAAAGAAACAAAGAAAAAGAAAATGTTAGCTGATCTCACCTTGTGGTTTTACCAAGTATATAGATTTATTTGTTTTCGAATTTTTTGCCTAAATGTGATCAGTGTACTTTTTTGTGTCTGGTTTCTTCTGCTTGACATTATGTTGATCATGTAACTGTAGTTTATTTCTTTTCATTGTTATGTAATATTCTGCTGTATTGCTACACCACCTTCTATTTGTTCATTCTATTCTTAATGGATATTTGGGTCATTTTCAGTTTTTATTAGGAACAATGCCACTGGTTCTTCAAGTGTGATTCTCAAACTGGTGGAATCAGCATCACCTGGGAGCTTGTTAGAAATGCAAATTTTGGCTGGGTGCAGTGACTCATGCCTGTAATCCCAGCACTTTGGGAGGCCAAGACAGGAGGATCACTTGAGGCCAGGAGTTCGAGGCTGTAGTGAGCTATGATCATGCCAGTGCACTCTAGCCTGGGTGACAGAGTGAGACCCTGTCTCAAAAACAAACAAACAAACAAACAAACAAAACCACTCTGCAAATTCTCAAGTCCCACTACGGACCTCCTGAACTAGAAGCAGTGGACCCTGCAATTCGTGTTCCATAAGCCCTGTGGGTGATTTTCATGCATACTCCAGTCTGAGAACCACTGGTTTCGCATCTACCCAGATGTGGAATTCCTGGGTTGACTTAGTGTATCTTCAACATTATTAAGTTTTCTATCCCATTTTGCAAAGTGTGTGTACCAGTTTACACCCCCACTAGTGGGCTATGAAAATTCCCATCTCTCTATCCTTGACAATACTTGGCATTCATCAGATTTATAAATTTTGCCAATCTGGTGGGTGAGAAATGGTATCACATTGTGATTTCCAATTTACGTTTCCCTGATTACTAATGAGGTTGAACATCTTTTTGTGTTTATGGCTATTTGGAACTTCTCTTGCATGAAGTGCCTGTTTGCATCTTTTGCCACGGTTTCTATTAGATTGTCTTTTTCTTACCGATTTATAGGAGTCTTTTTTACACACGATAATCTTTGTTGCTTGTATATGTTGCAAATACCTTTTCCCACTCTGTGGCTTGCCTTTTCTCAGATGTCTTTTAAGAAGTTCTCATTTTTGGCCAGGTGCGGTGGCTCACGTCTATAATCCTAGCACTTTGGGAGGCCAAGGCAAGTGGATCACCTGAGGTCAGGAGTTTGAGACCAACCTGGCCAACATGGTGAAACTCCATCTCTACCAAAAATATAAAAATTAGCTGGATGTGGTGGCCAGCACCTGTAGTCCCAGCTACTTGGGAGGCTGAGGTGGGAGTATCACTTGAACCCGGGAGGCAGAGGTTGCCGTGAGCCGAGATTGTGCCACTGCACTCTAGCCTGGGGAATAGAGCAAGACTCAGTCTCAAAAAAAAAAAAAAAAAAAAGAAGAAGTTTTAATTTTTTTTATTATGGTAAAATATATAACATAAAATTTACCATTTTAACCATTTTTAAGTGTACAGTTCAGTGGCATTAAATACATCCACATTCTCTGCAACCATCATCACCATTTACCTCCAGAACTTTTTCATCTTCCCAAACTGAAACTCTGTAGTCATTAAGCACTCACTTCCCATCTGCCTCTCCTTCCAGCCTCTGGCAATCACCATTCTACTTCCTATCTCTATGAATTTGACTACTTTGGGTACCTCATCTAAGTGGAATCACCAGTATTTGCGTGTCTGGTTTATTTCATGAAACATAATGTCTTCAAGGTTCATTTCTGGTGCAGCACGTGTGAGAATTCCATTTCTTCCTAAGGCTAATATGCCATCGCATGGATGTAACACACCTGGTTTATCCATTTGTCTGTTGAGGGACAGGTGGGTCCCTTGGCTGTTGGCTGTTGTGTGTTGTGAAGATACACTAACATGCTCTATGCCCCAGGCTGGAGTGCAGTGGCACAATCTTGGCTCACGGCAACCTCTGCCTCCCGGGGTTCAAGTGATTCTCCTGCCTCAGCCTCCTGAGTAGCTGGGATTATAGGCACCTGCCACCATGCCGAGCTAATTTTTTGTATTTTTAGTAGAGACGGGGTTTAGCCATGTTGGCCAGGCTGTTCTTGAACTCCTGAACTCAGGTGATCCACCCGCCTTGATCTCCTAAAGTGTTGGGATTACAGGCATGAACCACTGCGCCCAGCCCATTGTGTCATTCTTATGCCTTTGCAACCTCATAGCTTAGTCTTTTGCCCATTTTTGAATCACAGTGTTTGTTTTTTTGTTGGTGGTAAGTTACAGGAGGAGTCTTTATATATTCTGGATATTAACACCTTATCAGATATCTCTGATTCGCAGATATTTTTTCTCCTTGCATGGGTTGCCTTTTCACTGTCTTGATATTATCCTTTGATGCAGAAGTTTTAATTTTGATGTTGTTCAGTTTATCTATTTTTTCCTTTGATGCCTGTGCTTTTGGTTTTATACCCAAGGAACTGTTGCCAAATCCAATGTCATGAAGTTTTCCTCCTGTTTTCTACTAAGAGTTTTATTGTTTTAGCTCTTCTGTTTAGGTCTCTGATCCATATTGAGTTAATTTTTATAGATGGTTTAAGGTAAATATCCAAAGAAATACTTAATTTTAAAGCAGCTAAATTTATCCATCCTTCTCTTTAGGATTAATGCTTTCTTTGGCCTATTTATTTTTTATTTTTATTTTATTTTATTTTATTTTATTATTATTATACTTTAAGTTTTAGGGTACATGCGCACAATGTGCAGGTTAGTTACATCTGCATACATGTGCCATGCTGGTGTGCTGCACCCATCAACTCGTCATTTAGCATTAGGTATATCTCCTAATGCTATCCCTCCCCACTCCCCCCACCCCACAACAGTCCCCAGAGTGTGATGTTCCTCTTCCTGTGTCCATGTGTTCTCGTTGTTCAATTCCCACCTATGAGTGAGAATATGCGGTGTTTGGTTTTTTGTTCTTGCGATAGTTTACTGAGAATGATGGTTTCCAATTTCATCCATGTCCCTACAAAGGACATGAACTCATCATTTTTTATGGCTGCATAGTATTCCATGGTGTATATGTGTCACATTTTCTTAATCCAGTCTATTATTGTTGGACATTTGAGTTGGTTCCAAGTCTTTGCTATTGTGAATAGTGCCGCAATAAACATACGTGTGCATGTGTCTTTATAGCAGCATGATTTATAGTCCTTTGGGTATATACCCAGTAATGGGATGGCTGGGTCAAATGGTATTTCTAGTTCTAGATCCCTGAGGAATCGCCACACTGACTTCCACAATGGTTGAACTGGTTTACAGTCCCACCAACAGTGTAAAAGTGTTCCTATTTCTCCACATCCTCTCCAGAACCTGTTGTTTCCTGACTTTTTAATGATTGCCATTCTAACTGGTGTGAGATGGTATCTCACTGTGGTTTTGATTTGCATTTCTCTGATGGCCAGTGATGATGAGCATTTTTTCATGTGTTTTTTGGCTGCATAAATGTCTTCTTTTGAGAAGTGTCTGTTCGTATCCTTGCCCGCTTTTTGATGGGGTTGTTTGTTTTTTTCTCTGGCCTATTTAAAAAGTCTTTCCCAGCCAGGCACGATGGCTTATGCCTGTAATCCCGGCACTTTGGGAGGCCAAGGCAGGAGGATCATTTGAGCCCAGGAGCTCGAGACCAGCCCAGGCAACATAGCCAGGTCTTGTCTCTACTAAAAGTTAAAACAACAACAACAATAAAAAAAATTAGCCTGGCATGGTGGCATGCATGAGGGAAAGAAAACAAATTTTGGTGATGCATGAAGTCTCTGTCATATTCTCTGACATCCCTTCCTCGGTCCCCCAGGCCAGGGGAACTTTCGTATGGCATATGGGGAGAGTGGGGAGAGGTGGCAGCCTGGACTTTCATCTCTTCTTCTAAATATATTACATACAGTGAAAACCGTGGCTTTTGAACTTAAAAGCCCAGACTCTTGTAACTCAGAAGTCCTGTTCTGGTGGCCTGAGCTGCCTCTCTGCTGACCAGTGTGTCATTCTGTCATACAGCAACAGTTACATGTGGGGAAAGACACATTCATGGAAGGGCATGGGAAAAGCTCAGTTCAGGTCTCAAGGTTCATCCCACTGTAGTTAACTTGAGAATTTGGGGGCTGGCCTGGTGCCTCATGCCTGGAATCCCAGTGCTTTGGGAAGCCGAGGCAGGAGGATCACTTGAGTCCAGGAGTTTGAGACCAGCCTGGGCAACATAGTGAAACTCCACCTCTACACAAAATAATGTATTTTAAAAAAGCTGGGTGTGGTGGTGCGTGCCTGTGGTCCTAGCTACTCTGGAGGCTAAGGCAAAAGGATGGCTTGAGCTCAGGAGGTCGTGGCTGTAGTGAACTATGATCACACCACTGCACTCCAGCCTGGGTGACGGAGCGAAACCCTGTCTCAAAAAGAAAAAAAAAAATTCAGCTGGAATGTTTGCTACCCTTGAGCTCACAAACTCTAGTTTCTTTCTTTTTTTGCAGTTGGAATGTCATTATGTGCTTTCAAGTGCTGGGTTCCCCGTTAGTTCCCCAGAGTCCCCACTGCACAGCAATGAAGCATCCATCCATCCTCACGGAGGGTCCCAATGCCACAGTCCATGTTTGTTCATGTTGGGAGGCTGGAACACATTCAGAAGGCTCAGAACCTTGGCTCCATTTGGACTTTGGCTCTGCCTTGCCAGTACTTGGGCTGCTCTTTGTGGTTTAAGTGATCCTCTTTCTTGCCAGAGGAGTCTGAAACAAAGCAGAATCAGGGACGTTCTGCTCACTTCCTACCACCATGCTTTCAGAATCTTACCTTTGGCTCCAAGCAGCCCATCCATCCTCACCTTCTTACTCTTGTCCTGAACATAACAGAAGAGCTCTTTTCTGCTCTTCCTAGAGGTTTTTGCCAGCTCAGTCCCTCGCGGTGGGCACTTGCCCGTCCTGACAATAACCTGATGACCTTCGCTGCTCTGATGTTCACTCTGACCTGCTGCCTGGACAGCTTTTGGAAATCTCCTTCTCCAGCAGGGCATCTGCTCCTGTGGCTCTCAAGGCTCCAGCCAGTGTTTCCAGGGACATTTGTCTCAATGGGAACCTTTGGGCAGCCTAGAATTTTGAACAGTTGAGAAGCCAGCGGTCTTTCTCTCTGCTCCTCTGCCTTTTTTTTTTTTTTAATGGAGTCTCGCTCTGTCATCCAGGCTGGAGTGCAGTGGTGTGATCTCGGCTCACTGCAACCCAACCTCCATCTCCAGGTTCAAGTGATTCTCCCGCCTCTGCCTCCCAAGTAGCTGGGACTACAGGTGCCCCAACCTAATAATAAACCAAACAATGGTGCACTCCCCATCCCCCACCCATATTAGTGGTGCCAATCATTGCCTCCCCAGCTACACTCCCTTATTAATGAAACTGACCACAGCCCCAAGGGGCGCCTCTCTGCATGGTGCAACCCTACCCCTCGCCTCAGCTCACTGGACCTGAGCTGGACCCGGCTCCAACTGGACCAATCAGAATCTCTCTCTTTGGATTTTTTTTGAAAAGGAGACCTAGAGATTTCATTGACTGTGGGGTGACCAGGTGCACTGCTGAGCTAGGAGGTGGGGCAGACAACCATGGGGCCATGGTCATCATGTGGGTGTCGCCACAACAAAAGAATGAAACGGATGTGTAGAGGCGTCAAGGGAAGACCCCTGGTAATCAGAGACAGAGAGGGAGTCCCCATCTCATGTTCTAAGTCTGCTCTTCGAACACCTCCTGGGCCCAGGACAGTCCCCTGTGGCCTCTCAGAACTTCCTTTGGAGTTAAGCTAGTTTGAGTGGGATGTGGTCCTTGAAGCCAATTTTTCTTCTTTTCTAAAACCCCCACCAGCCGCCAACTCAACGATGGTGCCAAGGACTTAGGAAGTGCTCCCCAGTCATCGCCCTGGTCTGTCTTACTTGGAGAGTGACCTAGAGGTGAAAGATTGCTGATTGGCAGATGCCCTGTCAGCAAGGGAGATGGTCCTTCGAGAGGGCAGAAGGGGCCAGGCGTGGTGGCTCATGCCTATAGTCCCAGCACCTTGGGAGGCCAAGGCAGACAGATCACCCGAGGTCAGGAGTTCAAGACCTGCCTGGCCAACATGGTGAAACCCTGTCTGTACTAAAAAATACAAAATTAGCTGGGCATGGTGGTGGGCACCTGTAATCCCAGCTACTTGGGAGGCTGAGGCGGGAGAATCACTTGAACCTGGAGATGGAGGTTGGGTTGCAGTGAGCCGAGATCACACCACTGCACTCCAGCCTGGATGACAGAGCGAGACTCCATTAAAAAAAAAAAGGCAGAAGAGCAGAGAGAAAGACCGCTGGCTTCTCAACAGTTCAAAATTCTAGGCTGCCCAAAGGTTCCCATTGAGACAAATGTCCCTGGAAACACTGGCTGGAGCCTTGAGAGCCACAGGAGCAGACGCCCTGCTGGAGAAGGAGATTTCCAAAAGCTGTCCAGGCAGCAGGTCAGAGTGAACATCAGAGCAGCGAAGGTCATCAGGTTATTGTCAGGACGGGCAAGTGCCCACCGCGAGGGACTGAGCTGGCAAAAACCTCTAGGAAGAGCAGAAAAGAGCTCTTCTGTTATGTTCAGGACAAGAGTAAGTAGGTGAGGATGCATGGGCTGCCTCAATGACTTTCCTGCCCTGGACGTTTATTTTGAATTAAATGAGCTGGAGGGTAGTGTTGGCGGGGAGTGGCCCTTGCAAATGGAACTAATGACCTGCATGCATTGAGTAATTGCAGTTTTGTCATTGCTTTCAGTGGCAAACACTGCAATTACTTTTGTACCAATGTAGTAGAAAGAGGATGACTTTGAGCCAGAGGAACCAAAGATCTGGTTCAAATCCAGGCTCTGATTTGCAAGTTGGGCATCTACGTCTGTTTGTGTTGCTGTAAAGGAATACCTGTGTCTGGGTAATTTGCAATGAATAGAGGCTTATTTGGCTCATGGTTCTGCAGGCTGTACGAGAAGCCTGCATCTGCTTCTGGTGAGGGCCTCAGGCTGCTTCCACTCATGGAGGAAAGCAAAGGAGAGCTGCTGTGTGCAGAGGTCACATGCAAGAGAGGAGGCAAGAGACGGAGGGAGGTGCCGGGCTCTTTTCAACAACCAGCTCCTGCAGAAACGAATAGAGTGAGAACTCACTTCCACCCTCGTCCCACACAAGGGAGGGCATTGATCTATTCATGAGGAGTCCTCCCCCATGACCCAAACACCTTCCATTAGGCTCCATCTCTAACAGCAGAGATCAAATTTCAACCTGAGATCTGGAGGGGGTCACATAAACCAAACTATAGCACCCAGTGACCTTATAAAGTGAAAGCCTCAGTCCCCTTCCTTGTAAAGTGGGCAGGATGGTCTGCCGATAAGGATGCTGTGAGTCTGACCACTTCCTTGTTCTTTCCTTGTGCGACTGTGATTGACCTGGGCATGGAAAGGCTTAGTGCCCTGAAAGGCAGGCTGGGTGAAGGTCTGGCAGGGTCCTGAAGGGTGGGGGTGATTCCCTGGGTCCTGGGATGAAGGGGTCTTAGATTTTGGTGTAGTTGTCCTGTAGATCCCAGAGCTGGACCTGACCTCACTTGAGATACGGATCGGGTTGCTAGGCAAGGGTTCACCAGGCAGCATCATCTGTGATGCATCCTGCAGGCTGAGCAGTGAAGGTAGGAAAAGGCATTCTAGATGGGAGGAACAGCACATGCAATTTCAAGGAGGAGGATGGATGCTTGTGTCCGGTTCTGTCTACAGCAGCTAATGGCTGTTGCTGGCACACTGAGGACCAGGGAGCAGGAGGGGCCAGGCGGGAGGGCTTAGCAGGGCTGGGTTGCAACACACCTGAAATGTCACCTTGAGGAACTTGGGCTACCTCTTGGAAGCCACTTGCAAGACAATGGAATCACAGGTGGCACGATCTGATTTGAACTCCAAAAACTGATTCACAGCTGCCTTGAGGCAGAGGGGTGGCATGGCTGTGAAGCAGCCCTGCCCAGATCTTGGGGAGAGCCTCAGCATGGCCTGAGAGGCAGGACTTCTTCACGTCTGTCTCTAGCGTATAGCCGAGAGCCTAACGCTAAGTGGTCATTTAAGATTTTGACTTAATATCCCCAAAATGCAAGGTGTCAAGAGCCCCAAGTCAGACCCTGCATCATAGACACCACTTGGCATCAGAAATAAAAACGCAAGCAGAGCCCTCATTGTTGACTCTGAAGCCCCCCATTCCCCCATCAGGATGGGACTAGCTCAGGAAGGCTGGCCGGGCTGTGGCAGCTCTCAGAGGCCTGGGGACCCACAGGGACCTCTCTCAGCAGCCATTCCAGGGCAGGTGGGAGCTGTTTGCTGATGGGATTAGGGGCTCCCCTGCTCACTGTTTTTGACGCTGCTCCCCATAATGGGCTCCATCCGAGTCTCACCTCAATGTCCTCGCCTTGGAGAAACCTCCCTGGACCGTGCTGTCTAAAATAAACACCTTCTCAAGTCACCTTGCTTTGTCCCTCCTGCAAATCCCCGAAATGATCTCGTTTTATGCGTTCACATGTTTTCTGTCTTGTTCTCTTCACAAGACCTTGAACTCCACAAGGGCACTGCCTTGCCTGTCTTGTTCAATGCCAAATCCCCACATGGTGCTTGGCATCCAGTAGGTGCCCAGAAAATATGTGAGCTACATTCCAGAGCCTGCTCTGAGCCAGGTGTTATGCATAGATCAGCTCATGGTCTCATTGGATCCTCCCAACAGCCCCAGGAAATAGGTGCCACTTTGGTCCTCATTTTTCAGATGGGTAAACTGAGGTTCAGAGAGGCTAAGCATGTGACACCCTCGCACAACCGCGAAATGACAGAGCCAGAATTTGAACCCAGGGCCGCTGCACGCTGGAGCCACAGCTCTCCCATGGTGCCATGCTCCTCTGGGTCTCTTCAACTTCTCCACTCTCTCTTCCGTATTCTCCTTTCCTTGGAAATGAAATTCATAGCTCACTTTTGTTTTTATTTTATTTTATTTATTTATTTTTTGAGACAGAGTCTCACTCTGTCACCCAGGCTGGAGTGCAATGGCGCAATCTAGACTCACTGCAACCTCCGCCTCCCAGGTTCAAGCGATTCTCCTACCTTAACCTCCCAAATAGCTGAGATTACAGGCACCTGCCATCATGCCTGGCTAATTTTTGTAGAGATGGGGTTTTGCCATGTTGGCCAGGCTGGTCTCGAACTCCTGACCTCAGGTGATCCTCCCACCTTGGCCTCCTGAAGTGCTGGGATTACAGGCGTGAGCCACCACGCCTGGCCCATAGCTCGCTTTTAAAGCCTTCCCTCCTTTCTTGCACCTCAATGACTTTCCTGCCCTGTACATTTATTTTGAATTAAATGAGCTGGAGGGTAGTAGTGTTGGCGGGGAGTGGCCCTTGCAAATGGAACTAATGACCTGCGTGCTGGGGAAGGTTGTTCTGCCCCGCCCTGCCTTCTCTGCTGCAAAGCACCTCTGCTGTCTCATGATTTCCTGTGGAGTTCTCATCAACGCCTCTTTAAGACTCAAATGGACAAATAAACTGGCTGAGAGAGTGAGGAAGATTTAATTGAGTTCAACTCCAAGCCCTTCATCCTCCCCGTGGAGGGTGGCAGGGTTCAAAATAGGGACTTTGGCTACCAGCAGATCGAGGGTTGAATGCAGGGCCCAGCCCTGAGCAGCTACGGGACCTCAGGCCTGTTTCCGAACCTCTCTTGGACTTCAAGGAAAAGGTGACATTGGAAGACCCCTCTGGAATTTGAGTTTTGCATTTTGAGAAGATAGTGGCAAATTTTCTTCCAGAAGGGAGGTTCTGGGGTTCTGAGGGTCAAAGAAGTCTTCAGACTTTTTATCTTAGTCATTGGCTCAACACACTTTTTTTTTTTTTTTTTTTTTGTGACAAAGTCTTGCTCTGTCACCCAGGCTGGAGTGCAGTAGTATGATCATAGCTCACTGTAACCTAGAACTCCTGGACTCAAGCAATCCTCCTGCCTTAGCCTCCTGAGTAGTGGAGAATACAGACATGAGCCACTGCTCCTGGCTAACTTTTAAATTTTTTATAGAGATGGGGGTTTTGCCATGTTGCCCTGGCTGGTCTCAAAACTCCTGGCCCCAAGCAAACCCCCTACCTCAGCTTCTCAAAGTGCTGGGATTCCAGGTGTGAGCAACCACACTTGGCCTTCACAAATATTTATTGAACACCAACTCTGTACCTCCCCAGTATGATTTCTAGGGCCCTGCCCTCATGGACTTGTTTCTGGTGAGACAGAAACTCGGGAGAAGAGAGTGAGCTGAGAGTGCTGCTCAGGTCAAGGCTATGGTCCTGAATGGTCCATACCAGTCTCCAGTTGATTGAATAATGGGTTATTCTTTTCTCCATTCCCCTCCCTTCCATACTGGCAACCATCCAATTCTGTCTGAAGTATTTCTGCTTGTATGTGTTTTTACAAAGGTGCCCCCTTTTGCATGTATTTTAAATTCATATGAATAGTATGTGTATTAGTCAGCTATTCCTGCAGTAAGGCTGTGTAACAAATCACCCCACCACTCAGCAAGTGGCTTCCATAACCAAGCATTATTTTTCTTGCTTGTGAGTCTGCAGGTTGGGCGGGTTACCTTGGGTCCAGGCTGAGGGTTGTGTTCAGGTCTTCTTGCTGGACACATCTCCTGTCACACTGGGGCCAGCACCAGGGGATATTCTTATGGCAGCGGTGGAAATGCAACAGGGGTGAGCCATGATCTGGGATACTGTGTAAGCCCTGGCTGGGTGATGGCACATGGTCACCTCTGCCCCTATGTCACTGGACAAAGCAAGTCACATGTTCAGGCCCAAAGTTAGTAGGATGGGTGATATGGTTTGGATTTGTGTCCCCACCCAAATCTATAATCCCCAATGCTGAAGGTGGGGCCTGCTGCAGATGACTGGATCATGGGGGTGGATTTCTCATGAATGGTTTAACACCATCCCCACTTGGTGCTGTCATGGCGATAGTGAGTTCTAGTGAGATCCGGTTGTGTGGCATCTCCTACCTTTCTCTCTTCCTCCTGCTGCCACCATGCGAATTGCTGATTTCCCCTTTGCCTTTTGCTATGATTGTAAGTTTCCTGAGGCCTCCCCAGAAGCCAAGCAGATGTCAGCATCATGCTTTCTGTACAGCCTGCAGAACAGTGAGCCAATGAAACCTCTGTTCTGGCCAGGCTAAGTGGCTCACACCTATAATCCCAACACTTAGGGAGGCTGAGGCAGGTGAATCACTTGAGGTCAGGAGTTCAAGACCAGCCTGGCCAACATGGTGAAACCCCATCTCTACTAAAAATACAAAAATTAGCCAGGTGTGGTGGTGCATGCCTGTAATCCCAGCTACTTGGGAGGCCGAGGTATGAGAATTACTTGAACCCAGGAGACAGAGGCTGCAGTGAGCCGAGATCATGCCACTGCACTCCAGCCTGGGTGACAGAACAAGACTCTTTCTTCATAAATTACCCAGTCTCAGGTATTTCTTTATAGCAGTACGAGAATGGACTGAAACAGTGGGGAAGACTGTTCCCCAAGAAGGACGGCTGTGAATGTCTGCTGAACAGTAATGCAGTTGATCTCAGTTTGTGCTATAGATCTCATTCTGTTTCTTCAGTTTTCATGCACTCTGTTTGAGATTATCCATGTGGCTGTGTCTATACCTAACCCAACACCCGCCTGATTCTCCACACTGCGCTCCTCCTGTGCCTGTCTGTTCTCTTAGTGATAGACAACGAGCTTGTTTCCAAATCCTTGTCACCACAAAGGAAGCTGCAGAGAACATCCTCAGGCCTGTCCTCCTAAGGACCTGTGTGCATCCTAAGGACCTGTGTCCTCCTAAGGACCAAGGATCCACTTGGAGTGTGCATCCAGGTGCAGGCTGATGGAGTCACAGCGTAGATTACGTTGAATTTGCACTGCTTAAAGTTCCCATATCCTGACCAACACTGGGCATTCTCCAGCTTTCTACTGTTTGCCTATCTAATCAGTATAAAGCATAAAACGACATCTCATTGCCTCAACATGCATTTCCCTGATGAGGAGTGCCTCTGAGTATCTCTTCAAGGGCTCTTCTGGTTTGAGTTTTTGCTCCTAGAAACAACTTCTGCCCATTCTATACTCTGTGCTTGCCATGAGGAGAAAGGCCAGTGGGGCTGGGATGGAGGCAGCGGCATGAAGCCAGCCGTTTGAGCACGGTGGGCTTGAGATCAGAGCGGGATGTCCACAGGCATGGGCAGGAGATTGCAGCCGGGAAGCTGTCCAGCCTCCTCTACTTTGTTCCAGGCATTAATTATTTAACCTTCATTAGCAGCTCTGAGATGGGAAATTTGTTGTCCCTTTGATTGGCCCCACGAAGAGCCCGAGTGAAGAAGCAGATGTCAAATGATTTGCTTTATTATAAATGACCTGGAGAGATACCTGGCAAAGTCATCACCAAGTTCTTTCTCAAGTTGCTCTGCAGCTCAAGAAAAGAGCTGGCCAGGCACGGTGGCTCACACCTATAATCCCAGCAGTTTGGGAGGCCGAGGCGGAAGAATCACTTGAGCCCAGGAGTTCAAGACCAGGCTCTTGCTGTGAGCCTGGGCAACATAACAAGGCCCCATCTCTATAAAAAACAATAGCAACAACAACAAAAAATTAGCCAGGCATGTGGTGCATGTCTGTAGTCTCCACTACTAGGGAGGCTGAGGTGGGAGGATTGCTTGAGCCCAGGAGTTTGAGACTGCAGTGAGCTATGATTGTGCCACTGCACTCCAGCCTGGATGACAGAATAAGACCCTGTCTCTTTAAAAAAAGAAAGAAAAGAGCATTTGTGAATGACATCCTTTAAGGACCTACTATATGCTCAGGACCTCCTAAATGCTGTATTCTCAGGGACAATGTCTACCTTGAGATGCTAATTGGACTTACCTGACTGCTTACTTCTGAGCATTGAATCCATTCCTTCCATCAGTGCACATTTCTTGAGCACCTACTATGTGCCAGGCACTGTACAAGGCCCCCAAAATACAGCAGTGAAGAAAAGAAAAGCAATCCTGTCTTCCTGGAGCTTACATCCCAGTGGGAGGAATCAGACCACAAATAAATGTGTGACCTGTGGAGCGTGTTAGATGGTGTTAAGTGGTGACAAGGAAAATAAAGCAGGGAGGGTTGCAATTGTGAAGAGAACAGTCTAGGGGGGCCTCGCTGGGATGGTGTCACTTCAGTGAAGACCCCCAGGAGGTGAGGGGGCTGGCCATGTGGGGCCAGTGAGGCATCACAGGAAAAACGATGAGAACAGCACCTAGTAGGCACTCTGTAAAACTATTGTGGTTTCTCAATGAGGAAGTGAAGGCGTTGAGGTTATGGAATCTGCCCTAAGTCAATCGGCTGCTAGGAGCAAGCTGGGACTAAGATGAGGGATCTAGAATGCAAAATTTGAGGAGGCCCTTCAACCCCAGAGGCATGTAAGTGCCAGCCCTGGCCAAAAGGTGGAGATGGGGCTGCAATCCAAGCCTCTGACTCTCATACACACACCCAGGAAGCACTGCATACATGGGGGAGGCCTGGCTGTGCAGTGGCTTGGCTATTGCACATGGCCTGTTCTAGGGTATAATCTGGGCTGCAGGAGACCCATGCTGGCAGGAGAGGAAGGTAATGGTAAGGAAGGAGGTTCCATGGAGGAGGGCAGAGAGCTGTTCTTCCCTCCCATTCCTGGTTTGCTCACGCCATGCTGGTTGGCCTGGGGTATGTGGAGTGGAATCTAGCCCACAGCTTCACCTCATCAATCTCACCATGGGGCAGATGTATCAGTAACAGCAGCATCAGTTAATACTTTTCCAAACCACAAATAAAAGAAACACAATTTAGACAGGGTAATAGGAAAAAGGGAATTTATGGGCTCAAGTAACTGAAATCATCCTTCAGGCATGGCTGGATCCAGGACTCAAACTACTTCACTGGAATCTGTCTCTTTTCACCTTTTGATGTTGCAGTTCCTCTGTTACGGCTTTATTCGCAGGCAGATTCTCTCCAGAAGGGAGGATGTCCGTACTTAGCAGTCCCAGAGGGAAGAGAGCTTTTCTTCCTTAGCGGCACCCACAGAGGCCCTACGGCTGATTCCCACCGGGCTCACTTGGGTTACACGCCCTTCTTGAATCAACCACTGTCTTTAGGGAGATTCAGAACTCTGATTGGCCAAGCCTGGGTTGTGTGACCATCCCCGGGTCTAGGAGCAAGACCAATCCCAAACCATCAGGACCGAGGGTTGGGGAGGCATAGTTCCCTAAGTCAGCTGTTAACAGAAGAAGGGAGAATGGGCTGGGTGAGTCCACACCACACACTATGATGTCACCGTCTGTCCCTTCCCAGGAGCCATTTATTTACCTTCTAGCGCAGTGATTCTCACATCTGGCTGTCCCTTGGAACTACCTGGGGAGGTTTTGAGAAATACAGGTACCTGGGCTGCACCTTTGCACATTCAGATGCAATAGGTCTCAGGTAGGACCTGGGCATTGTTAGTTTTTAAAAGCTCCTCTGGAAGAGATACTTACATGTGACCAGGGCTGAGAACCACTGCTTTCCCAGGTCCCTGCACCTTAATAACCTCTGTGAATCATCACTCCGTGATTTGGAGAGTTTTCAGTCTGCTAGTTTGTAAGGAGGGAAGCAAAGAGGGACAGAAATCCTTAGCCAGACTCTAAGCCCCTTAGCCTTCCTCTGGCTGGCATTAAGTGGAGCGCCGGCTGGTGTCTGGTCTCTTGGGATAGAGATCAGGACAGCTCTCAAGGGAGTGTGGCTTCTGACCAGCATCAAAGCCACACAGGTTAAACTCCCTCTCCCGAGGCCTGGGCCTGCTTGGCGACTTTCTAACCTAGTCCCTCACCTGCCGAATGTCACCACCCACCAAATGTCAGCAGGAAGCAGCCTGACTGAATCCAATTAGAAGCCTCTCCCTGGTGTCCAGACAGACTGATGAACCAGACAGACTGAGCCTGGGCTTTTTTGTTTTGTTTTGTTTTGTTTTGTTTTCTTTTCTTTTCTTTCCACTCACAAGAACTTTGTTTTCCTTAGAACTGGGCTGGGGGCCGTCTTGGAGGGGCCCAGAGACTGGGAAGGGCCAAGTCACCCACACAGGAGTGTCGCTCAGAGGCGGCGACATTGCAGATGCTGTTTACTGCAGGGTCCTGAGGAGCTGGGCAGAGTTGGGTAGGGAGAAAGTTCTGCAAGGCAGGTCCTGGAGTCAGATGGACAAGGGCTGGAATCTACACTCTGGGACTCACTACCTTTCAACCTCCTGAGCCTCAGTTTCCCCATCTGTCAAACTGGGCTAATAGGAATTCCTACCTGATAGGGTTTTTGTGAGAATGAAAGAAGACAATGCTTGTGAAGTCCACAGACAGGGCATATGCTAGATAAATGCTGGCTGCTACAGTTATCTGCATTTGCTGAATAAGTATTTATTGAGTGCTCACTTTCTCAGGGACTGGGGGACATGGAACGTATCGTCTAGTGGATGAGACAAACTTGAACAAAATAACCCTAAGAATGACTTAAGCAATGAGGAAATGATGATAAAGCACGAATCCTCCACTGTGTCCACACATTGGAACCACCTGGGGAGATTTTAGGAAATGCTGATGTCCAGGCCACTCCCCACCCCACACGCCTCCCAAGAGATTCTGATTCACCAGATCTAGGCAGAGGTGTGGGCATCGATGCTCCTTAAACTCTCCCTAGGTGACTCCAGTGGGTGGCCAGGGTTAAGAAGCATGGTCTGAAGAAAGGATGAGTGATACCTGTGTGTGGCGAATGAACTTTGCCTAGGCTAGGCATCAGGGAGGACTTCCTGGAGGAGGTGGCTGGGTGGAGCACTGAGGATGGGTGGGAGCCAACTAAGGTAGGAACTTAGGGCAGAGGTGGGGAAAGTGTTCTAATCAGGGATTGGCATGTACAAAGGCCCTGTGGTGCAGAGGAGAATGGCATGAGGGGTCCGAGGGAGGGCTTGTGTGGCTGGAGCACAGTGGGTGAGTGTGGAGACTTGGGAGGGGCCGGGCCTGAGCCCCACAGAGCAGGTGAGGCCGGTCCAGGTGAGGCATCTTTCCTCCCTCTGAACAACAACGGGAGTCACTGAAGGATTCCGGCGAGAGGTGGCAAGGTCAGATTCTCATCGCCAAAATATCCTTCTGCCAAGACCAGCCTGGGCAACACCGTGAGACCCCATCTCTACAAAAAAATTGAAAAATTAGGCACGTACCCGTGGTCCCAGCTACTTGGGAGGCTGAGGTGGGAGGATTGCTTGAGCCTGGGAAGTCGAGGCTGCAGTGAGCTGTGTTCACACCACTGCACTCCAGCCTGGGTGAAAAAGTGAGACCTTGCCTCAAAAAAATGAAAAAGAAAAGAAAAGAAAAACAAAAGATCCTGCTGGCTGCTGCGTTGGGAGTAGATTGGAGGGGCTTCGAGAGGACATGGGAGACCTGTCAGGAGGCTACCACAGTCTGGGTGAGCAAGGGTGGAGGGAGGGTTGTCGAGGGAGGCCACTCAGTGCAGAGGTCAAGGGCTTGGCTTCTGGCGTCAAACTCTGAACATATTTCTAAACCCTCCGAGCCTCAGTTTCCTTACCTGAAAATTGGGGGTAGTACTAATATCTACCTCACAGGGTTGTTGAGATAATTAATTGGGCCGTTATTAAATGCTTCTATCCCGGTGGACACTTAATTGTCATCAGCCCTCTATGCTATCTTGACTTACGTGACTCCTTCATACTGCTAAGCGCTCACCCCATATGTCACTTTCTTCAATGAGTTGCTTCTCCAGTGGGATTCCTTATCTAAGGTTTTTTTTCGTTTGTTTTTTCCTTTGTGACGGAGTCTCGCTCTGTCGCCCAGGCTGGAGTGGAGTGATGTGATCTCAGCTCACTGCAACCTTTGCCTCCTGGATTCAAGCAATTTTCCTGCCTCAGCCCCCAGAGTAGTGGGATCACAGGCATGTGCCACCATGCCCAGCTAGTTTTGTTTTTTTGTTTTTTTGTTTTTTTTTTTTCAGCACAGATAGGATTTCACCATGTTGGCCAGGGTGGTCTCAAATTCCTGACCTCAGGTGATCCACCAGCACCGGCCTCCCAGGCCCAGTGGCTTCAGGCATGAGCCACTGTGCCTGCAATCAACCATCTTTCAGTTGTCTGCCGCCTCCACCCACTAGACTGTCCATGAGTTTTGCAACGGCAGGGACCAGGACTACTTTGAACATGGCTGCCTTCCTAGCCTGGTGCCTGGCACATAGCAGGTCCTTAATAAATGGATAATCCCTCCCTTACTTTATAAAGCCAGGACAGGGACCAGATTGACTTGCAGTCAGGTGGCTGTGGAACACATCGGTGATGACTTCTCATGCCCTGCATCAGCTGTCCCGTGTCTGTCCCTGGAGAAGGCTTTGTCACTCCTTTTTCCTATCTTGTATTCATGAAGACTGTTTTTCTGAAATCCAATTAGAAGCCCCGCCTCAATTAACAAACAAAAACTTTCACAGAGCACGCTTCCCAAATTTTACCATGTACTCGCCATTTCATTCAGCTAATTTTTTCCCCCTTTTCCTCTGATGTTGGCATAAATGCATTTTTGTTCCAATCTCCTGGGCTGCTGTCTGCTGTCACTGTGTGAGGTGCTGGCACCTTGCCTGGAAACCCAGGACTCTGTGCACGCCCCAGGCACTGCCCTATTCTTGGTAGATCCTCTGTTTTCTCTCCTTTGGGGGCTTGGTTAATGATGCCATCTTTCACCTTGTCACCCCCAGCCCCTCGGTTCCTGTCCTAACGTGAAGGCACCTACTGGTTCCGTGAAGCTCACCTTCCTGCATCGGTGGAATCTCTCACCTCCTTCCCGTGAACATTGCATGGTTGGGACCCACCCTCGGATGGTCATGGCGTGTTCCTAACTGGCCTCCCTGCACCCACCTCTCTCCTGCTATGCATCTTTTATCCATAGCCAGGTTTTTCTCTCCCCGAAAGCTCAGCTTTTCTGTGTCTATTTTCTTCTCTGAAATCTTCAGTGGCTTCCCATGACCACAACATTCTGGGTCAAGACTCTTTCTCAGTCAGCATTTAAACACTTCTCCCAATTTGTCCTCAACCTAGCCTCGCCTTCCACCCCTCCTCCCTCCCACCACCTGACACCACAGCCTTCCGGGGACACTCATTCTTCCTGGAAAATGCCCCACAACTTACTGCCTCTCTGCCTCTAGGCATGCTGGAACCTCAGCCTGAAATGTTGGCCCTGCCTATGTTGACATTTACACATCCTTTAAAGCCCTGATCAAATGTCATATCCTTTAAGAATTTTAATTCCTTTACTCAGGAATAATTGGTCCTCCAAGTTGGATGTAAGAGAAATGTGTGAAGTGGGAACAAGACAATTACTGTGAGCTGTCTCCCTAATATCTGTCCACCCTACTCTCCTTCCTCCAGAAGGAATTTGGTTCTGTTTACCTGTCCACTCTTGGGGAATGAGCTCCTAAATCCCCAGTCCAGGAGTGAATCCTGATTGGTCTAAATCCACATGGCTATCCCATTCCCTTGACAGTGATTGGTTTAGAAGTAGGCGTGTGATCCGGTGTTGCTGGGAGACTGGGGAAGGTCTCTTACTCTTAAGAGATGTGAGTCGACCTCTTCTTCCACTTCAGCTGGGATAGTTGCAGTCATATTATGACTGTAAGGGTCAAAATTAAGGACAACTCATCATCTATCATCCTCATGATGGCAAAGCACAAATATGAAAACGCCCTTTCTGTGGTGATATTGTTGAGCTGCAAAATTAATCAACTCCAGAGATATTTTCCTTCTAAGTTTTCTTTTGTGTGTGATAAGAAAATCCCTTATTGCTTAAGGGAGTTGAGTCAGGGCTTCCTGTTACTTGCAGCCTAAAGCACTCCTGCAGATACAAGGGCAACAGCTAAGTCAATTCAGGTCTCCATGCTCTTTGGGATATTATACAGTCATACAAAAGAAACTCTAAGTTTCTGTGGCCACATGACACAGCATTTATGACATTATTTATGCCAAAAAAAACTCAACACACAAAACTGTAGGCCCTGCATGATGTAAAAATGTATGCAAATTTTTAAAAAGATCAAAAGAAAATACTTTTTAGAAAATAATAGCTGTGTTAGGGTAGTACATTTGTTCATTTCTCTCTCTCTTGCAACCTTTAGTAATGTGTGTACACACACATACATACACGTATGCATATACATTATATGAAGTACACATATTCTATATAGTACATAAATATCTCTTTAATATATCGATCAATGGTATTACAGTATATCTAAATATATAATACTGTATATAATGTCTATATTTGTGTATATAGACATTATATATATTTGTGCATATATATTATATATTTTTATAAGCATTTATGTGTGTATAATTTTTCTCTTACTGATGTAAATGCTTTATAAATATAAATATTACATTTATAAATATCAAGCACTTAAATATGAAACTGAAGTAATCCTCACAAATCCTGAGTTAACACTATTGTTACTCCTATTTTACTTTGAGGAGACTGAGGCCCAGAGAGGTTAGGTAACTTCCCCAAAGTCACAGAGCAAGTGTGTGGTAGAGCCAAGATTTGAGCACAGGGTCCAGAGTTTGTTCTTTTAATTACAAGGGTTCACTCTCTCAGAGGGTACCTGAAGAAATGGCTCCCACAACACTATTTGTAATTGGTTTTTCTGGCACGTTCTCTCTCTCTCTCTGTCTTTCTTTCTCTCTCTCTCTTTCTTTCTTTCTTTCTTTCTTCCTTTTTTTTTTTTTCTTGACAGAGTCCTGCTCTGTTGCCCAGGCTGGAGTGCAGTGGCTCAATCTTGCAACCTCCACCTCCTGGGTTCAAGTGATTCTCCTGCCTCAGCCTCCCAAGTAGCTGGGACCACAGGCACCCGCCACCATGCCTGGCTAATTTTTGTATTTGTAGAGACGGGGTTTCGCCATGTTGGCCAGGCTGGTCTCAAACTCCTGGTCTCAAACGATCTGCCTGCCTCAGTCTCCCAAAGTGCTGGGATTATAGGTGTGAACCACTTTGCCTGGCGTTTTTGGCACTTTCTGCCACATGCATGCACTGGTGAGGATTTCTGGTGAGGTCTCCTCTCCCTTTGCTCTTAGCATGTGGGTGCCCCAGGGACAGGACTTTGACAAAAGGTGTTTGGGCTGTGGGAGTGAGGATGATCCTCCTGGGGAGCAGGAGCCTTCTCGGGGTACAGGGGCAGAACAGCCACTTGGCCATGGCTGCCCAGATGGCTGTGGTGTGCTGAGTGCCACACAGAGACCTGATCCTGGCCGGGAGCAGCAGAGCCAAGCTTGGTGGTTGTGTCTGGTACATCTCCCAGTACCAGGTTTTTTTGCAGCCCATGAATACCAGTTCAATTTGTCAAATCAGTTCATGCAAATAGTATGTTTAAAGGAAAAGCCAGGCATGGTGGCTTACGCCTGTAATCCCAACACTTTGGGAGGTCAAGGCAGGAGGATTGCTTGAGGCCAGGAGTTTCAGACCAGCCTGGGCAATATAGTGAAACTCCTTCTCTACAAAAAATAAGAACATTAGCCGGGCATGGTGGCGGGTGCCTGTGGTCCTATGTTCTCAGGAGGCAGAGGCAGGAGGATTGTTTAAGCCCAGGGGGTCGTGTGAGGCTGCAGTGAGCTATGATTGCACCACTGCACCACAGCCCGGGCAACAGAGGGAGACCCCATCTCTACAAAAATATGTTAGAGCAGGTGTGGAGTTAGGAGTGATGAGGAGGCTTATGGGCATCTCCATGGGATGGCTCTACCTGTCTGTGTTTGGAAAGAAGGCTGCTGTGTAGGATTGGCTGTCATCCATCACTGGATTCTAACCCTGGGGCAAATGTATTGGAGAGCTGTCCAAAGGGCAGTGCTGAAAGCTTGGGTCATGGGAGAAAGAATAGTGTAGAGTGAACAAAGAGGGACGAGATGAGGAGGGGGCACAGGGACTAGGAATTCAGGTCAGCATCCACATCAGAGTCTCATCTTCCCACAGAGGTGATCGGTACTATCGATCGGGTCGGGGGTGATCTATTATCATTGAGTAGGGAAACTTACTAGGTTAAATAGAAAGTATATAAAATGTATTTGGTTATAGATATGTGAAGGAAAAGGCATAATTATATGGTCATCCATGCTGGGGAATATTTTGTAGTTATGTTTTGTTGAGAGAAATAGAACATATTGGATCAATAGAATTAGACAAATATCTTGGGCATCAAGAGACCTGGAAACATGGGAATGATAAAGAGAGAAAAACTGCAGTTTTGACGTTCTTGAGGCCACAAGAGAGATGGAGGAATGAGGGTAGTGTAGAGGAGAGAGAAATAAGTCATTTTGGGGGTGTGAAGGATGGGTGATGGATAAGGAGAGGCACATGTGCATGGTCAGAACAAGGGTAAATAAATGAAATGTTGATTAATTTGTTTATTATGTTCTGATCACCAGCACTGAAGGACATAATGGACTCAGGAAGCCAAAAAAAAAAAAAAAGACAACAAACAACAACAACAACAATAAAAACAGAGAGAGAGAAAAGAAAAAGAAAAAGCAACCCTTACTTGATGGTCTTTTGAGGGTTGGCTTAGGTTATTAGAAATAGTGACATTCTGATGCCCCAGTCTCTTTCCCTGTCTCTTGCAGCTGCCAACAATAGTGGGTCACAGGTACGATCAAGGCAGGGTCCTCAACTTGAGAAGGGGCTGCCGCATAAGACAGGTCACTAAAACAAGAGCCTGGAAAAGAAACCAACACAAAGATCTGGTTATATACAGGGCATATCCAAGCTATCAAGCCAGTTCCCCTAACTGAGCAGGAAGCCAGGTTATAAGAACTGGGGCACAATTGAGAAAGCTTGTGAGGGATGAGTAGGAGTTTTGGAGGGAAAATGAGGGAGAGGGAAATCCAGGCACATGAATGTGCCTTGCATGTCTCTTTTGGGGAATGGTGGGAAATTCATGTACCTGGGGTTTGTGGTGATTGTGTTGTGAGAGATGAGGCTGTAAAAGTTAACAGGGTTGATGTTTAAAAGGAATATGGCAGATATAAGGCTATGGAGTTTAAATAGTAGTAAGAATGACATTCAAAATCTTTAACAACACACCGGCACCAACCATCAGAACAGACACTGGCCGTGGTGCTGGACCAAGTCTTGGCAGGGAAACTCCAGGGTTTTGGAGGGCATGGGAGCAGTGTGTGTGTTGGATGGAGGACTGGGGGTGCGGTGGGGAAAGAACAGGTGAAATACTTGGAGAAGGTGCTGAAGACAGCAGCTACTTACTGGTATGAGCTGGTAGGAAAATATTTTAATATTTGAACCGTCAGAATGGCTGTGCAGGTGCATATTAGCTGACCATCAGGCCTGAGTGGGGAGCAGGGGAGTGATATAACTGGATTTTTGCTTTGAAAAGTGGCTCTGGTCACAGCAAATGTTTGTTCACCAGGTGGATTGATGGGTAATAGAATTTTAGAATGGGTAGGGACCTCGGCTAATTTCATTCCGTCTGATAGAACATAAAAGTTTCCAGCCCTTCTCAGCCTAGGTCTAGCTAGAAATCACCTGCTTCCATCTGGCCCCTTATTCCCCACGACTAAACATATTCCCAGCTCCCTGCATTCTCTGCTCTTGGCCACTGCAGCCGTGAAGCCTGTCCCTGCCTGGTTGCCTCTGCTCAGCCCTGTCTGGACACGCCTGCTGTGCCTTGCTGTTTCCTCCCCTCACCAGCAGGAGAAGTGGCAATCTTCTGGGATTTAATTACAGGTTCCCTGAGGGCCTTTCAGCCCATCACAGGACTCCTGCAGGCTGCCGGCTGGGAGGGTGACAGGAGCATGCCGTGATGAACAGTGACTTCCCGGGATGGCTGCTATAGCAAGTGACCGGCCCACGCTCCTCAGGCTGCTCTGCATTTTCCTGAGCAAAACATGTCTCACTCCTATTTTGCAAGATCAGATAGCAAACGGGGAAAACACTTGCAGCAGGGAAGATGATAAAAGAGAGAGGGCTGTGCAGCCATGGTGGAGGACAGAAGGCACTGCAGTTTCCCTGGAGGTGGCGTCTGCCTCCCAACGACTCCTGGAAACTCTCCATCGTTAAATAATGACTTAGTAATCCTGCTCACTTTAATTAAGTCAGCCTGGTGTGCGGACAACTCAGGTCCAAGTGGGGATCTTTTTGGCCTCAGGCAGCCATGCTACAGTCCAAAAAAGCCCACAGACTAGGGTCAGCAAAGATACAGTAGGCACACCATGATTCCTCACCACCTTCGCCCACACCAGACATTGTTAATTGATCGTGCACAACAAAGTCCAAATGTTTTAGGAGCCTGGATGTGAGTTCTGGTTATTCAGAGCTTGGGAATACTTTAAAATATGACAATTGAAGATTTTAAATTTTGGTCCTCTTAATGTACAATGGGTTCATGGAAGGTATGCCTCAAAGGAGGACATTCTGACCGAGCCACAAGGCCCCTTCCCCCGAGTCAAGATTCCATAATCTTTTTTCAATTCAGCCCCCTTCGGAACATGCCATTTGGCATGGGATGGGATAGATCCTCATCAAGAGGGATGGGATAAATCACTTACTGCTGCACTTTTGGCCCTTACTCCCAGGATGATAAATAAGCATTGAAAGATATGGGTTTTTCTAAATACTCTGTCTCTTATTTTCCTCCTTTCAGGTGAAAATCCAATGATATGGACTCCATATTATCAACTAGGGTGTAATGTTGAGCCGACTCCCCCTCCTGTAATGTAATTTCTCCATTGGGCACCCATGTCTCCATCACTCTCAGCCTGTGTGGTCAGGGTGAGGCTGGCTCTATCTCCAAGGCTGGGCACACGGTCCAGGCTTGGCCAATTGGAGTTTTCCATCTTCTTGGCTGCCATGATGAGTACTGGATTCTAGGAAGCTAGATGTTCTGCTGCATTTGCTGAAAAAATGGAGCTCTCCTTCTCCTGGGTGTGGACCAAGTCAGAGGGGTGTTTGCCTGGAGCTTCTGGTGAATGTCTTTGTCATCCCCGTAGGGAGATCCTGCAAAGGCTCTGAGGTGAGACCGAGCTTGGCATGTTTTGAGGAACAGAAAGAGAGAATGGTTGGGGCATGGAAGGTAAGGGGAGAATGGTAGGAGATGGAGTCAGAGAGGAAGGTAGGGACCAGATCATGGGCAGCCATGATGGCCATGATAGGGAATTGGGAGATTTTTCTAACAGCAGTGGGAAGTCATTGCCACTTTGGGCATCCCCATGCCCTGGAACCTTCTTTGTACTGACTCCTTCCTCCTTATTGAGTCATCTTGGATACGAACAGGTTTGAATGAGAATTGAAAGACTCTGGGCATCCCTAGGCTCTGCCTTTGTGATATGCGCAAGTTGCACTCATCTCTGGGCCTGTTTCTACTGTGGCTCATGATGGAATCAGACAAGTTTAAGGAGAATGGAAAGCTTTAATCCTTCATCCCTTCTATTCTCAATTGGTAGTGCCTGCCTGGACAGCTGTGTGGAGAAGGATTGTGAGGCGTCTCCCAGGCTCCGTGGGAGAGTGCCATGATCGATTAGCAATGTCTGCCCTGGGTAAAGGAACGGGAATGATGAATCATCCATCTTAAGACTACACACTCCCAGAGGTGTCTCCCATAGAATTTCATGGTACTTTACATCAGATGTATCAGAAACTTAGAGCACCAGACCAAGGATAAAAATGTTCAGCAAGCCTTTGCAGGGCTTCCCATTTTACAAAGATTCTTCCTGCCCATTTTCTTGTTGGATCTTCGCAGCCTCCTCAAACCATCTTCTTTATTCTTTTTTTTCTTTTTCTTTCTTTTTTTTTTTCTTTTTTTTGAGATGGAGTCTTGCTCTGTCGCCCAGGCTGGAGTGCAATGGCATGATCTTGGCTCACTGTGACCTCCGCCTCCCAGGTTCAAGTGATTCTCCTGCCTTGGCCTCCTGAGTAGTTGGGACCACAGGCGCCCGCCACCATGCCTGACTAATTTTTTGTATTTTTAGTATAGACAGGGTTTTGCCACGTTGGCCAGGCTAGTCTTGAGCTCCTGACCTCAAATGATCCACCTGCCTCGGCATCCTAAAGTGCTGGGATTATAAGCATGAGCCACCACGCCAGGCCCTCAAACCATCTTAATAGGAAAACAATCTGTTGTGTTTGCCCCATAGCCAGCATCCCTTTTTCTGGTAACCATACTCTGGTTGTTGTTTTTTTCTGCTGGGTGTCAAGCTCTTTCTATGCTCAGGCCATGTAGTTTGTGACTGAGGTTGAAGCAGGAGACCCAGGCCTACGGCAGTCAAAGCATCACATTCCCCTGTGGATGGGTTGATGGATTCATGACCAAATCAGAGGTTATGCAATACAATGAAATGTCTGCTGCAACCTCAGGGGAAGAGAGCTGTGCCCAGTGGATTTGAAGGTGGTTGGATGTGGGTCTAGGTGTGTTGGGGCTGTTTCCTGTGGCCCTGAAAGCTGATTTCACACATTTCTTCTCAACTTGGCATTCAAAATCTGCCACAGTAGAAGGATTTGCTAAAAATCAGGGATTTTTTTTTTGGTCCCAAGAGCTGGCTTGGCTTCCGGCCACTTTCTTACCATGGCATGGAGTCTGAGACCCAAGCCACAGCATGGAAGATGGAGCCAAAAGTTAGAAAAGGACCGAGTCCTCCGTCTAGCTGTGCCCGAAGCCAGATCTGCTTTTTAGCTGATGAATTATTCTTCTGTTTATGCCTGTCGTGGTTGTATTTCTATCCCTTGCAACTAAGAGAAGTCTGATATAAATTTTAGATTCAGCAGGCTAAAGAAAAGATGGTTTAATTCTCATCTCTTTAAAACTCTGGGAATACTTCCCCACTGCCTTGGGAGGAATGGCTGGATTCTCACCTGGCACCCTAGGTTTTCTGCCATCTGGCCCCAGTTGCTGTCTCTGGCTTCAGAGGAAGGCCTCCTATGCTCTGGGTTGATTGGGTTTCTTAACTGCCCTCAACAAAGTCTCCTCTTTTGCTTATTCTGTTCCTCTCTACCTGGAACACCCTTTCTTTCTCCACAGCTACATTCCTGTCATTGTTTAGGGTCCTGCTCATTCCCCCTACATCCTTGGAGCTATGCCAGCTTCTCCCCCCGCCCCTCTCTCTCAGCACACAGCACTTTCTTGATTGTAGAGTCCTCACGCCCAGCTCACTGCCTCTTCTACATTTGAGCACTTTAAGGTCAGGACTGCATGAGGTTCATCTTCAAATCCTCCCGAATACCTGTTACATCACCTTGCACAAAACAGGCCATCAGGAAATACTTGTGAAGCCAACAGATCCATTCTCAACCCAGCAGCTAGAGTGATCTACTGCAAACGCAAATTATATTGGGCCACCGGCTTCTTTAAAATCCTCTGACCAGAATTCCCACCTCACTGGCCTCTGGATTACAGAAAAAAAGCACGAAGCAAGCTTGCTCCCACCTCAGGCCTTTGCACTTGCTGTGTGTGGATTTATCTTCACCCAACTCTTTATTTAGCTTCCTCCTTCCTACCAGGATTTAGCTCAAATGTCACCTCCTCATAGACATCTTGCCTGGACACTCTTAACTGATATAGCCCCACTCTAGACATTTTTTTTTTTGCATTGAGTGATTTTAATTTTATTTTTTCCATTAATGATGATCAATGCTTATATAGCACTTATGATGTATCACATCGTGTCCTAAGCAAATACAGGAGTATATTAACTCTTTTAGTTTTTAACAACCCCATGAGGGAGGTGCCCCCATTTTACACACAAAGAATGAGTGTCATAAGCTGGCTTCCCTGGGAACAGAGCCTGAGATGGGAATTCTGGTGCCCATGAATTTTTGGAGAGATACTTTCAGGTAAAAGGGAGAGAGCATGGCACAGTAGTTCATGCCTGCCGTCCCAGCACTTTGGGAGGCTGAGATGGGAGGATTATTTGAGGCCAGGAGTCTGAGATCAGCCTAAGCAACAGAATGAGAACTCATCTCTACAAAAAAAAAAAAAAAAAGGATTAAAAATATTAGCTGGCATGGTGGTTTGCAACCCAACTACTTGGGAGGCTGAGGTGGGAGGATTGCTTGAGCCCAGGAGTTTGAGTCTGCACTGAGCTGTGATTGCACCACTGTACTCCAGCCTGGGCAACACAGCAAGACTCTGTCTCTAAAAAAAAAATATAAATACATAAAATTTAGAAAGAAAAACATGTTTAAGAGAGGGCAGAGGAAGATAAATTAGACACAGAGGGCAGAGTAAGGGAAATGGCATGGAAGGGGTGTGGTCTCCCCAGAGACTGACCCCCTGGGAAGCTCTGGAGTGTGAATTATACTGCAGAGTTGGTTCCACCTTCAGCCACAGGAAGCACGCCTTTTTTCCTCATTGGGTGTCTCAGGGGTTAGAGGGAATCACCATAACCTTCCAGGTGAGCTGGCTGCAATTCAACCAAGGGCATGTTTCTGCAGAAGGGGAGAGTGTGCTCCTTTAGTGGCCCGTCATGGCAGCCAGGGAGTGATGTATCACTGCAAAGGGGACCTGGGTAGGCACCAGGAATATTCACTGCAAAAAAAGTTAAATGATTTGCCCGAGGGCCCCACCCGGTAAGTGGCAGAACCAGAATTTAAACCCAGGTTGTCTGTCTGTTCCTTTAACCTCTCTGCTGTGGCTGCCGCTACCTGACATGATCCTATTGTATTTATTATTATTATTTTTTAGAGACATGGTCCCACTGTGTTGCCCAGGTTGGAGTGCAGTGGCTATTCAAAGGCATAGTCATAGCTCACTGCAGCCTCAAACTCCTGGGCTCAAGCGATCCTCCCCTCTCAGTTTCCCCAATCCTATTGACTTTTGAAAACTTGTTTATTTTCAATCTCCTCAAGACAGCAGACTCATTGGTTTCATTCGTAGCTATGTCCCCAGCACCTTGAACAGCACCCAGCACATAGTAGGTGCTCAGTAAATACTTGTGGCTTGAGTGAGTGAATGAACGACTGAGAACTGTGGACCTGTGAGCCTAGGCAGCCAGGCTGACTCTCTTGCCTGTGGCTTTGCTTGCTCAGCGCCCTGCCCTGTGTGTCTGATCTTTATTTATGGCTCCACAAAGCCTTCTGCTGTTCATGGATTTCTTTGCTTTCAAATATTTCTTTTGTAACCAAAATGAAAGTCTGGCAAATTCCCCTAAATCACAGACTCCCTTGGCTCTTCTGCCCCCACCCTGCCCCTCCCTCCCTATTTTCCAGTGAGTTTTCAAAACCAACAGGGTGTGTGTGTGTGTGTGTGTGTGTGTGTGTGTGTGTGTGTGTGTACATCCTCTGGGGGAAGAGACACCTCTGCTCCCTCATCCCCTCTCAGAGTTGCCCCATCCATCAGCCTGGGTTTTGCCTCAGCTCTGATCAATACCTGCTTGGTAGCGGCTTAGTGATATCTACGGTTAAGAGCCATTTGTTCCTTTCTTGGTTGCAGGTAGATTCTCATCAAAACCCATTTGGAATCACAGCCGTTCAGTGATCACACAAATGACATGGGAGCAGTAATCACAGGGCTCCGAAGTTTAGGCAGAAGAATGTCACCTGCCACTTGTCTATGGTCCCTTCCAGACACTTGTTATTTTTACTTAGGTGTGGGTGTAGCCAGGGGCAATCTGCAAGATATTTAGCATCTGGTAGGATGCAGGATTGACCTATCAGCCTGGTTGTATCCTTTTCCCATGATTTATATGTTATTATTACTAAAAATAATAGCTCTAGCATCGGGAATGCAACTTACATGCTAGGCTCATTTGTGCTAAATGCTTTCAAAATTCCTCCTAAATTATCCAGGCATGGTGGTGAGTGCCTGGGGTCCCAGCTACTCGGGAGGTTGAGGTGGGAGAATCACTAGAGCCTGGGAGGTCGAGGCTGCAGTGAGCCATGATTCTGCCACTGCACTCCAGCCTGGGCAACAGAGTGAGATCTTGTCAAAAAAAAAAAAATAGAAAAGAAAAGAAAAAGGAAAAGAAAGAGAAAACGCTTCTAAAACAGCTCTGGGAGGCTGTATCCTCACTTTGCATATCAGGAAACTGAGGCTCGGAGAGAGAACCATTTTTCCATTCTTCATAATCATTACATTTGGAAGCTACAGAATAATATTCCATCCACAATATATGAACTTGGTACTCCACTTAATGTTGTACTAAGTTCATATAACAATTCTACTGCCAAACCATTCATATTGTTTCCAGTCTTTTTGCTGGTATAAATAATGTAGCCATGACAGTCCTTGTATCATTAGAGATTCCTTGAAGAATTCATTTTGGATGACTATATAATATTTCATATTGTCAACGAAGACATGTGTACAAGGATACTAATTGCATCATTACTTATAATAGCAAAAAATGGAATGCTATTAAGCCACACAGAAAAATGCTCCTGAGATTATATTAAGTGAAAGTAACAGGGTGCAAAACTGCATGATCTGCAAGCTCCTGGTTATAGACGGAGGAAACTTACATATGCGTTAAAAAAAAAAAAAACTGGAAGGAAATAGGCTCAAATTTTACCAGTTATTGCTGGTGGTGACCTTATATGGGAAACTATTTTCTCATATTTCTATATTTTTCAAATTCTTTCCGATAAGCATGTGTTACTTTTAAATTAGAAAATACGTAGAAAAAAATTTTAAAATAATTAAATTTAGTCTGTGAGTGTAGGTCATTGCTGTAGCCCTGGGGCAGCAGACTTTTCTTTAAAAGGACCAGAAAGTAAATATCTGGATAGTAAATACTGGCTTTGGGAACCACACAGTCTCTATTGTGGTTACTCACCTCTGCCATTGTTATATGAAAGCAGCCATAGATGATACATAAATGAATGAACTTGATTGTGGTCCAATAAAACTTTATTTGTCTGTATTCCAATAAAATCTTATTTACAAAAACAGGAGGCATGGCAAATTTGGCCCATAGGCTGTAGTTTGACAACCCCTGCTCTCATCTCCCAAATCATTATTTTCCTTTTAATAAACTGACTTTATGAAATATTGGAGTAAATACAAATGAATATTTATGAAAATAAGTTCAAAATACCATTAATAAGAATGCAGCGAATCACCAATTTAAGCAAAACGTCATTACCATTAGCTTTGGATTCCTAGGTCCCTTGCCCTGAGATCCCAGCCCCTCCCTCAAAGGCAACCTCTTTCTTGACTTCTAGATAGAACATTCCCTTGCATTTGTTCAGTTTCGCGACAAGTTAGTATCATTAAATACACTGTATCTTTTTGCTTATCTTTGAACTTTAGATAAATTGGATCATGGTACATGTGTTATCATGTTAACATGGTACATGGGTACACAGAGTTAACTTGTTTACATTATGTTCTTAAGATTCCTCCACATTGGCCAGGCGTGGTGGCTTACACCTGTAATCCCAGCACTTTGGGAGGCTGAGGCAGGAGGATCACTTGAGCCCAGGAGTTTCAGAGCAGCCTGGGCAACATGGTGAGACCCTGTCTCCATTAAAAAAAAACACACACACACAAATAAATAAAAATAAAGATTCTGCCATGTTGATGTTTGTAGCCATTATCCATTTCTGTTCACAGCTTCCTAGCAAGCATTCTATGCTGTGAATACACCACAATTTATTTATCCATTCTACTGTCGATAACCATTTAGTTGTTTCCAGTTTTTTTTCCCATTTCAAACTGTGCCATTATGAACATTGTTGAACCTGTATTATGGTGCAAGAATGTCTTTAACTTTTATAAATTGGACTGTGATTGCTGGGTCGTAGGACACAAACATCTTCAACTACACTAGGTAAGGACAAATTGGTCTCTGAAGTGGCTGCGTCAATCTGTGGAGCCACTCCCACATTCTCACCAGCGTTTGCTATCTTCATACTAATCATTTTTAACCTTGATGTTGTTGTTGTGAGTATATATGAAATCTGAAGATATAACAGCCAGACCAGACCTTTAGTCTTTTGTTTTGTTTTGGTTTTGAGACAGGGTCTTGCTCTGTTGCTCAGGCTGGAGTGCAGTGGTACAATCAGGGATCACTGCAGCCTCAACCTCCTGGGCTCAAGTGATCCTCCCACCTCATCCTCCCCAGTAGCTGGAACTGCAGGTGCACACCACCATGCCTGGCTAATTAAAAGAATGTTTTTAGTAGAGACCAGGTCTCACTATGTTGCCCAGGTTGGTCTCAAACTCCTGGGCTTAAGCGATCCTCCTGCCTCAGCCTCTTGAAGTGCTAGGATTATAGGCATGAGCCACTGTGCCCAGCCAGACCTTTGGTCTTAATGCCAGTTGTCTGACCTTAAGTGGGCTTGGCTGTGAGGCATGCTGGGAGCTTGGGTACATGGATGGTGAGACAGTGGTAGGAGTCAGACCCTTGTAGGGTTGCGGGAACTCACCAAGCCCCAGCCTGACCACCACAAAGCAGGTGGTCAGTGTCCTTATAGCTTGAATCCAAAGCTGATCAACAAATCATTCATTTATTCAACAAATGTTAAGGAATGCCTGCTATGTGTCAGGCGCAGTTCAAGACACTGGGGCCCAGTGGCATATAGGAGACAAAAACCCCTGCCTCCATGGAGCTTCCACTCTCAAAGAGAGAAACAAACTTTCAAAAAAGTAAGTTGTCAGTCACATGGTATTATTAGATGGCAATAAGTGTGGAGAAAAGTAAAGCGGGGCTGAGGCTGTGAAGAAGGGCAGGGAGTGAGAGAGCGTTTACATTACAGTTGGGGGAGCCAGAGGGGGCCTTCTCAAGAAGGTGACATTTGAGCAAAGATCAAAGGAGTGGAGGACAAAACCATGAGGATGCCATGTGGTTGGGGGAGGGAGTGGGGAGGTTCCAAACAGCAGAACAGCAGGTGCACAGGCCCTGAGGCAGAAAATACCCAGGATATTCAAACAGCAGCCAAGCAGCAAGGAGATGCCTGGAGTAAAGAGAGAAAGGGATGGGAGGCCAAGGTGGAAGGGTCACCTGAGGTCAGGAGTTGGAGACCAGCCTGGCCAACATGGCCAAACACCATCTCTACTAAAAATACAAAACATCAGCAGGGTGTGGTGGCGGGCGCCTGTAATCCCAGCTATTTGGGAGGCTGAGGCATGAGAATAGCTTGAACCTGGGAGGCGGAGGTTGCAGTGAATGGAGAATGTGCCACTGCACTCCAGCCTGGGTGACAGAGTGAGACCCTGTCTCAAAAGAGAGAGAGGAGAGAGAGAGAGAGAGAGAGAGAGAGAGCGAGAGAGAGGTGATGAGGCTAGAGAAGAAAGGAGGCCAGATTGTACTGGGCTACACAAACAGTGGGCTTGGTTGTGGCTGCCAAGAAACTCCAAGGAAGTCCAGTCAGGCTGGGTGGGGGCAGCAGGATCCGGCAGCTGCTAGGGAGGAAGTGGGCAGGAACTACAGGGAGTGCCAGGTCCCCAGCCCTTGACTGGGGCTCAGGGCAGGGAACTGGAATTTTTTGTATTTTTGTTGTTGTTGTTGTTGTTTTTTAGACAGGTTCTTGCTCTGTCACCCAGGCTGGAGTGCAGTGATGCAATCATGGCTCACTGCAGCTTCAACTTCCTGAGCTCAAGCAATCCTCCTGCCTCAGCCTCCCGAGTTGTACATGGCACAAGTGCATGCCACCACGCCTGGCAAGTTTTGGTATTTTTGTAGATATGGGCTTTCACTATGCTGCCCAGGCTGGTCTTGGACTCCTGGGCTCAAGCAATCCTGCTGCCTTGGCCTCCCAAAGTGCTGGCGTTACAGGTGAGAGCCACCACACCCAGCCTAGACCTGGAGTTCTTGGGTAGACTGAGGCAGGTTCCTGCATGTGTCAGTCATCCTGACCAGGGGCTTTTGTACCTGTGTGTGTTTGGGTGTCTGTGATGGGAAGACTGAGGGTCATGAACCATGCAGTTCATCATCCATGGCAATAAGACTGATGAACTAGAAAGCTCCATGGCCTCAAGTGGCCTGGTTCAAACCTTGGTCTTGCCATTTTCTAGTTGTGTGACCTTAAGCAAGTCAATGGACCTTTCATGCCTCAGTTTCTTGACTATAAAATGGGGATAATCACATTACCTACCTCACAGAGGTTTTTGTGATGATTAAATCAGTTGTGATTCAAACAGCATGAGTAGTATAGTAAGTACTTTATAAATACTCTTTCTTATTAGTTATAGTATTTCTCTTGAATACTACATTTGTCCTTGTCCCAAATATGGACCAGACCAGGAGGGGCATGAAAAGATGCACATCAGCTGGGTGTAGTGGCTCATGCCTGTAATCCTGCACTTTGGGAGGCCAAGGGGGGCAGATTGTCTGAGGTCATGAGTTTGAGCACAGCCTGGCCAACATGGTGAAAACCCGTGTCTACTAAAAAAAAAAAAAAAAGTAGCCAGGCATGGTGGCATGTGCCTGTAATCCCAGCTACTCAGGAGGCTGAGGCAGGAGAATCTCTTGGACCTGGGAGGTGGAGGTTGCAGTGAGCTGAGATCATGCCACTACACTCCAGCCTGGGTGACAGAGCAAGACTCTGTCTAAACAAAAAAAAAAAAAAAAAAAGAAAGAAAAGATGCACATCATTTAATTACTGTGTGCTCATGGGCAAGTTACATTGCTTCCCCGAACCTTGATGTTCTTAACAATGAAATGGGACTGTGAAACTTCTCTTTAGAGAATCAGAAGTGACAGCTTATAAAGATCTAGGTGCAGGCTGGGCATGGTGGCTCACGCATGTAGTTCCAGCTACTTGGGAGGCTGAGGTGGGAGGATCACATGAGCCCTGGAGGTCGGGACTGCTGTGAGATATGATCACACCATTGTGTTCCAGCATGGGCAACAGAGCAAGACCTTGTCTCAAAAAAAAAAAAAAAAAAAAAAAAGCTGGGTGCAGTGCAGAGTCATGCAGGTGTTTGGTTAGTTCCTTCGCCTTCTCCCTCCTTTCATCAACATTGTCCTCTCTGGGGCCAGGTCAGTGGTGGCTCACGCCTGTAATCCCAACACTTTGAGAGGCTGAGGTGGGACCCTTGCTTGAGCCTAAGAGTTCAAGGCTGCAGTGAGCCATAATCACACCACTACACCGCTGCAGTTCAGCTTGGGTGACAGAGTGAAACCCTGTCAAAAAAAAAAAAAAAAAGAAAAAGAAGAAAGAAAGAAAGAAAAAAGAAAGAAAGAAAGAAAAAGAAAGAAAGAGAGAAAAGAAAAAATAATTGTTCCCTCTGGCCTAGTCCAAAGGCAGATAGTGAATGAGGTGTGGGTCCTGACTTCTGGGGCCCAAAGTCTCACAAGGCAGAAAAATAATGGCATGACAATGAGGTAAGCACCATAGCGACAGGATAGCAGCTAACTAGAGAGAACTCTTGCTGTGTGCCAGACACTACATGAAGCCCCTCCCATGGGATATCTACTAGATGGGTGATGTTATTGTCATCCCCATTTTCAGGTGGGGAAACTCAGGTTTAGAAATGTTAAATGATGGGCCCCAGGTCCCTACGGCTGGTAAGTGTAGGCACCAGGGCTTGAGCTACACTCTCTGACTCCAGCCTGTTTTAATGCAGAGGGGCTGTAAGGGCATAGAGAAGTGAGCTATCAGCCTTTGGGGTGGGGTGGGAAGAGGAGGTTACTGAAGCCCTCAGTGGGATGAGATACTGAGCTGAATCTTGCAGGATGTGTAGGAGTTGGCCAAGCAAAACACTGTGGTTTGAATGTTTTTGTCCTCTCCAAAAATTCATGTGTTGGAAACTTAATCCCAATGCAACGGTGTTAGAGTTTTGGCCTTTGGGAAGTGTTTAGGTCAGGAGGGCTCCATCCTCATGAATGGATTAATGCTGCTATAAAAAGGGCTTGCAGGAGTGTATTAGCTCTCTCTTGCCCTTCCTGCCATGCAAGGACGCAGGAAGAAGGCCCACACCAGAAAAGCCACCTTGTTCTTGGATTTCCCAGCCTCCAGAACTGTGAGAAGTAAATTTCTGTTTTTTAAAAATTACCCAGTCTCTGGTATTCTGTTATAGCAGCGCAAACTGGACTAGGAAACAGACCAAAGTGTAGACAGGACGGGCAGATGGAAGAGTACTTGCCAAGGCTCTAGAGACTTGGGGGAAATGTAACATGCATCAGTTCTCTATTGCCATGACAATGCTGCATACTGATCACAACCTTCAGAGGTCTGCAAGTATAAGCGTTTACTGCTTCAACATGTGGGGTGATCAGCTCGATGGTTTTGCTGATTGTGGCTAGCTTGCTTTATGTCTAGGCACAGACAGACTGTTTGGCTGACCTAGGCCAGCCTCAGCTGGGATGATTAGGTTCTGCCCAGTGGGTCCTTCATCCTCCAGCAGGCTAGCCTGGGTGACAACAGGTGCAAGCAAGAGGGATTGCACTGGTTGTGCAATGTGCTTGTGTCTCATCCGCTAACATCCCATTGGCCAAAGCAAGTCCCATGGCTGAGCTCAAAGTCAGAAGTGGGAGAGTATTTTAAAAGGGTACAGACACAGGAAGGGTGAATAATTTGGGACCATGCTTGCAATCTACCAGGTAGGTAGTTTAGGGGAGTTGGAGGGTGGGGCGTGGGGAAGCTGCAGATGCAATTGCCAAGGTCACAGGGGACAAGTTTGTGGAGCATGGGCAAGAGTGGGCCAATGGGAAAGTAGGAAGGAGGCAGAGGCTGTTGCAACCACAAGAAAGGACACAGGCCTAGACTGGGGCAACAGCAGAGGGGATAGAAGAGATTGATTATGCTACATTTGTCCTACAAAACCAAGACAGCCAGGCTGAGACATTTGTTCTGTTACACAGATGTCACAGATGGCCCCTGGGATATAATTGGCCTTGGCCTCTGCAGAAAGGTTAATTGCTCAGATCACACAGTCTGAAGCTTTCTGGAATGGACAGAGCAGCTCCCCAATTAAAACCCCAGAGCTGCAGAGCTTTCTCTCTCCTCTGGTCACTTGGCCAGGGCTGCACAGGGCAGATGAGGAGCAGAGATGCTGGGAGCCCTGCCTATGAGGGAGCTCATATCCCCAGAGGGAGACTAAGAAATGAGCAAACATTCCAGGGCTGGGACAGACATCCTTGCAGGGACAGTCAAGGAAGGCAAAAGCCTATTTTGGCTGCAAAAGAAAGAAAACTCATTTCAAACAGACTTGAGCTGAAGGAGGAGTTTACTGGCTCCATAATTCAAGTATCAGGGACATATCACAGTCAGGCACAGCTGGATCCAGGCGCTCCCACAATGCTCTTAAGAGTCAGCCATTCTCTCTCTGCTCGGCTCTCCTGGGTTTCCTTCTGAGGGGGTCTGTACTGGCAGAGGTGCTCCCGGCAGCTCCAGTTTCCACTTTCTCCAGTTTAGCAACTCCCAGTGGAAAGGGACCGCCTCTTCAACAGATGTTTCTGCAAATTCCCAGGTCTAGCTCTGATTGGCCCAGCTTGAGTCATGTGCCCATCCCTTAACCAATCACAGTAGACTCTGAGGATACTAGCCCTGTAGCTGGGAGCAGCTGGACTGTCCCCCATACTCAAGTGCTGAGAATGGGGTAGTGGTGGTCTCTGGAAGGAAAAGTGGGTTCTATTTCCAAGAGGGATGCTGGGCTGGCCCAGGGCACAGGAGGGGCAGTGGAGGTGGTGAGACAGGGTGTCCATACCCATCGGGGTCTCGGGAGTCATGTCACAGAGGGGATGGGCCTTCAAGTTGAGTCTGACTGCCCGTTTCACAGACGGGTAAACTGAGGCAAAGGTATGATCATTTCAAAATGAGACCGCTGCTAGGGAGACAATTAAACAAGATGTCAGAATGGGGCGTGGCCAGGGGAGAGAAGGTTGGGTAGGTGGATGGGTTAGGATCTTTCTGGTTCCTTGATGAAGAGCTTACATTTGAACTGAGACCTGAGTGCAGATGAGGAACCAGCCCTGTGAGAATAAGAGGAAAGAACATTTCAGGGGGAGCAGGAGGTGCAGAGGGCCCCGGGCTGAAGCAAACTTGATCTCCTAGGGACCCAGGATGCTGGACACACTAACATCTCAACACCTCCTCAGATCCTCAGGGAAGCGGGGTAAGAACCAGGAAGGCCACACGCCAGCTTTTCAGAGCCTGGTGGCCAGGACTAGTCACACAGCAAGGGAGCCTGGGGAAATAGGGGGATTTCATGGCTTCTGAGTGAGAAGTTTGTAAATGTTTCCGCCAGGGAAACCCACCCTCCCGTCGCTATCTTCTACTAGAAGCTCTTAGTTGAAAAATTTTGCTTAATATGCTGGCTACAAGCTCTATCTCATGAGTGCCTTAATTTAAATTTTATTACGAGAGAGGTTGAATTAATTTTTCCATAGGATTTTAACTACGTTGGTTTCTTCCTTTGTGAGCTATCTGGAAACCTAACCTTTCGAGCCTCCTTAAAAAACTTTTTTTTTTAAACCTGAAACAGGAGGCATTTGGAAGCTGTGATCTCAAAGGCCCCGTCCAACTTGTATATTCCCGTGGATTCTCTGATCTTTAAAAATACCAAAGGAAATGCCATTTATATTGGCAAAAGCTTTGTGGGTGCCTCCCAGATGAGAGAATAAACCCCTGAAGTTGGTGCGTCTAGATATTTTTAGACTTCTCTGCCACAGTGATAAAGCCAGGATCCTTTTGGTCAAGGTGGTGAGGCAGGGGTGGGAGTGGGAAGGTGGGGGAAGGGTAGTGGCAAGAGAAAAGATGCTGTCTAGTAATAAGATAGAGATTCAGAGCTCACCATAGACTCAGGCAGGATCATGCATCATGCATCCCCCGCCCCGCCCTGCCACCAAGATGAATGCCGTACTGAGACAGAAGAAGTACATTCTTCGTGCTAGGATAGACCCTTCATGTACCATTGCAGATAAGCCTTAAAAAATTTCTACCCACAAATATTTGTTCATTATTCTGTCCATGTCTTAAAGGTGCTGGCTCATGTCTGTAATCCCAGCACTTTGGAAGGCTGTGGGAGGACTGCTTGAGGCCAGGAGTTCAAGAGCAGCCTGGGCAACAGAATGAGACCCTGTCTCTACAAAAAAATAAAATTAGCCAGGCAGCATGACACATGCCTGTGGTCCCAGCTAATTGGGAGGTTGAGGTGGGGAGGATCACTTGAGCCCAGGAGGTGCAGTGAGCTATGATTGCACTGCTGCAGTCCAGCCTGGGCAACAAAGTGAGACCCTGTCGCTTTAAAAAAAAAAAAAAAAAAAAGATTCTGGCATGAACGGAATAGCATTTTCCCCTTTGTGTGGTCCAGCCAAGTGCTCAGTAGAAGTTGAAGAAATGTCTGCTGTTAAGAAACAGAGTACTGGGTTGGAGACCATGCTCGGCTAGAAGCCGTGTGACCTTCTTCAAATCTTGTCCCCTCTCTGGGGTGAATTTTTAGCACAAAAAAATGCAGTGGGATGGACTCAATCATGATTGGGTTTCTGAGCTCTGTGAAGGATTGGAAACTGGTGTCCTAGGGCCTCACAGTTGTGTTTGAAAAGATTTGAATTCATTATTTTTTCAAAATGAAATTTCATGTAAAACCCAAGATTTCTGGCTTCTTTGGAAGAGTTGGAAGATCTGGCAACCCCGAGTGCATATTCCCACCTGTCGGCTGCGGCTGTGGCTTCTCCTGGGATGTGACCATCCCTGAATGTGACCCCTCCAGGTGGCTGCAGCTGCCATGACTTTCTGTGCTTTTCTTGACACGGAAGCAGAGCATTCACCCCCATTTATGACTGTGCTTGTACCTTTCCTTAAGGAGGAAAGTGAGAGATGTCTTGTAATCGTGTTTCCATCAGAGGTGGGGAAAGCATGTGCAAAGGCCCTGGGGTGGGAATGAGTTTTGTGGCTGGAAAGGAGCCTCAGGAAGGAAGGGGAGGGAGATAAGGCAGGAGAGGTGGGCAGGGGCCAGGTCACTTAGGGCCCTGGAAGAAACCTGGATTTCACTTTGAGTATGATGGGAAACCATTGGAACATTAGAGGGATTTATGGAGGGGAGATTCGATTTACATTCTAGAAAGATCCTTTTGGCTGCTGAATGGTCATACATGCTAGGGAAAAAAATAAAAAGGAAAGGGGGCTAGGGAGTATTGGGGAGGGGCATCGGCAATTTTAAATAGTGGGATCAGGGAAGACATCACTGAGAAGTGACATTTAGGCAAAACTTAGAAGACTGGGCATGGTGGCTGACACCCATAATCCCAGCGCTTTGGGAGGCTGAGACAGGAGGATCACTTGACCTCAGGAGTTTAAGACCAGCTTGGACAATATAGCCAAACCCCATCTCTACAAAAAAATTAAAAATTAGCTAGGCATGGTGGTATGTGCCTGTGGTCCCAGCTACTTGGGAGCCTGAGGTAGGAGAGGATTGCTTGAGCCCAGGAATTCAAGGTTACAGTGAACAATTCAGGCCACTGCACTCTGGCCTGGGTGATAAAAAAAACCTCCAAAACCTTAGGGCAGGTGGAGAGACACAGGGGAACAGCATTTCATGCAGAGGGAGCAGCAAGTGCAAAGTCCCCAAGGCAAGAGTGTGCCTGGCACGTTTCAGCAACAGCAAGTGGGCCAGGGTGCCTGGAGGAAGGTGAGCAAGGGGAAAGGGGGCAGAAGACAGGGTCGAAAGTGAGGGGGAGTTAACGGCCATTGTACAGGTGACCGCTGGCTCTGACAGGTAAGTGAATGCCGAGTCAGCTGGGGCTCACACTCAGTGTCTTCATAGGACCTTGGTGGGGGGTCTCTGTCTTGACTGGGGGACTTCCTGGGGCTGGGACTTCCAAATCTGGGTGCCAGGATACTGCACTCTGTCCGCCAAGCCCCTGACTTCTGGCCTGCCCTGGAGGATTTGGTCCCTGGTGGCTCATTGCAGCTTTGAGGCCACTCTCCCTCCAGGGCCCCAAGGGGGGGCATCTGAGCATCTGGAGCCCCCTCCACCATGCACTCAAAATGGGCTTTGGTGGAGAGGTGGGAAGAAAAGTTGATGGAGGTAGGTGGGCGTTCTGCAGCCCCCTTTAGTACTCGTCCTTGTGGGACACACATCAGAGGAAAGTGACCCGGGGTCCGCAGGGGACGACTCTACTCTGCCTCCCACGGGCAGTCTGTCTCCTCTCCCCTGTCTTGGCTGTGGTTTCCACCATCCAGACAGTTGCCCCTGCTTCCAGGGAGCCCTGCAGAAGTCTCCCCACAGGGCAGCACTGACACCAGGCCCACTTCTCTCTCTCTGTGTGGCAGCCAGAGGGAATACTGGGTACCCAGGTCCGACCACGTTGCTCCCTGGCGGGAGGCTTCCCACAACTCCCTGCTGCCTGGGGATCAAGTAGCCTCTTCTGCGGGCTCCTAGCCCCCAGGATTTGGCCTCTGGGTCCAGCCACACCAGCTCCAGGCTCCCGCCCCCTGGGTCTCGTTCTTCTTGCTGGACTCCCCCTTGTCCTTCAAGACCTCCTCCAGCTCCTCCTCCAGAAACCCCTGGGACTCCTGTGCCTGAGCCAGGCTGGTCCCTTCTGGATCCCTGCAGCCTCTGGTCACTCGGCTCGCCTGGCCGCCACTGCTTTGCCTGGCTGTGTCCTTGTCTCTGTGGTTCATACTGAAAGCTGCCTTCCACTGCCACCTCCCAGCTGCAGCATGGCACCCGACATTGAGCAGCAATAGGAAACAAAAGATGGTACCCGCTGGGCACTTGCTGGCTACTCTCTGGGTACCCTGTCCTGTTCCCGCATGTGTCACTAAAGCCTCACTGCAGCCCTTAAGGCGGACATCGTTTTCATTCCATTTTACAGATGAGAAAACCAAGATCCAGCCAGATTTAAATAACGCCCAAGGCACCCTGCTGGTAAGCGGAGGAGGTGGGATGTGATCACACCCTGCCTGGCTCCAGAGCCCTGCTCTTGTCCCCTCCCCATCCCTCCCTGCTGAAAGTGAATTAATGAGTGAGTCAGTGAATACAGATGACCAAAGCCTCCTGCACCAGCGGCCCCCCCTCTCCCTCCCCTTGCTCTGAAGCTTGGGCGAACCTCCCGTCTCATCATCGGCACCCGCGGGGTCTGCACTGCCAGCCTCACCACCCCCTCCTTCCCCACCTCCTGAAGCCAGATTCCCCCTTGGCATCGGCCTCTCTGCGGAATCAGCTTCCCTCCCCACAAATGTCACCAGAGGGGTTCCAATCGCCAAAGCCCGTGGCCTTTTCTCATCTCTCAGTCTTCATTTCCCTTGACCTTTTGGTGGCATTCATGACAGCGGCTCCCTTCTCCTGGAAGCAGTTTTTTCCCTCGGCCTCTCTGCTGCTGAACAACTCTGGCCATCTCCTTTTCCTCCTGGCTGGTGGCATTTCTTCACTCATTCATTTAGCAAGTTCTTTGCTGAGCGCCACCCATGCCAGAGCCAGATGTGGTTCCCGGAGCGGGTGCTGGACAGACAGACAACATCCTGCCAGACCAGACCTCAGTAAACCAGTGAATAACACCACTTCCAATAACCAGGAGGGCAGAGGGGATAGTACAATAGGGGGAAGGACCGAAAGTGACTGTGTGTGACGGCAGTGGTGGCTGCTTTAAATGGAGGGGTTGGGGTCATCTGAGCTGGGAAGCAGCCGGCCAAGTGACGCTGGGGGAAGAACACTGGGCCAAGGGCACAGCAAGTGCAAAGGCCCTGAGGTGGCTTTGGAGGAAGGGAGCTGCCCATGAGGCTGGAGTGTGGAGGGACAGGGGATGACAAAGGGTAGGCAGTGGTCTGACAATCTGGTAGAAACTCAAATGTCAAGGCACGGAGCTGGGGTTTATCCCAAGCACTACGGGGCATCACCAGAAGGTTGCAGGAGGAGAGAGACCCGATGGTATTTACATTTCTGAAAGGTAACTCTTTCTCATAAAATGGCCCGTGCATCTGAACGACCTGGGGCACTTGCTCGAAGTGCAGATCCCAGCCTCTTCCCAAACTTGCAGCATCAGATTCCACAGGGGCCAGCCCAGGAATCTGCATTTTAACATGCATGCACAAACTTGAGAACCGCTCCTGTAGCAGAGATTCTTCATTCTGCCTTAGCCAAGAAACAATAGCAGAGTTGGTTAACCTGGATGTTCCCAGGTGGCCAAGTGGACAGGATTCAGGATCTAAGAACTGAGGTGGCAGGATCACGTTAACTCTCACTAGCCTGTCACTGGCCATTGGCATCTTCCTCTGTGACGTGTGGTGGCAACAAACCTCAGTGGGCTAGATGCACCTGGGGCTTTGACACCAATCGAAATCACAGATTTTTTCCACCACACCTTATAGGGGTTGCAGATATCTTGAAATACGGCTTCCCTGCTCACTGCTTTGAAATGATTGTAGTTATTAGACGTGCACTAGATCTTGTTATATCCTGTGTCAATCAAGAAGTATGTGTACTAATATACTTCTAATTTTTAAATATTTATTTTTTGAGACAGCGTCTCGCTCTGTCACCCAGACTGGAGTGCAGTGGTGTGATCTCAGCTCACTGCAATCTCCACCTCCCGGGTTTGAGGAATTCTCCTGCCTCAGCCACCTGAGTAGCTGGGATTACAGGAGCATGCCACCACACCTGGCTAAATTTTGTATTTTTAGTAGAGACAGGGTTTCATCATTTTGGCCAGGCTGGTCTTGAACTCCTGACCTCAGATGATCCACCCACCATGGCCTCCCAAAGTGCTGGGATTATAAGCATGAGCCACCATGCTCGGCCTATGTATCTGTTTTTTTTTTTTTAATGTTTTGATAATTCCATTCCAATATAATTGGCTTTCTTTGCAATTCTGCCTGTATTTGTTTTATGCATTGAAAAACATCATTAGGAGTAAGGGTCCATGAGGCTTCACCAGATGCCAAAGGGTCCATGTCCTGGAAAAGGTGCAGAGCTGGAGAGGGAGGCTCAGATAGACGTAGGCACCATTCCTAACTCCCCTTGCCAATGCTGCAGGATCTTGGGTGAATCTCTTTCCTTCTCTCTGCCTCAGTGTCCTTACCTGGAAGATGGAGCCTGGTAGCCCCTACCTCAAATACTTGGAAGGAACCAGCCAGGCCCCCCAAGCAGGCATCAGGGAGGTGCTCTGAGGCCAGCTGGGCTTCTCGTGCCATGGGAGCTGGGCTGACCAGGCTCTGAACCCCAGCTCTGCCACTTACTTGCCCATTATGGCCCTGGGATGGGGACTTAACTTCTTCACCTGCCTCAGCTTCCTCACCTCCATGACGTGGAGATGGTAATAGCACCCAAGGCATAGAGTGGTTGTGGAGATGAATTGAGTTTCTATTTGTCAAAAGGGTGCCAGCTCGGTGCTTGGCCCTCCGTGGGTGCTGTAGAGCGTGGTTGTCACTGGGTGTGTGTCTCACCCCGCAGGTTCAATTTGGGGTTCCTGGAGGACTGGATCCAAGTCCTGTTCTGTCTGCATTCCCAGGAAACAGTGTCTGGGTTTGTGCAGTCACTGCTGTTTTTCAGGTGAGATTGAGGAGGAAGGACAATTGCATTAGTGCTCAGGATGGGGAGACTGAGTTGGAGTACCATCAGGCCACAGGGGACCCTGGATTCAGCAACGGAGGTGCAGAGAGGCAAGGAGCGGAGGCTGAAGCCTGCCTGGTCTTGAGATCCTGGGCAAATGTGGAATCCACATCACCCAGTTGGACAGTACCTCCCCACCACCCACTCAGTCTGGCTCTGTCAGGCTTGAGGCAGCTGAGGATTTTTTCTTTGTTCTTTCCAAGACAGAATCTGTTCTCCTCTGTTAAAATGGGGACAGCTAGCATATTGAAGTCTATCGGGAGTGAACCCTGGGTTATGCCTCTTTACACGTGTCTTGTTGTTATTTATTTATGTTTTTGAGACAGGGTGTCCTTCTGTCACCCTGGCTGGAGTGCAGTGGTACAATCATAGCTCACTGTAGCTTCAACCTCCCGAGCTCAAGCAATTCTCCTGCTTCAGCCTCCTGAGTGGCTACCACCACAGGTGCACGCCACCACACTTGGCTAATTTTTTAAATTTTTGTAGAGGCAGGGTCTCACTGTGTTGCCCAGGCTGGCCTTGAACTCCTGGGCTCAGGCGATCCTCCCGCCTCAGCCTCCCAAAATACCAGGATTACAGGCACGAGCCACTGTGCCCAGCCAGTGATGCCTCTTTACCTGTTTCATGTAATTCCTCACCTGTGAGTCAGGTGAGGAAATCGAGGCTCAGAGAGGCGAGGTAACTTGTCTGAGGCCACACAGAAAGTCCCTAGCACAGCCGGGGTTTGCCTGCAGGTGACCTGGCTCCCCAGGCCGTGCCCTTAAACACTGGGCTACACTGCCAACTCGCAGCGGGTAAATGCTTTCCTGCTTTTCTCCGCTATGTTCCAGACTGAGCAGTCCCAGATCATATTCACAGATGTGTTTTCAAGGGTAGCAGCAGGTGACGGGAATCAGCAGATGTCTGGGGGCGCTTCCCATGGAGGGCCTTTCCTGGCCTCCCATGCCAGCCTCCTCCCCGAGCCTTGCCCATCTGTGTCCTCCCTGACTGCACACTTTCTTCCCTCTCACTGCCTGCACGCTGAGCTGGTTCCCTGGGCTGTAGCCCTCAGCCTTTGTGGTGGCAAACAATAGGGAGGGGTGAGGACTGCAGCAAACTAGACAGCACCTGCCCTCGGTAAAGGGAGCAGCAGCCACTCTGCCCAGCCACTATTTCCATGTGGGAATATGGCCCTGGTCTTCCATGTTTTCAAAAGAATCTAGATTCTCTTGTGATTTTCCCATTTTTAAATATTGGCATGACATCTAATTCAAATTTTTAGAAATATCACATGTACCAAGAGAGAGGGAGACAGAGAAACACACACACACACCCAGAGAGAAAGAGAGAGAGAGAGACAGAGAGAGAGAGAGAGAGAGAGAAAGAGGGAGGAAGAGAGAGGCAGAAAGGGAGAAGAGATAGAGAGAGATCACTTCTTGGCCTTTTGGCTAAGGTCAAGTGGAGAGAGAAACAGAGAGAGGAGAAGAAAGAGGAGGAGGAAGAGGAGGAGGAAGACAGGGGAGGGAACAAAGCAAACAGTAAACAAAACAAAAAATCTCAAAAACCTGTCTTTGAGCCAGTTTGTGACTTCTCCCTTCCCCTTTCTCGTGCTTCTGCCTTCACAGCAGCCCCCTTTTAGAGATGGGAAAAAGGAGACCTGGAGAGATGAGAGGACTTGCCCAAGAAGACCTCGCAGGGGGTGGGTGGGCGGGTGGGGCTTTTGGGGCCAGATCTCTACCTTGGACTTCAAAGTTCTTCCCACCAGGTTCCTACTACCCATCTCCAGGCCCCCAGCCTGTGTGGGCCAGTGCTTATTTTCAAAGTCAGGTGCTGAATTCTGAAGGGGAAGAAAAATAATTGTCATCTGATTCTGAAGGCCAAGGTCACCGTGACATATCTCACAGGCTCAGCAACTGTCCCCAGATTCCAAAAGAGCCATTTCTAAAGGGCACGTCTGCCAGAGACGTCTCTGAACTGACAAGGCCTGGAGGCTTGTGGAACTCTAGGGGCCAGAGGCATTGTCAAAATCCTTTCCAATGATAAACTAGTTTGTTCAGTTGTTGAGTGTGGAGGAGAAAGGACTTGTTTTTCTGGGCCCAGCCCATCAGCTTCATAGGCTGCCGTTTACAGAGGACCTAGAATGCTCCAAGAACTAGATGGGGGCTTTGCAGCCATTCCCTCATTAAAGTTGCCCAGAAAATCCTGTGAGATTGGTAGTGTGGACTCTGTTTTATAGCCAAAGAAACTGAGGCTCAGAGAGGTTAGGAAAAGGCCAAGGTCAAATCCATGTCTGTTTGACCTCAAGTCCAGGCTCACCCCACCACAGCGAGGTATCTCTGTGGAGGTGGTAGAGAAGCTTCCTTCTTTGCTAAGGTCGATCTAGGGGCCATGGTGGGGGCCACAGTGCGGGCTAGGGTGGTTCGGGGAGGAAGTGATTTTGAACAAAGAAAGGAAGTTGGCTGGGCATGGTAACTCATGCCTGTAATCCCAAAACTTTGGGAGGTCAACAGAGGAGGATTACTTGAGGCCAGGAATTTGAGACCACCCTGGGCAATAGGGTGAGACCTCATCTCTACAAAAAATTTAAAAAATTACCCAGACACAATAGAACGTGCCTGTGGTCCTGGAGACTTGGGAGGCTGAGGTGGGAAGATCACTTGAGCCCAGGAGTTGGAGGTTGCAGTGAGCTGTGATTCCACCACTGCACTCCAGCCTGGGTGATAGCACGAGACCCTGTCTCAAAAAGGAAGAAGAAAAAAAGGAGGTGTATTAGTTTCCTCTTGCTGATGTAACAAATTTCCACAAATTTAGAATTTAGTGCCTTGAAACAATATGGATTTATCTCACAGTTCTTGAGGTCAGAATTCCAAGATGAGACTTAAAAATCAGTGTTGGCTGGGCGTGGTGGCCCATGCCTGTTATCCCAGCACTTTGGGAGGCCGAGGTGGGGGGATCACCTGAGGTTAGGAGTTTGAGACCAACCTGGCCAAAATGGTGAAACACTGTCTCTGCTAAAAATACAAAAATTAGCCAGGCATGATGGTGTACGCCTGTAATCCCAGCTACTCGGGAGGCTAAGGCAGGAGAATCGCTTCAGCCTAGGTGGCGGAGGTTGTAGTGAGCTGAGATCGTGCCACTGCACTCCAGCCTGGGCAGCAGAGCGAGAATCTGTCTCAAACAAAACAAAGCAACAACAAAATACCAAAGTGTCAGCCGGACTGTGTTCCTTTCTGGAGGTTCAAGGGGAGAACTTGTCTCCTTGCCCTTTCTGTCTTCTAGAGGCCGCCTGCATTCCTTGGCTCATGGCCCCGCATCACTGCAACCTCTGCTTTTCCCATTGCATCTCCTTCTCTGTCTCTGACCCTCCTGTCTCCCTGTCATAATGACCCTTGTGATTACACTGGGCCAACCCAGATATCAGGATAATCTCCCCATCTCAAAATCTTTTTTTTCTATGCCTTCGACCTTTGACTTTTTAAAAAATTTAATTTAATTTTAAGTTCCAATATCCATGTGCAGGATGTGCAGGTTTGTTACATAGGTAAACGTGTGCCATGGTGGTTTGCTGCACCCATCAACCCATCACCTAGGTATTAAGGCCCATGTGCATTAGCTATTTATCCTTCCATCTCAAGATCTTAATCATGTCTGCAAAGTCCCTTGTGCCATGCAAGGTAACGTATCCTGGAAGTGAACAGCTTCCAGGGATTAGGAAGGGGACACCTTTGAGAGCCCTTATTCAGCCAGCCCCAGGGGCTTAGTCACATTCAAATGTCTTAGTGCAGCATTCAATGCCCTTGACACATGGTTCCCAAGCAGTCCTGCCCATCTCCACCCTGAGCACCCACCAGAAGGAAGTACAGCTGCAGGCTGAACATCTCATTTCCCGCACGCCTCCAGCATGCCCCACCCATTGGAGTGACCCCCTAGGCCAGTGCTCCTTACACTCCTATGTGCTTTGGAGTCAGCTAGGGACCTGATGACAATGCAGGTCTTCAGTCAGTAGGTCTGGGAGGGGCCAGAGATTCTATATTTTCTCCAGGGTCCCAGGGAATGCTGACGCTGCTGGTTTGTAGACCTCCCTTTGAGGATTGAGACTCTAGACAAGATGGTTATGCAGAAAACAGTCATCTCCAGGCCTGTGTTTCCACGGTAGCATGCCGATTGGCATCGGAATGGAATCACATCCCCACGTGCTCTGTTGCCCTACCTTTTTGCCCATCCCACTAAAGTATCCACTGAGGGTCTCTACTATGACCTGGAGTCAAAGCATAAAAGCTTTCCGGACTTATTAAAGGAAGATTCCGAGTGAGCGTCGTGACCTTGGGCAACTCACTCGCCCTCTCTGGGACTTTTTGGAAAGGATTTGGGGCTGGCTGGACAAGAGAACTTTCGGGAACAGCTGTCAGATCCATGCCCTTGGCTTAGAAAGTCAATTCAGGCGTCTGAGCTGAATGTCTTTCCTTTTCCTCTAACTCTGAAAATTGAGTTATGGGATTGTGTGGTGTTTGTTAGAACCCTGGACCATGGGGAAAGGTTTGCAGGATATTTCACCCCTATCTGTAGATATCAGGGGTCCATACAGGGTCTTAAAATGTTGCACGGCTGCAGTATCGGAGATAGAAATGACTGATTTCGTCGTATAGGGAGACAAGGCTGGAAACTCGAATGCTCTTGAGAGCCCGGCAAGACGCATGAAGGGTTGAGGGGCACCGGGTGGGATCCGTGTCCCCTGTCTGAGGAGGGCAGCCCCAGCTCAGCCCCACAGCCATCATCACGTGATGATGCAGTTCCAGTATTGTGCATTTGCCCATTTTGCAAACGAATCCAGAAATCTGGATTTTTTTAATGTGAAGCCTCCTATTTTTAAATGTTGATAATGAATTCAGATATTTTTAAAATACTGTGTGGGCCAAACAAGACATTTCTGTGGGCTGGATTCAGCCTGTTGGCAGCTTGTTTGAGAATCTACTCACTCTGCGGAGAGGGAAACTGAGGCTCACAGCAGCAAAGGGACCTTCCCGAGGTTTGTAGCATCAGGGTTTGAACTCAGGGCTGCTGATGTACAGTGGAGCCACCATCTGTTGGTCTCACTGTAGTTCTCTCTTCCAGACAGCCCTTTCCCCCTCGAACCTCAATCCTCATGCCTCTAATAGAACCAACCTTGCCCCCAGACACACAACAGGAAATAGCCTGGGAGGTGGAACAGTGCCTCCCACCCGACTCTGCTCCTGACTTACTCTGTGACATGGGAAAGTCCTGACTCCTTTTTGCATTGAGATTTCTCATCTGTAGAACAAGGGCTGGGGGCTCAGTGACCCCAGAAGTCCCTCCCTACAGCTCTCCATGGCCTCTGGCCTTTTCCTCCCAGCGCCGGTACATCCCTGCCTCTGAGCTTCCCATATTGACATTTTGCAAACAGCAGCTGCCACAGAGACGTTGCCAGCCCCCGAGGTCCCAGTCCACATCATCTACATGATTCAACATGCTCGGTATCAGGGGGCCTGTCACCCATCTCACAGCCAGCGGCCACTGCGCCGTGCCTTATTGATTTGATGTATTAAACTGATGGATTTTTTGAGAAAAAAGGTGTTTTCTCTTGAAAGGCCACTGTGTCTTGAGACTTCATATGACTTTGCAACAATTCCCCTCTGATCCTCATAAAGGTTTTATTTGTCCAGTGGCTGATAATGCACTTGTTCCGGTTTCCTAATCCTCCTTGGCTACTTCCCTTTAGGAATAACAACAACGGTAACAGCTAATGGGCACCTTAGACAGGACAGGTGTTGTCCTAAGCACTTACTCATTAATTAACTCACTTAATCCTCACAACAGTCCATGGGCTGGCTGCTTCATGTATGCCCAATTTGCAGATGAGAAGACTGAGGTTCAATGGCGATGTATCCTTTTCCCAGTCTCACATCTAGTTATTGATGGAGCTAAGGTCACCTGGTCCAGGTCCTCAATCTTTCTCAGTGCCTTACCACCTCTTATTACAATTGCTGGCCAGGGTTGGTGGCTCATGCCCATAATCCCTGCACTTTGGGAAACCAGGGCTGGAGGATAACTTGAAGCCAGGAGTTTGAGACCAGCCTGGGCAACAGGGTGCGACCTTGTCTCTAGAAAAAATAAGAAAATTAGCTGCATGTAGTGGTGCATGCTTGTAGTTCCAGCTACTTGGGAGGCTGAAGTGGGAGGATCGCTTGAGCCCAGGAGTTCAAGGCTGCAGTGAGTCATGATTGTGCCATTTCACTCTAGCCTGGGAGACAGAGTGAGACCCTGTGTCTTAATAAAAAATGAAAATAAAAAATTAGCTGGGCATGGTGGTGCATGTCTGTAGTCCCAGCTACTCGGGAGGCTGAGACAGAAGAATCTCTTGAGCCTGGGTTGAAGCTGCAGTGAGCCTTGATTGTGCCACTGCACTGCAGCCTGGGTGACAGACTGAGACCTTGTCTCTAAAAAAATAAAAAGGAAAAGGAAAAATTATTATAGTTGTGAATAATGACACTTATTAGCAAGAAATAGTCATACTTAACTTTCTTCAACTCTTTCCAAATGTCGGGCTTGTGTGATTTACAGGTATTGTCTCATTTACTGCGTGCAACAAGTCAATTATGCCCATTTTAGGAATGAGGAACCCTACGGGCAGAGGACCACTCAATGTCACACAGCCGAGACACAGTTCCCACCTATGTTTTTTCACTCAGTCAAGGATCTGGCCCTGGAAGCTCTCTCAGCAAGGGAGGGATCCAAGGCAAATGGGAAATCATTTCTGCAAACCCATCAATCCCAGCAATGAAGGGTCAGAGTTGGCATCACAAAGCTGTTTTTTAAAAAGGCAAAGAGTGCAGCTAACAGGATCAGTTGTCAACTCCTGGCCCCACACCTGATGAGAAATCATTTCATTCCTTCTGCCCCCTGGAGGTCACCTGTTCTCTGCCGCAAATTGAACCATTAGCGCAAGTTTCGGAGACTTGGGACAATCATCCCCACCATTATGGAGGCTTTCCCGGCATCACTAAGGCGAGGCTCTGCCGGGCCTGCTGAGAGACTGGTCTGTTCTGACTTCCTGTCCTTCCGCGAGCTTGCATTCCACAGCACTAAGAAGAAAAGTGAGTGTTCATCACAGGCCAGGCATTCTGCATTGGTTCCCGAATGTTTAATTATTCCCATACCACCTTTTATTTGCCTGATGCCAACACCTACTTTTCTTTCCTAGCATTGACTTAGTTTTTCCTTAAGGTGACTTTTTTTTTTTTTTTTTTTTGAGACTGAGTCTCCTTCTGTCACTCAGGCTGGAGTGCAATGGCGCGATCTCAGCTCACTGCAACCTCCACCTCCCGGGTTCAAGGAATTCTCCTGCCTCAGCCTCCCGAGTAGCTGAGATCACAGGCACACACCACCACACCTGGCTAATTTCTGTATTTTTAGTAGAGACGGGGTTTCTGTATTTTTAGTAGAGACGGGGTTTCACCATGTTGACCAGGCTGGTCTCAAACTCCTGACCTCAGGTGATCTGCCTGCTTCGGCCTCCCAAAGTGCTGGGATTACAGGCGTGAGCCACCAAGCCCGGCCAAGGTGACTCATTTTTTTTATTTTTGAGACAGGGTCTCGCTTCTGTTGTCCAGGCTAGAGTGCAGCGACAGGATCGTAGCTAATTGCAGCCGCAACCTCCTGGGCTCCAGTGATCCCTCCCACCTCAACCTCCCAAGTAGCTGGGGCTACAGGCACGCGCCACCATGCCTGGCTAATTTTTAAAATTTTTGTAGAGATGAGGTCTCCCTATATTGCCCAGGCTGGTCTCGAACTCCTGGGCTTAAGTGATCCTCCCAGCTCGGCCTCTCAAAGCGCTGGGATTAGAGGCTTGAGCTACTGCATTCGGCCTCATTTTTTACATGTACATTTAAAAATGGGACTTTAGATTCCTGGTTCTCAAATTGGACTGCATATCAACATCACCTGTAGGGCCCATTCAAACAGAATGATTTTTACTCTCAGAGTTTCTGATTCCACAGGTCTGGGCTGGGGCCGGAGAATTTGCACCACAAGTGCCCAGGTGAGTCCGGTGGTGCTGGTGGGGCACTCAGTGTGTGCTGAGACCACTGGCTTAGATCACCACTCTCACTGGAAATCAGAGTCCCTTGCATTAAAAAAAAAAAAAAAAAAAAAAAAGATCTGTCACTGACGGTACCTGCAGAAAACAGAATCCCCCAAATAGTTCAAGTGAAGACACTTGAATGAAAGAACTCCTTACAGAGAAGTGAGAAGGGTTAAGAGAATCTGAGGCCAGTCACGGTGGCTCACGCTTGTAATTCCAGTGCTTTGGGAGGCTGAGGCAGGAGGATCGCTTGAGCCCAGGAGTTTCAGACCAGCCTGAGCAACATAGTGAGACCCTGTCTCTACAAAACAATTAAAAATTAGTGGGTTGTGGTGGTGAGTGCCTGTAGTTCCAGCTACTTGGGAAGATGAAGCGGTAGGATCGCTTGAGCTCAGGAGGTTAAGGCTGCAGTGAGCCATGATCCAGCCACTGCACAATGCACTCCAGCCTGGGTGATAAAGCAAGACTTTGTCTCAAAAATGAATAATTAATAATAACAAATAATAAAAAAAAGTTACACAGTATGGCTAGAAACTATGGAAGATTCTGAGTCTGAGGCCGGCCTTGTCTTTGCTTTAAAAAATTGACAAGTGTTAGAAAGGTGTTAAGGACCTATTAGCACCACACAGAGATTCTTTTGATTGAGGTAATAAGAATGCTAAAAATCAGGGAAAAGAGAATCACTTTTTCACTCTTTGGTTCTGACAGTTTAACGTTGTGATTCAACACCACTTTAAAGCACTCGTCCCCTGGTGGGAAACAGGAATGCGTAGCTCACAGCCCCCAGTGGCACCCAGCTTCTGGGACTTATTCACCAGCTTACACTTGGCACGGGGGGACGGCTGCTTCTGGGGATGGGGGCAGGTTGGTGTACGTCCCCCGGCATGTCCAGCCTGTCTCAAAGCTGGGTGGAGGTGGGCTCTGGTGGCCAGGGCAAGCCCCCAAGCAGAGAGACACAGGCGCCAGCAGGTGGAAATGTGCCCCCAAGGGCCGTGGGCAGGCTGGGAGCACCGCACCGGCTGTGTCTGCCGCACTTCCACAGCCCCCTGCCACTGCTCCCTCCCCTTAAGTATTGATGTCCCCTGGAATCCCACTTCCCACATGTGTTCAGAGGCATCCTGTTGACTCCAACTACCTTCTGACAATCACAGCAGATACACAGGGAGTGCTGAGTCTTGCCAGTGCCCCCCACCTGTCTGAGCTCCAGCTCATGGACATTCCTTCTGGATGTTCCACGGCTCATGTAGGCTCTGCATGTCATTGTCCTCCTGCTTTAGCACTGTTCCACACTCAGTGAAGAATGCCATCATCTGCTCACGTGTCCAAGCTAGGAACATGGCACCAGTGTGGCCTCCTCCCTCTCCTTTGCCACCAGGTTCATAGGTGCACAGCCCACTGAGTCCACCCCTCAGGGGTTATCAGTTTATCTACTTGTCCTCATTCCCACTGTGGCCACAGTCCAGGCCACCGTCATCTTTTGCATGGAGTGCAGCGGAAGCCTCCAAGAACTGTTTCCATCCTGTCCATCCATTCTTCACTCTCCTCTCAGCATACAGAGTTCCCTGGCTAAGCCCCTCACCTGCCCCTGAACTCAGGTCAAGTCCAGCTTCCCCAACCTGGCTTCCAAGAATCCTCCAGATTGCCTTCTCTACCCTGTGACCTCCTTCCCCATCATGCCTGGTGGCTGGCTGGTATGGCATCCCTGAGAACCGAAGGGCCATTCCATCCCACTCAGCGGCCGTCCTCTTCTGGACACCTGGTTCCAGAATTGCTTGGGACTCCAGAGAATATCTTGAATAAGAGCCTTGACTAGGGAATCCTACGCCCCACAGCCAGACCGGTGGCAACAACCTGCTAACAGAGGGAGAATATGGTCTCCAAGTGGCCACTCTGTCCTGACGACAGCCTCCTTGCTGACCATGGTTCCTGGAGGCAGAGAGGCATGAGTTTGAATCTAGACTATGCCACTACCTAGGTGTATAGAGCAGTTGCTTAATCCCTCAGAAGCTGAGTTTTGTTGTCTGCAAAACGGGTGATACGTTGCTACCTTGCAGGCTGTTAGGAAGATTCGGGGATATAATCCACATAAATTTTTGTGTCTAAGATCAGATTATCTAGAGGCGCAGCATAGGATGAGGATTTGGGTGCAAAGTCATTGGTGAAGGAAATGCTCCCTGGGGAGACTGGTAAGGGAATTGAAGCTGTAGGACAGGGAAGGGAGAACAGAAAGCAAGGGGTGCTGTCAGGCCAGTCTGACCCCATGGGGGCTTTGTAGTGTGGGTCACAGCTCAGAGTTGTCTTAGCCAGAGCCACAGGACAGGACCCTGCTGGTCAGTCATGCATTGATGGCGGCTAAGAGAGAAATATAAGTTCCCATTTTCTGAACAAAGATAGAAAAAATGGGCTCTGGTTGCCCAAAGACAATCCTCCAAAGACAGAAACTCTAAAAAGAGAGCCTAGGAGATTGGGCGGGACATCAACATCCTCCTTTTTGACTTGGCTCATAATAAAGACCTCATAACTGTCAGCCCTTATTGTGACAATTATAACGACAAGAACAATCGTTATTGTTATTAATTTCCTTGGCTGGAGTGGGCTGAAACTCTCAGACGGATGCTCCCGAGCCCAGTAAGAAGATAAGGAAATAAATCTAGCAATCTAGCTGGAAAAGCACAACTCGGCTGGGCACACCTATAATTTCAGCGCTTTGGGAGGCCGAGGCGGGAGGATCACTTGAGGCTGAGAGTTCGAGACCAGCCTGAGCAACATAGTGAGACCCTGTCTCTACAAAAATAAAAAATAAAAAAATTAGCTGGGCATGGTGGCACTTACCTTTAGTCACAACTACTACGGAGGCTGAGGCAGGAGGATGGCCTGAGCCCAGGAGTTAGTGGCTGCAGTGAACTATGATCATGCCACTGCTCTCCAGCCTGGACAAAGAGCAAGATCCTGTCTCAAAAAAAATCTATATATCTGTATATCTATCTATATCTATATCTATATCTATATCTATATCTATATCTATATCTATCTAAGCACAAGCCAGCTGGGTGCAGCTCAGGCCTGTAATCCCTGCACTTTGGAAGGCCAAGGTGGGTGGATCATTTGAGGTCAGGAGTTCGAGACAAGCCTGGCCAACATGGTGAAACTCAATCTCTACTAAAAATACAAAAATTAGCCGGGCATGGTGGTGGGTGCCTGCAATCCCAGCTACTCGGGAGGCTGACGCAGGAGAATTGCTTGAACCTGGGAGATGGAGGTTGCAGTGAGCTGAGATGGTGCCACTGCACTCCAGCCTGGGTGACAGAGTGAGAGTCGGTCTTAAAGAAAGAAAAGAAAGGGGGGCGGGGAGAGAGAGAGACAGAGAGAGACGGAGAAAGAAAGAAAGAAAGAAAGAAAGAAAGAAAGAAAGAAAGAAAGAAAGAAAGAAAGAAAGAAAGAAAGAAAGAAAGAAAGAAAGAAAGAAAGAAAGAAAGGAAAGAGAGAGAGAGAGAGAAAGAAAGAAAGAAAGAAAGAAAGAAAGAAAGAAAGAAAGAAAGAAAGAAAGAAAGAAAGAAGGAGAAAAGAAAAGAAAGAAAGAACCACAACCCCGCCAGGCATCGGGGTACCCGTGCCTATTTCCCCATGGTTAAGTTACTTCCGGAGCATCCCCACCTCCAAGCTCTGGCCCATCTCCCATCACTTCTGAAAGAGCAGAGCTGGGCCCTGCTGTGAGGAGAGGGGCGGGGGAAGCGTCCTGGCCCGGGGCCCACGTGGGCAGGGTTGAACGCACCCCCTGGGGTGTGGGGGCTGCGTGGGGGAGGCAGCTGAGTCAGTGAGCAGCGCCATGATGAGGGGCAGTCCCTGCCAGCACCAACAGGGGCTGGAAACCCAGCGATAGGAGCATCAGCATCTCCGAGGTAAAGACTGTTGGGTTGGGGATGAAACCTCCTGGGGGCGGCCACCCTCCTGCAGGCTCAGCGCTCTCTGAATTTCCTGCTTTGCTCCCCGCTGCCTGGTGGCCCTTGGGCCAGCGAAGGGCTGGGAGGCTCTGAGTGTGCGGTGCCAGGGGGTGTTTTAACAACATCCAGGCTGCCAAGAGCACATTATTCTCTTACAACAATCCAAGGAATTGCCCAGGAGATGTGATATTTTGGTAGGGAGGAGAAAAAAAAAGAAAAGAAAAGAAAAAAAGGGAAGAAGAGGAAAAGAAAAGTTCTCTGAAACTCTAAAAGCACTGTTGCGCTAGGAATGATAGTGGGTGTTTCAGCATCTGGGTTCTTCATCAGGGAGCAAGTGGGGACTCAGAATTTTCTGTTTATTTGTTTTATTTGATAAATAGTATTTCTTGGATGTCCCCGGGACATTCCAGGTGGAAGGAACAACTTGTGCAAAGGCAGAGAGCTAGAAAAGGACATGTTTGACAAGAAAAGCTGAAGATAAGGACTCCTGGTTGTGATGGAAATTCTCCTCAAACTGGCATGGGCAAAGACAAAGAATTAATTGGTTCACGTGATTGAAAGAACAAAGGACCGGCAGCCTCAGGCATGGCTGGATCTAGGGGCTCAAACAATGTCATCAGGACGCAATCTTCCTCCATCTCTTGGCTCTGCCTCTCTTGGCACTGGGTTCACTCTCAGGAAGGCTCTTGCTGTCTGGTGATTCAGTCAATTCCATCTTTACATCCTTCTAGCCTCAAACGTGGTAGAAATAGAAGGCTTCTAGGGCTGGGCATGGTGCACATGCCTGTAGTCCCACCACTTTGGAAGGCTGAGAGAGGATGATCACTTGAGCTTAGGAGTTTGAGACCAGCCGGCGCAACATGGTGAAACCCCATCTCTACAAAAAATATAAAAATAAGCTGGGCATGGTGGTGCATGCCTGTAGTCCCAGCTACTCAGGAGGCTAAGGTGGGAGGATTGCTTGAATCCAGGAGGTGGAGGTTGCTGGGAGCTATGATCACACCACTGTGCTGCAGCCTGGGTGACAGAGTGAGACCCTGTCTAAGAAAGAAAAAGAAAAAAAAAAGAAAGAAAGAGAGAAAGAAAAGAGACAGAGAGCTTCTCTTTCCCAGTAGTTCCTGCAAAAGTCCTGAGGTTGAGTCTCATTGAATAGACTTGGGTCATGGGTCCATGTCTGACTGCCCATGCCTGGTCCGTAGTTCCTTCTCTAAAGTGTGGGTCTTGGGAGACCACATGACTAGTGTGACCTGGAAGGCAAGCCATGGGGATGTGTTCCTAGTTCCATCTTCTATTCGCTACTTTTTCTTTCAGAAATCATATGTACCCTCACAATTTCATTTCTCCCTGTTGACTCTATCTCTAGCCTTGACCTCGTCAAGAGCCCCTGGGCTGTATTTCCAGTCTCCATTAGATATATCCCCATTATGTTCTTCTAAAAAAATTGTAATAGTACAAATGACTTGAGCTCTTACTATGTGCTATTTATAAGCTCCTTACATTGCTGTGCAACCGAATCCTCACATCACCACAACACTGCAAGACAGGCGTTATTACCCCCATTTTATTTTTTTATTTTTTGAGACGGAGTCTCGCTCTGTTGCCTTGGCTGGAGTGCAGTGGTGCTATCTCGGCTCACTGCAACCTCTGCCTCCTGGGTTCAAGCGATTCTCCTGCCTCAGCCTCCCGAGTAGCTGGTATTACAGGTGCATGCCACCACGCCCGGCTACTTTTTGTATTTTTAGTAGAGATGGGTGTTTACCATGTTGGCCAGGCTGGTCTCGAACTCCTGACCTCAAGTGATCCATCTGCCTCAGCCTGCCAAAGTGCTGGGATTACAGGCATGAGCCACCGTGCCCAGCCATTACCCCCATTTTACAGATGAAGGAACTGAGGCATAGAGAAGTTCACTCCTGAACCAATGACTGGAGTTGGAGGGACATGGCACTCTGACTGGCTAGACCTGAGTCATGTCCCCATCATGGAGCCCAGATGTGGGTCAGCTGCAAAGCATCCATGTAGACAGAGAGTCTCTCCCGGCAAAAAGCATGCAGGAATCATTATAATATGGGTAGGAAAAACAACAGATCCTCCCTAAACTAGATGGCAAATGATGGTAATCCAATTTGGACAAATTTGTAGGAAAAGGGAGCTGTGCTATCTCAGGGAATACAAAGAACATTTGAACTGCCAAACTCCTGGAAGGACAGGAGTGCAGGTGGTCTTCAGGAACAGCTGGAACCAGGTGCTCATGTGGTCAGAATGCTCAGACTCTCATCTGAACTGCTCTTTCCTGGTCTACTTCAGTGGTTCTAAGTGCAGGTTCCTAGAGGAAGACTTTGATTGGTCAGTTATAAGTCAGATAATCATACTGGACCAATCAGCTATGCCAGGAGGGCAGGACCTCACCAGAACATGGCTGACTGGGAGAACCACAAGGTTGAAGTGTGGGAGTAGCAATGATGGGTTCTAGAAAAAATGTGGGGTAGGATACAGGGCAGATAAAAGTGTAGGTGACCCTTGAGGGCAAGCCTGCTGTGTGTGTGAGGTGGCATACTTAGAGCTGCAGGTGGGCCAGGTGTGGTGGCTCATGCCTGTAATCCCAGCACTTAGGGAGGCTGAGGCAGGCAAATAGCTTGAGCCCAGGAGTTTGAGAACAGCCTGGGCAATATGGCGAGACCCCATCTCTATAAAAAATAAAAAATTAGCTGGGTTTGGTGGCGCACTCCCATATTTCCATCTACGTGAGAGGCTGAGGTGGTAGGATGGCTTGAGCCCAGGAATTTGAGGCTGCAGTGAACCGTGATTGCACCACTGCACTCCAGCCTGGGTGACAGAGCGAGACCCTTTCTCAAAAAAAATCCCACAAAAACAAACAAACAAAAAAGAACAAAACAAAATGTATAGTTGGAGGTAACACAGAACCTCTCACTAACTGGCCTAACAATACAGCAGTTTATTTCATGAAACCCAGAACAGGGCAGCTCCGAGGGCTGGTGATTGGTCTGATGAGGCCATCGTTCCATCACTCTTCTCTGCGTCTACAGTGTCAGCTTCACCCTAAACTGGTGGCGGCAAGCTGGCTCTCAGTGGTGATCATCTAATCCATGAGAAAGAAAGGGAGCCCTTGGTCCAGCCACAGGATAAAAGTTCTTCCCCAGTAATAGGATCCAGAGAATGCTGACTTAAGCTTCGGTCCCTGAGCCGGCCCCTGCAGACAAGGATGGGACGGCCATGACAGGCTTCCATCAGGACCTCCCCCAGAACCAGGTTCTATTCTAGAATGACTTGCTACCCTCTGCTGTTGTGGGAGGAATAGGCACAGGGTGAGTCTATCTTGGGTGGCCCCTCATCTCACGGCCTCTCTGCCTCTGTTGGACAGGGGTCCTGTGGCTGTCTGTGGTCTCCGAGGTGCTGTACATTCTGCTGCTGGTGGTTGGCTTCAGCCTCATGTGTCTCGAGCTCTTCCACTCCAGCAATGTCATCGACGGGCTCAAGCTCAATGCCTTCGCGGCTGTCTTCACGGTGCTCTCAGGTAAGGCATGGCTGGTCCTGTGGCCTCTCAGAGCACAGGCGAGAAAGGGTGCTGCCCTTGGAGTAAGCCCTGGTTGTACCAACCGGGAGGCATTGGACAAATTGCTTCTCTTCTGTGAGCCTCAGTTTTATCGTTTGTAAAAAATGACCAATGCATATTGACTGAGCATCTAATACATGCTAAGCACCAGACCAGGTACTAAGGCTATAGTAATGAGCAAAAGCAGGCAGTCCCAGACCTCAAGGAGCATAACACATGTGGGAGGGAGAGGCAGATGAATTTGAGATGTCTTCAGGAGATCAGTACCACATGGTCTGTGATGGATTGGATCTGCAGTATCAGCAAGGGAGGCGGTTGTGCAGAATAGGCTGACTGTGCCGCCTTTCCCTGGGATGTAAAAGAGAAGCCACTTTGGGGTGGAGGGCACGTCGCTCCTCTTCCTGAGCTCATCTGGCTTTGAGAACTCCACGTGGAGATGCTGCATGGGAAGTCGAATGATCAAACACATCCGGAAGCTCAAGGGCAAGAGTGTGTTGGGCAGGGATTGTGGGAAAAGGCCACAGAGCCAGCGATTTTGAGGGTTTCAGGAAGAATGGGACAGTCAACTGCATCATAGGACTCAGGAAGATGGAGACAGATGATTCCAAGCAAACACTTAGATTTGGTGGGCAGGTGCCCAGGGTCGCTGCAGCAGATTCAGGTCATCAGGGGTTAAGCTGGGATTACGCAGGAAGGGAATAAAGGAAGCCTATAAACTAAAACATCAGGAGGCCTGGCAGACAGAGCAGTGGCTTGGCTGTTTAAGACATTTGTTCCTAAAAAGCTGAGTGTAAATTGAATTTCTATAAATTTAATCCTATTCTTCACGCATTGGAAGAACTCTCTATTTAATGAAACCAAAACGATGAGCCTCCTGGTAAGGGAAGTAATCTCTCCTAATTGAGGTATGTACATTTGACAGAGGGATCTTTCAAATAATAGAGCTGCATTCAAGAAGTTAGAGCACATGCCACAGATCAAAATGTGCCAATCTGTCATCCCCAGGATGTGGGAAATCCAATCATCACAGTAAAGAAAAGAAGAAAAATAGAACAATTGTCACAACACACAGACAATGTGGGATTTGGCCTCCATGCACCCCATCCCCATGTACCCCATCCCCATGCACCCCATCCCCAGCTGTCCAAGGACGGAGAGCTTGTTTATTCTTTTTTTTTTCCCCTCCATCTTTTATTTATTTACTCAACCTACATTCACTGAAGGCCTAACTGGGCACTGTGCTTGTTTGGGGGAGTTGAAGGAAAAAGACTCAGTCCTTGCCCTCATGAAGGCTTTCTCTCTCTCTCTTTTTTTTTTTTTTTTTTTTTGAGATTGGGTCTTGCTTTGTTGCCTAGGCTGGAGAGCAGTGGTGTAATCACGGCTCACTGCAGCCTTGACCTTCAGGGCTCAAGCGATACTCCCATCTCAGCCTCCTGAGTAGCTGGGATTATAGGCAACCCCCATCCCCCCGACCACGACCAGCTAATTAAAAAAAAAATTTTTTTTAGAGATAGGGTCTTGCTATGTTGCCAAGGCTAGCCTCCAACTCCTGGGCTCAAGTAATCCTCCTGCTTCAGCCTCTCATAGCACTGGGATTACAGGCGTGAGCCACCACGTCTGGCCAAGTTTGTGATCTTGTGGAGAAATGTATTCATCAGACAATTCTAACTTGGTGTGTTGACCTCTATGGACTGGGTGTGTTAACAGCTCTGCAGGAGGGGCACCCACATTTGCCCAGGGAGTCGGGATGAGTGGGGTGGGCATGGGGAAGGCAACATTTGAGTGAGACTTGGAAAATAAGTAAGAGTCTGCTTGGTGGACAACTTGAGGAGGGCATTCCAGGTGGAGTGGACAGCGTAAGCAAAGGCCTGATGATGCGGCATATTCTGGGAACTTCACATAGCTCAAAATGGTGGGAAGACTGGGAGTAGGGAGAGGAGGAATGTTGAGAGATGAAGCTGGAGAGTTTTGTGAGGGTCTCAGTGCTTTATAGAGTCTGGATTTTACCATATAGGCAATAGGGAGCCACTGAAGAGTGTGGAGCAAGGGGCAACACGGTCGGGTTTGCATTTGGGGATTGTATCAGTCCATTCTCATGCTGCTAGTAAAGACATACCCGAGACTGGGTAATTTATAAAGAGAGAAGTTTAATGGACTCACAGATCCACATGGCTGGGGAGGCCTCACAATCATGGTGGAAGGCAAATGAGGAGCAAAGTCATGTCTTACATGGTGGCAGGCAAGAGAGCATGTGCAGGGGAACTGCTCTTCATAAAACCATCAGCTCTCGTGAGACTCACTATCAGGAGAACAGCATGAGAAAGACCCGCCCCCATGATTCAATTACCTCCCACTGGGTCCCTCCCATGACACGTGGGAATTATGGGAACTACAGTTCAAGATGAGATTTGGGTGGGGACACAGCCAAATCACATCAGGGATGATCTCTCTGGGTTCAGGGTGGAGCACAGATGAAGTGGAGCAAGAATGGAGGTGGGGAGGCCAACCAGGAGGCTGCAGGAGTCATATTGATGCAAAGCAACAAGGCCTAAGTGGAGAATGGGTGAGGGCAGGGACAGGTCCACCGTGCAGGAGGTAAAGTCAGCTGGGCTTGGGGACTGGTTAGGAGAGGCGGGTGGGAGTGGGTGGTTAGGGGAAAATAGAGTCAAGGTGAAGGGTTTCTAGCTTGGAGTGCACAGAATTCAGGAGGTCCATGAACCCAGTTGGGGGAAATAACATCTTTATTTTTCTAACATAAAATTAGCTGTCATTTAGCTTTCCTCCAACAAATCACAGTAGTGGGGATGAGACCCATGACATAGTCACCAATAGTAATCTGTACTTTTCATGAAATCTCACCACAGCTGCAGCTATCTCAAAATGCACTCCTTCAAAAGTATGATACTTGGCCGGGTGCGGTTGCTCATGCCTGTAATCCCAGCACTTTGAGAGGCCGAGGAGGGTGGATCACGAGGTCAGGAGTTCGAGACCAGCCTGACTAACATGGTGAAACCCAGTTTCTACTAAAAATACAAAAATTAGCTGGGCATGGTGGTGCACACCTGTAATCCCAGCTACTTAGGAGGCTGAGGCAGGAGAATCACTTGAACCCAGGAGGTGGAGGTTGCAGTGAACCGAGATCGCACAGCTGCACTCCAGCTTGGGTGACAGAGCAAGACCCCATCTCAAAAAAAAAAAAAAAAAAAAAGTATGATACTTATTAAAGTTTCCACTGAATCCCGTTTCATATGTTAACAAAATGGCACATAAATTCCTATACAACAATTTGTTTGAATATATTGCTAGCTGTATTTCAATGTAATTGATTTCTTCTGTACTATGTATTTCATTTTATCTAGTGGAAAACATTATTCTGAGAAGGGGTCAGATGGTCAGAGGGACCCTGACCTGGGAGATCCCTCGGCTATCCTTTGGCTTGGAATAGGGTGAGCAGTGATCTAACCAAGATAGGGAAGAAGTGGAAGGGGCTGGAGGGGAGATGATCAGTCTGTTTCAGACAGTCTGGGCATGATGTCTCGGGGGGCAGGCATCCAGTCCCCTCTCCTTCATCAGCAGGTTCATCTCTCCTTTTCTTCCCCTGCACCAAGCATCAAAAAATCCCCTCCATTTTTCCAAGCATGTAGCTCTTCCCCCAACCTGCTCACTCCAGCCACAAAACAAAAGTTTGTCGTTGGCCACAGGCAGCCAACACCGGTTCTTGCAAGCAGTCTTCTCATGGGGCAGGAAGTGGGGGACTCTCCTCTACCTCCAAGGGGTTCTGAAAGTTTCTACCCTCAAGAAAACAAATAAACCAAGCCAGGTTTCCTCCTAGTGGGGAGACCCACTGTGAAAGCAAATACGATTGTCTCCATAATTCCAGGCAGATAAACAATCCAGGCTCAGGGAGGTTAATTGACTTGCCCAAGGTCATGCAGCTGGTCATTGCAGAGCTGGGATTAAACCCAGCTCCAGTTGGCTTCAAAGCCCTGTGCTCTTTTCACAGACTCACACTGCAGGAGTG